>NC_000023.11:149930151-150233181 GCF_000001405.40 Homo sapiens | reverse complement strand
TGGACCCAATCATGTAGTTTGTGAATAATAGATTTATGTATTCTATTCTGATCCTTATGCTTTTCTCCCATTTCCTTAGATTATTGAACTACATTGGACCTCTGATATAACATGAAACAGAAGTGGTAATAGTAGGAAACGCTTTCTCATTCTCAATCTATGACGAAGGATTTTAATACTTCACTGTTAATTACGATGGCTGCTGTAGGGTTTTTTTGTGTGTGACTTCTCCTTATCAGATCAGAAAGTTCCCTTCTTAGCCAAAGTAAGCAGTAGCCAACTTGTCAGGGTGGGAGTCATATTACAAAACCGAGGGCAGTGAAGAAGCTGAAGAAGAACAAGAAGAGAACCTTGAAGCAAGAGGAGACTATAAATATTCAGAAAGAGATAGTTTGATTTTTTTGGTTGATGCCTCCAAGGCTATGTTTGAATCTCCTAGTGAAGATGAATTGACACCTTTTGACATGAGCATCCAGTGTATTCAAAGTGTGTACATCAGTAAGATCATAAGCAGTGATCGAGATCTCTTGGCTGTGGTGTTCTACGGTACCGAGAAAGACAAAAATTCAGTGAATTTTAAAAATATTTATGTCTTATAGGAGCTGGATAATCCAGGTGCAAAATGAATTCTAGAGCTTGACCAGTTTAAGGGGCAGCAGGGACAAAAACGTTTCCAAGACCTGATGGGCCATGGATCTGACTACTCACTCAGTGAAGTGCTGTGGGTCTGTGCCAACCTCTTTAGTGATGTCCAATTCAAGATGAGTCATACGAAGATCACGCTCTTCACCAATGAAGACAACCCCCATGGCAATGAGAGTGCCAAAGCCAGCCAGGCCAGGACCAAAGCCGGTGATCTCCGAGATACAGGCATCTTCCTTGACTTGATGCATCTGAAGAAACCTGGAGGCTTTGACATATCCTTGTTCTACAGAGATATCATCAGCATAGCAGAGGATGAGGACCTCAGGGTTCACTTTGAGGAATCCAGCAAGCTAGAAGACCTGTTGCAGAAGGTTCACGCCAAAGAGACCAGGAAGCGAGCACTCAGCAGGTTAAAGCTGAAGCTCAACAAAGATATAGTGATCTCTGTGGGCATTTATAATCTGGTCCAGAAGGCTCTCAAGCCTCCTCCAATAAAGCTCTATAGGGAAATAAATGAACCAGTGAAAACCAAGACCCGGACCTTTAATACAAGTACAGACGATTTGCTTCTGCCTAGCGATACCAAGTGGTCTCAGATCTATGGGAGTCGTCAGATTATACTGGAGAAAGAGGAAACAGAAGAGCTAAAACGGTTTGATGATCCAGGTTTGATGCTCATGGGTTTCAAGCCATTGGTACTGCTGAAGAAACGCCATTACCTGAGGCCCTCCCTGTCTGTGTACCCAGAGGAGTCGCTGGTGATTGGGAGCTCAACCCTGTTCAGTGCTCTGCTCATCAAGTGTCTGGAGAAGGAGGTTGCAGCATTGTGCAGATACACACCCCGCAGGAACATCCCCCCTTATTTTGTGGCTTTGGTGACACAGGAAGAAGTGTTGGATGACCAGAAAATTCAGGTGACTCCTCCGGGCTTCCAGCTGGTCTTTTTACCCTTTGCTGATGATAAAAGGAAGATGCCCTTTACTGAAAAAGTCACGGCAACTCCAGAGCAGGTGGACAAGATGAAGGCTATCATTGAGAAGCTTCGCTTCACGTACAGAAGTGACAGCTTTGAGAACCCCGTGCTGCAGCAGCACTTCAGGAACCTGGAGGCCTTGGCCTTGGATTTGATGGAGCCAGAACAAGCAGTGGACCTGACATTGCCCAAGGTTGAAGCAATAAATAGAAGACTGGGCTCCCTGGTGGATGAGTTTAAGGAGCTTGTTCACCCACCAGATTACAATCTTGAAGGGAAAGTTACCAAGAGAAAACATGATAATGAAGGTTCTGGAAGCAAAAGGCCCAAGGTGGAGTATTCAGAAGAGGAGCTGAAGACCCACATTAGCAAGGGCACGCTGGGCAAGTTCACTGTGCCCATGTTGAAAGAGGCCTGCCGGGCTTACGGGCTGAAGAGTGGGCTGAAGAAGCAGGAGCTGCTGGAAGCCCTCACCAAGCACTTCCAGGATTGACCAGAGGCCATGCGTCCAGCTGCCCTTCCACAGTGAGGCCAGGCTGCCTGGCCTTGTCCTCAGCCAGTTAAAATGTGTTTCTCCTGAGCTAGGAAGAGTCTACCCGACATAAGTCGAGGGACTTTATGTTTTTGAGGCTTTCTGTTGCCATGGTGATGGTGTAGCCCTCCCACTTTGCTGTTCCTTACTTTACTACCTGAATAAAGAGCCCTAAGTTTGTACTAAAAAGAAAGAAAGAAAGAAAGAAAGAAAGAAAGAAAGAAAGAAAGAAAGAAAGTTCCCTTCTTAGTTTTCTAAGAGATTTTTGTTTGTTTTTTGGTGTTTTATTAAGGATGGCTGTTGAATGTTCTCAAATGCTTTTCTGCACCAATTCAAATGATTGTATGACTTCCTCCTTTTTCTTTGTTAATAAGATTAATCCAATTGGTTGATTTTCTAAATAGTTAACCACCCTCACATCTCACATGCCTACAATAAACCTTAATTAGTTGTTGAATTAGATTGTATTTCCCCAGAAGCTGATACTAGGTCAGGAATTGGAGTACAAATAATTTATTTGGGAGGTGAACCCTGAAAATACCAGAAGAACTATGAAGATGAAGTCCTCTCTGTCTGCACATACACACATGAATGGGACAATGAACATATATGAATATATATGACTGGACATACATATATATATATATATGCACATACATATTAATGGAAAGGGAAGGGAGATATGTATTTATATTCATGTATGTATATGTTATATGTATATATATAAATGTAACAATAAATATTGTATGTGTATATGTATTGGATTTGGTTTGCTAATATCTTAAGAGTTTGTGGAACTATGTTCATGAGAGGAATTGGTCTATAATGTTCATTTCTTGCAATATCCTTGTCAGGTTTTGGAATCAAGGTCATCTGGGACTCATAAAAAGGTTATGGGACACCCCAGCAGAGAAGATGGCTGTGGAAGGCCCTGGGGAATGATGGTGTGCTCAGAAGATCAGGAATGAGAAGAGCAGCACCTGTAGTGGAAGCTGCCAGCCTGGCTGTCTTGGGAAATAATGGCCAAGTTCTCCCTGTTCCCTGTAGATCCTGTCTCCACAGTGGCATGATGAGGGGTGGGAACATCAGGTTCAGAAAAGGTCTTTCTGCTCTCAGCTTCTCACAAGCTTAACTGAAGCCCCCCGCCGGGGTGATAGAAGATATGACTTCCCCTGAGTTTGGTAGAGGCAAGCATTTCCCTTTGAAAGCTTGTTGGTCATTGGTCATCTCCGTGGTCTCTTCTAAACCCCAAGAGTCATCCAGGGCCATGCACCCAGGGGCTTTTTCCACCTCTCCATTCAGAGCCTTTGATGCCCCTTACACACCTCTTATCAGCTGTTGAACAAACTGTGACCTGTCTCCAAGAATGCTGGCCAGCTGAGGCTGACAATGGGGCTTGGCCAACCAAAGTGATATGGATAGCAACTGGCAGAGGGCCAGGATGGCATAAATGTCAAAAGGTGCTTGCACTTGCTGCTGTGACTGCTAGCTGTGGTCTTAAGGTATCTTGCAGAGGAGGGGGTAAAGGATGGTCCCAGAGGCACCAAAAGGGGCAACAAGCACAGACATTTTTAACTGCCACTCAGAGAACAACAACTCTGTGCCAAGCCCTGTGCTGAGGGCTCTACACTCACAATCTTCTTCATATACACATGGGTCTCACTGAAACCATAACACAGCAGAGTGGGAAGGGATATTTTAACCAACTAAGGTGTTCACTTGCCAGTGCCTGGGATCCAAAGTCAGCATAGCCACTCTATACGCTCAATCATTGGGAGAGGGTAGGAGGAGCCAGTTGGCTTAGTGACACATTTAACTTGGAGTACATTCATCAAGACATGCCTGGAAAAGGCCACAGAGGAAAGGCTCCAGAGAGGAAGATAGCACTGGGTGACTGAACTGAGGGGACCACAGCTTCATAAGAAGGGCAACAAGAACCAGGCTCAGCACTTATTCTGGTGTTCACTCAACAGCATACAATGTCATCACATTCACTCTCTTACTGGAACCTCCTAGGGCGCCCAGGAAGTCAGCAGGGCAGGAGTCTTCTCCCCTCTGAACAAATGAGGAAAGTAAGGTTCAGAGAGGTGAGGTGACTTTACTTGCCAAAGACCTATTACTGGTATGGTAGGCTAAATAATGGCCCACAAAGATGTCCACATCCTAACCCCTGGAACCTGTGAATATGACTTTATATGGCAAAAGGGACTTTGTGTATGTAATTAAGTTAAGGATCTTGAAGTGAGAAGGTTGTCCTAGATTATCTGGGAAGGCTGTGAATGCAATCACAAGTGTCCTTATAAGAGGAAGGCAGAAGGAGATTTGGCACAGACAGAAGAAAAAGGGATGTGATGACAAGAGCTCCATGTGTATATCAAGGATTGTGAGTGTAAAGCCTTCAGCACAGGGCTTGGCGCAGAGTCATTCTCTGAGTAGCAGTTAAAGCAATCTGTGCTTGTCACCCCTTTGGTGCCTCTGGGACCTCCTCCGCAAGATACCTTAAGAAAGAGATTGAAACGATGTGCTTTGAAGATGGAGGAGGGGGTGATGAGCCAAGGAATACAGGTGGCCAACCTGAAAAAGGCAAAGTAATGGATTCTCCCCTCAGAGCCTCCAAAAGCATCCAGCCCTGTTGACACCTTGATTTTAGGCCAGTGAAACTGATTTGTTTTGGACCTCTGACCTCCAAAAGTATAATAGTAAATTTGCATTGTTTTAAGCCACTATGTTGGTGGTAATTTGTTATAACAGCAATGAGAAACTGATCCATCTGGTGAGTGGCAGAACTGGGACAGAAGCCAGTCATCTCATCACCCAGGCAAAGGCAGACGCCATCATCTGCTTCTTGGCAAAGTTTCCCAGGGCCTGGATAGATGTGGGAGTGGAGGATGGGAGGACTTCAATAGGAGGCAATGATGGTTCGGAAGCAGGAAGCTAGCTGCTGGAAGCCACCAGCTTGAAGTCCCTTGCTTGAGGCTCGTCATGTGATTATCCGACCGCTTCAAGGAAGGGACTAGGAGCATGGAGGCAGAGGCCTGTCTTTGGCCCCAGAAGCTGGGACGTTTGATCCATTGCTGACTGGGTGAGGGTCCTGCTGATTGAGATGGAGAGTCCTTAGAGGCAAGACTGGACCGATGACTTCTTGAGGTGCTTTTCAGCTCTCAGGTTCTGTCAGTCCCTCTTCATGGAATCCTAGGTGCCAAAAGCAGACCCAGGAAGCCTGTGGCCCTGATAACCCAAGGCAACCTCTGTCTCTCTAAATGTTCCTGTGGAACCGAGTAAGCATAATCCCAGAGGGCAGTTTGGGACAGCTCACACCCTTCCAGTGGCGGTGAAAATTGGTCATTCCCCTTGGAGAGAGGAGGCGCTCTTGGCAATTTTCCAGAGCTCTACCCTCCTTCCTTTGTGCCCAAACAGCTGTGGGCAGATCAGGCTGGGGGTAGAAAGGAATGAATTCTATTTTCTTCCCTCCCTGAGGTACTCCATGTGGTCACAGAAGGCTGCACAGGAAATATAACGGTTGACAGACGTGCGGTGTTTTGTGATGTGAAAATTAAAATCACCAGGAAATGTTCACGTTCTCTCTCTCCTTCTCTCCCCCCCTCCCCTATCTTCCTTCCTCTGAGCCTTTCTCTCTCTCTGTTCTCACTCTTCCTCTGTTGCCTTTTTCCCCCCAGTTCATTTTAAGTCCCTCAAACTTCCTACCTCCAAGAACAACTCTCTAGTTGAGGCTTGGACTTTACAACTTTCACAAATCACTTTGAATCCTTAAGGTGCCTACAGACCTCTCAGTTTGAGCAATTATGGGAGGGAGAACAAAGAATCAGGGTGGGCGAGCTTCCAGCCACCACTGCCATAAAGTTAAGTGACAACTGTTCACTCCCAAGCCTCTGAGTCTGGACAGGTTTGAAAAATTTGTTTTAATCTCAAAAATCTATTCCCAATGAGCAATTAGAAGCCATTTCCTTGAGCTCTTACTATATCCCAAACTTCGGTTTAGTTAAATTTTGTGAGGTTCAAATTTTGCACCTTGAGACTCTACTTTTCTCTAAATTTCACAATTTAGGGATAAGGGTCTGTTTGTATTCAGCACTGATTGGAATGAAAACATCATTGAGCTTGCCAAGCTGAGACCTGGAATACCACAGCATGAGGTTCATATGTTCTGAATGAGCAGGTTTCAGAAAGCTGAGCACTTAGATGGTGAGGCGTGTGACTTGTAAGATGTGCTTTCTGTAGGGACACAGGCCATCCCCACCGCTGCACCTTCAGCATCTGTAAATGGTACAAGGGCTAAAGTACTTGCACGCAGGCATTTGGATTTTCCCCTGTGTATTATTATTGGCGTTATCTAAGGCAATGTCCCTATCTTACTTCATAGGTCAAGAGTATCCCCAGGGCCACCCAGCAATGCCTAGGAATGAACTCCTAGAATGAAAAACACTTTGGGAGATTCTTCTATCAACCTTCCCTTGTTCTATAAATGTGGACACTCAGGCCTGAAAGAGGGGACAGGCCCTGCAACTTGAGATGGCTCAGCAGGACTGGGACTCAGGTCTAGCTCGTACTCTCCACCCCAGGCCTAGATACTTGTCCACTGTGACTACCTCCGGGAGCCAGGTGCCAGCCTGGGAGGAGCCATATCTGTTTTGGAGCAATTGCCCCGGGCATAGCAAAGAAGGGGGTTGAGTATGAGATAGTATAAGGATGGCATGTATCCTTTGGTAAACAACAAATCTTGGGGCTGGAAGGCTGGTCAAAAGTCAGTCTGGAGACTGGTTTTCCACAACAGAACGTGCTGCGAAAGAGTTGTGGGCAAAACTCGGTTTTGAAAATTGAATCTTTAACCCCCCTGGGTGCCATCTATTGCAATCTTATGAGAACTACTTTTGTGAAGCAAAGGGTCTTCTTGTAATGCAAATTTCCACTCCCTAATTGGCCCGGTGTGTAACTTCTATGCCTTCAATTGCTGAAGGGGGCCAAGCCCCTTTGACACCGGTTTTTGTTTTGGTTTAGCACAAAGCAGGTAGGAGGTAGGGTCAACTCGCACCTCCCTAATGCTGCCGCTGCTGCCTCCGGGCGGGAGAAGACCCACCTGGGCTCCAGGGCAGAGCTGGGCCAGCTTATCACCTCCCCTTCATCGCCCTGTGGAGGTCTGCTGCAGAGTAGTTAATCGGGAAGCTGGGAGTGCAGGTGGCACTCTGTGCCACCTGGAGCCATCTCCGAGAGAGTGCCCGCATCCTCCAAGGCTGGAGAGGAATACCAATTGCACGGTTACTGGGCCCCCTCAGGAGCCCACAAGAGGAAATTAAAAGGCATACACACGCCTGGAATAAAGGACCCTCTTCTTGCAGCTAATCACTGAAATTGGTCACTGGGTTGTCCCCTCCCCCCTTTGGTGAAAGACATGGTCTTTCTCTTGTTCTGTTCCATCACTGCGTTCTTAGAAAAGTGTGAGGAGGGGGGCTAAGCTTTGCACGGGCATCCTCCCATCCCCGCCCTCAAGGTCTGCCTTTCTCTCAGAGTCCTGGCTTTTCCCAGCATGGGGGGCATTTGTTTGTCCTGTCTGATGCAGGAGAAAGGTCAATCCCAGCCCCTAGGCTATGCAGGTGGGAAGAGTGGCCTGGCATCTCTTAAGACTGTCTCCTGCATGGCCCTTTGCAGGTTGTAAAATGCTTGCACTCCCCTCCCTGTATGGGCTTCACAACCTCATCAGGGCTCACAGCTGCTATTTTACCTTGAGGGCATGGTCTAAGGTGACAGACATGGTCCTCAGGATTTGAATCCAGGACTTTAGCTCCAAGGCTAGGATAAGCTCTTCCCACCCTCTGTGCTTTAGGGCCCACTGTGGCCCCAGTCCACTCGGCAATGGGAGAGCCTGTTTGCATGCCCTTAGCAAAGCCTGTGGAGCCCTGAGGGCAGGGGCAGGAAGATGGCCTTGGGGCTGCCAGGGAGATGCCTAGGAGGTTTTGGTTATTAATTAATTAATAACACTGTGTCCCAGCAGTCAGGCTGGGCTGGACCTATGGGAGATGCCCTCTAGATACCTGCTGAAAGCAAGCAGGAAAGAGCATGAGACTTACTGTCTCCTGCGTGGGAACAGGGGGCGGTGCTTAGTTTCCCCTGCTAGGCCAGTAAAAGGCTTGGGTCACCTGATGGCCAAGGCCCTGTGCCACAAGTTCTGGAGACCTGATACAAGCTGTGGTCTTGCTTCCCACTGTGGCCATAGGCACGTAGCTCCATGAGTGTTCTGAAGAGGCTCAGCTCAGGGAAAATGCAGGTGGCTGGGCCTGAGAATCTGGGGTTGACAAGAAAACCTAATATTCATACTGTAGTATATTGAATGGTGGCCCCACAAAGATATGTCTACCTGGCACCTGTGAATATGACCTTATTTGGCAAAAGGTCTTTGCAGATGTAATTAAGGATCTTGAGATACCATCCCAGATTATCCAAATAGGCACTAAATCCAATGACGTGTCATTATAAGAGAGTGGCAGGAGATTCAAGATACACAGGGAAGTAGGTAAGGGTGAAGATGGAGCCAGAGGTTGGAGTGATACGGCCACAAGCCAAAGGAACACCTGGATCCACCAGAAGCTGGAAGAAGCAAGGAAGGATTATCCCCTAGAGCCTTCGCAGGGAGCTTGGAACTGCTGACACCTTGATTTCTGATTTCTGGCCTCCAGAACTGTTGGAGAATAAATGAATAAATACATTTCTGCATCAGTGAATAAGTTGTCACTGTTTTAAGCCACGAAGTTTATGGTAATTTGTTACAGTAGGCACAGAAACCAATACAAAATAGCAACAATACCAAGGAGAGGAGGGGAAACAGGAAGGAGGAAGAGGAAGATGAAGGAAGAAGGATAAAGTCTTATTGACCATCCACCAAGTGCCATGCAGGCACTGCCCTACCTGCCTTTAGAGTGTGATCCCATTTGATGGCTATGACAACCTTGTGAAGCAGGTACTTCCCTCACTCCTGTTGTACGATGGAGCTGGCTCAGACATTCAGCAGTGAAAGCCTGGTTGCTCAGCTAGGAGAGGTGGAACCAACTGAGAGAGAAGCCCCAGTGGTGGGACTCCAGGCCTGCCTTGCTGAGCGGGCTGCTAAGGGGGACCCAGCTAGAGCCTGGACAAACAACAGGATTTAGGGAGATGCACAAGGAGCACTCAGTCTCTGGGGCTTTAGGAGAGAGAGGTCACATTTCTGACCCAGAGCTGGCCTTTCAGGAATGGGACATGGCTAGCCTAACCCAGCTCCCCTGAGCCCTCATAATAGAGCTGGCCATGGAAAACGGAGCTTCAGGCACACACAATGATCCCTGCTCAAGGCGGATCCAGACCTGGAGCTCCCCTGCCGACTGTTGTTTCTTTCCTGGGTACAGGTCTCCGTAACCTGCCAGAAGCCTGGGTATACCTCTGCCTCCCATGTTCCTTCTCTTTTCTCTCCACAGCCAATCTGGTCAATTCCCTTCCTGAGCATTTCTCTCACGCGGTGCACTCCATGGATGTGGTGGTCCCTTTCCTTTGTCTCCCATTTGCACACACAAGCATTTCTCCTGCCAGAACAGAGAAGCATCACATTTTGCTCTTGGTTATAACATGATCAGAGTTGGGAACTGGGGCTATGGGGGCAGGGAGGGGGCAGGAGGAAGACTGTTGCCTGTGACTGACAGACAAACTGGCTGTGCTAGCAGAGTGACTGGCCTCACCGCAGGCCTTTGTGGGTCGTGAGCTGGGCTGCAAGGAGAGGGTTTTCAGAGCCGCATGCTTTCCTCACCTGTTAATGCTGTGATGCACGTCACTGTCAACGGGTACCTTCAATGCCATGTTGCTGATTCTCTCTTTCTTCCTGAAAAACTATTAAATTATGTGCAGTTTATCAATCACACCATATTAAACTCGAGGGCACACAAACTTGACTGTGGCTGTATTTGCTGTTGAAGGCAGGTCCTGTGGTACTTAAGGCTGTTCTATGCATTTGGAGCAGCTGATTATCTTTTGCAATGGCCAAATACACCCATAGCTATTATTTTTTCCCAAAAATCTCTCTTATTGAAATCCTTGCAGGGAAAATGACTTTTTATTGCAAGTAAGAATTCTCTAGTCCCTAACCCTTCACTGTGCTCTTGGAATATAATGCTTGACAGTGGGAGTTGTTGAGGAGCCCAGTAGTCACATCAGAGCACAGGGCATGGCACAACCCTGTACCCTCTGTCCCATTCTAGTCTGCTTATTCACATGGCTAGCACCTCACCAGAAGGGGAGCCCCTTGAGGGCAGGGATTTTGTCCTTTGCACTGTTACACTGCTGCTGCTGCTGATGTCTAGCACACCGTAGGTGTGGTACCTGGTAGGTGCTCCATAAAGATCTTTTTTCTTTTCTTTTCTCTTTTCTTTTCCTTTCTTTCTTTTTCTTTTTCTTTCTTTCTTTCTTTTTCTTTTTTTCTTTCTTTCTTTTTCTTTCTTTCTTCTTTCCTTCTCTCTCTCTTTCTTCTTTCCCTTCTTTTTCTCTCTCTCTCTCTCTCTCTCTCTCTTCCTTCCTTCCTTCTCCTTTTTCTGAATAAGTGAATGAATGTGTCCATCGGGAAATGAGGCTCAAAGCAGGTCACAACTAGCAAAAAGCAGAGGGCTGGGATGTGAACCCAGGGCTGATGTTACAGTTCATGCTCTGCCCACCCCTCCCCCCCTCCATAGTGGCTGCAGGATGGAGCCCTTGAGCTGGTACTCCAATGGAGGCAGGTGTGAAGAGCCTAGGAAGTCAAAAAGAAACTGTGGACAAAGAGAGCAAGTCCCTGAGTGAGCAGAGTGAATGGCTGCCTGGGGGCCATGCATCCTGGGGTGGTGGGGGCAAGTCAGGGAGGTTCTGGGGACAGACTCCAGAGGTGTTGCTTAGTTGGGGTTGGGTGCGGCCTCTAGCTGTGGGCATGAGGTCCAGACAGAAAGGACCAGCCTTACTTTCCCAACAGCCAGAGGAGCCAAAAGGAAGAGGTCTACCCTTGGCAAAAAGCAAGGAAGAAGTGGGAAGGGGACTTCAGGGACATCTGCAAAGGCTGTGGCAATCTGAACAAGATCTGCACTCATGTTACATGTCAACAGTCTGAACCCCAAGTGTCTATGCCAAGGGCAACTTCAGGCCTTCAAAGTGCTGCAGGAGGCAAAGGGGTGCCCTAGGGATTCTAAACTGTAGTAGAGGGAAGTGGGAGAGGCCAGGGCAGGAGTCAGGATCTCTGAATGCCATCTGTCATACTGGGTGACTCTGAATCCCTTCTCTCTCAGCTCGTTTTTGTACCTTTTCTCCCCTCTTGGACATAGTTAATTTTCTTCTCCACTAAGCAATGGGGGCAACAAGAGATGCACAAATCGCCTCCACTTCCATTCAACAAAAATCCATTGTATACCCTATCGTGTACAAGGTGTCAGAGATCCCAGGGAAAGTAAAACCCCATCCCCTCAAGGGAGAAAGGAAGTCCTAATTAGGTGAGTTTGCCGCAGGGTTGGCCGTGATCTGGATATGAATCCTCTGGAAAGAACCATGCAGAGGGAGGGAGTCATTCTCAGCACGGCCAGACTGGGAAGGCTTCTCAGAGGTAGTAGGGTTTGAGCTGAGCCTGGAAGAGTGAAAAGGAGGCTGGTAGGTGTGGAAGAGTATTCTATGCGAGGAAGAAAGAATAGAGGCATAGGGGCAGGAGAAGTCAGGGTATGCTGGAGGAGCAAAGCGGCCAGGTTAGGATAGAGATGTGTGTGAGGAGGATGCGGTGCAGAGAGAGGAGGGCTGCAGAGGAGGGCTGGGGTCTGACTGGGGAGTGTTGAGTGCCAGATGGAGCAGCTCAGGCAGCATCTCAGAGGCAGCAGAGAGCCTTTAAAGGCTTATGAGCAAGGGTGTGTGAACTTATTTGAAAAAAGTGTCTTTACGGATGCAATTAAGGTAAGAATCTTAAGATGAGATGATCCCGAATGATCTCAGTGGGCCCTAAATGCAATGACAAGTGTCCTTAGAAGAGAAGACACAGACAGAAGAGGCACACAGGGGAGAGGGTCATGTGAAGATGGAGGCAGAGACTGGAGCGAATGATGCAGTGACAAGCCAAGCAGCACCCAGAGCCACCAGAAGCTGGAGGGAGAAGGAAGTTTTCTCCCCTGAGCTTTAAGGAGCCTGGTCCTGCCGACACCATGAGTTTAGCCCAGTGATGGTGATTTTCTTACTGCCAGGAGTGCCTGGATCCGTGTGTATACCAAGCACTGTCTGTAGATGGATGTAACTTTCATAGCTCTATGTCTCTGGGAGCTAGTATGATCAATGAAAGTTGCATCGAAGACCGATGCTAAACTCAAATCAGCTGTTTATCCTTGTGTGTTCCTCAGTCAACAGATGATAAAAATATTGCTAGCTGCTGTTATGTGGGGTCTGCACAATGTCTTGATGTTGGAATGGAGGTGAGAATGGCCAAAAAGGAAATGAGGCCCAGCCTTGTGAGTCTTCCTTTCCATCACAGCCTGTTTCTAAGCCAAAGTGGAGAAGCACCAGGACAAGGTCTTTGAGTCCAATGCAGCTTCTAATTACTTGGGACCCTGAGCGGCACTACCCCTAAGGCAGCTCCCTGGGCAGGTGGTGGTGGTAGTGGTGGCCACAGGGAGTTGCCAGTAGCCCTCCTGCAGACACATCAGCAGAGTCCTGGGAGGGACCCAGCCTGCTGGGAAACGTCCAAGGAGTCTCGTATCCTCATCTTTAGTCTCCTGGTGACAAGGCAAGTTTATAATCTGTCTGCCCAGAGTCTAGTCAAATAAACCTGTTCCTAGGAGCTTTCCTCACTCCGCCAGTGGTAATGTTTTGCAAATTGCTCATCCATTCTTCCTTGCAGGTACTGGTTCCAGGAGGGAATCTGAAGACAGGCTTTGGAGAGTGGCTGGTGCCCTTTACAGGCCCTCACCCCCATCCCCGCACTCCCCGCCCCCAGAAGTAACGTGCTTGCTAAAGAGAAATGGCTTTGACAACTTGCCTTAAATAATCTGGCAAGTGAATCTCCTTTCTTTATTCATTAGGGATATTTGCACCTGAATCGCCTCTTTGTTTCTTGGGATTTCAGTTCTGAGCCTAAGCAGGCAAGGCTGGGGAATGACAGGGATAGGGGCTCTGGAGGCAGGGGAGGGCGGCCAGGGTTGCCAACTGAGATGTGTCGGCAAGCTCTAGAGATGCTCCTGAGCCAGGAGATGGCTGAGCTGGTGTGCACTGGTGTGTCCCAGCCTTCCTCTGCCTCCGCAGACCTCTCGACCTCAGAGGTGACTCAAGGCTGAGGTCAGGGGAATTTTCCTCAGACCACAGAGGGAGAGGCCAAGGATCTGTAGTCAGACAGCTCTAAGATCACTTCCTGGCTTCTGCATGGACTAGCTGAGTGGCTGCAGACAAGCATTGCCCTTGCTCACTCGCTCGCCAGTCTGCCAAGAGGGAGATGCTAAGAGGAAAGGCAGGCTCACAACACGGCTGGCAGGAGGTGATGGGATTAAGGCTGCAGAAAGCTTTGCCAATGCACAAGTGAGGCTTGGAGAAGGCGGGCGCTATCAGGGCACTGCCTGGCCACGGGGCCCGAAGGGGCCCCTCTCAGGCAAGTACTCTGTGAAACGGAGGCCAAAGGAAGAAGAGTGCCCCTCAGCGCTGTGCTAACTGAACTTCTTTCCAGGAATCTTTGTTAACATTTGCCAATGGGTAGTAAAGCTCCTTTAACATCCCCCTGATCGTTGGGATTTCATTCGTTTTCTTGCTTCACAACCTTCTTGTCCTGAACATATATTTGCTGATGTATCTGGCAAGACAAAAAAACAAACAAAAAAAAAAAAAAAAAAAAAGGAAAAAACCTGCTATACCAATTAGCTACATTTGCATCATTATTTTATATGAGCATGAAAGGTTTAAACAGAATGTATCCAGATTACACGGATTAATTAGATATTTTAAGTTTTAAAAACTGAAAAACAAAAAAAAGCAAGAAAATAAGTTTGTATAATACAAAACTCATCAGGCTTTGATTTTCTACCGCGAAGCTATTAAAAAAACAATTAAGACGTGAACAGCAAACTGATCCTATGAATAAATCAGAGCTATCAAAGGCACATGTTTGCTTTTGGATTATGATGAATGTAAATTTAGACATGAGCTATGGGCTTGAGCTGTTAATTGCACTAAACCTGAGCTCCAATCAGGTGCCAGGGAAGGCTGGGCTGGGGCTGTGCAGAGCAGGCCAGGGGTGCGTTGGCCTTCACGTCTGCCAGGCTGGTGCCCTTTCATTTCCCTCTCACCTACACTGAGGATTAGACTTAGTAGATGGAGGCTTGATGCCATAAATTCATAGGAAAGGAGACCACTAGAGTCTTCAGACCCCACAGGAAAACCCCATCAGGAACTGAAATGCACATTGCTTGGTCCCTTTTGCAAGGTTAAGTGATCTCATGGGACAGGAGACAGATTTGGGTTGCTTTATTTCCAGTTAAATTCTGAGATGCTTGCACTTCGGTTTTGCTCCAGGAAGAACTCAGTTATGTCTACACATATGCTTAAACTGTCTCCCATTAATAAGCTGCAAAGACAGGAGCCAGTGCTCCTAAAACCACAGCAAATTGTCAAAATGCTTGTTGATAAGTGTTCCAAAACATCACCATTACAGCAGACTAAATACAAGGGCATCTGAGATGCAAACAGCTTGTAGTGGAAACATATTAATATTAGGAAATTTCTCAGTTCGCTCCCAAAAACACTTGCCAGGTTCATACACATGCCAGGCCCCAAGTCCCTCCCTGAGCATGGGCACCACAGCCTGACCCCTTGGTGACTTCAGTCACACCTGCCAGCCCTCTGGGGAGGCAGTGGCAGGATCAGAGTGGATTTGAGCTGGAGTGGCTCTCCCTCAAAGAGAGGCTCATCTGATCACCACCCCCCATAACTCCACAGGGGCCTCTAACCAACCCGACCTTGGCATGAGCAGCTGCAAAGAAAAAGCTGTGACAGGGTGGTCTGTACCTGCTCAGAAGTGGGACACCACCCTGAGAAGAGGCAGGGTGCATCATTCCCCATGGATACTTCCTGGTGGTGGGAAAACAGGAGAGGGAGCTTCTGCACCCCTCCCACCCTCCCCCCACCCCCTCCTTTCCCTTCAACTTTATCTTCTACATAGGGGAAGGAACCTTGGCCCTGGTTCTTATTGCAGCTTGGCCACTCCCCGCATGGCTCCCAGCACTTCCCACAGTTGTGGAGGGTCGGGGGAGGAGTCTCCATTTTCCCAGGTGTGAAACCCTATCACGATTTGCCAGCCACAGTTTCCATGAGCATTTTCTGCACTTTGCTTATATTGATCCTCACATAAACAGCACCAATGGCCACGTGAGTAGCTGAGTGAGACCATGTAAGCTGAGGGGGTGGTGTGGCGTGAGCATGGTGATGCCCACCATTCCTGGCAGCCACTCTTGGGCATCTCAGACCAACGGGTGGGGGCCACACCCCAGCAGGCTCCCGCCCTTGGCAGTCCTGACCAGATCTGTGACTATTGATTATTTCTCACTTTCCAGGCTGGAAATCAACCAACTCTTTTTATCCAGAGATTCACGACTGTCTCTGAAGGGTTAAAATATAAATAGCAGTTTCTAACCATGCTAATAAATAGATGAAGCTAAGCAAACATTTTATCAGCTGTCCTCACAGCCCCTCAGTGTACCCGTCTTCCTGCCCGCCTCACTAATGTGCCCACCACTTTCTCTGGGCACGCTCACATTCTGCAAAGGCTGGGAGACAGGCTGGCCAAGTGGGTCTAAAAATAAAATGAACAAGAGGCAAAAAACAAGCTACCATCACCTAAGCAAAGGATGATGTCTGCCCAGGGACAAACTCTCAGGAGCCCACAGTGGGTTGTCTGCAAGGGGCTGTGGTCTCCTGGGCTCTCTGAGGTGTGCATAGACTGCTGTTGTCCTGGGGAAGGACAAGCTGGGTTAGTACCCTTTATCGTCCCCCTTGCTGGGGAGCACTCTGTCACTGGAGCTGGGACTGGAGGTGGGGAAACAGGGATGTCCCAAAAGGCTGGGCCTGCCCCGTCTCATCCTCTCCACGAGTGTGGTCTCCCGTGTCCACACAGCAGACATTGAAGACATCCCTTAGAAGACATGGAAGGCACCCCTCTCCGCCTCTCCTCACCCCACCCCCATGAACACTCCTCCCTATCTCCCCAGCTCCTCTCCCACCCGACCCAAACTGCCCTATCCCTCTGCCATAATTTAGTCAACAATGCCAAGGTTTCACATGTGGTTCAGTGGGGACCAGTGTTCCTCTGGGGAGGAAACCCAGCCCCCAGGTCTACTGTGTGTGGGCAGGAGCTGGGAGCCCAAGGTACCTCTTCCCTCCCTCACAGAGCTGGAGGCCAACACGTCAGCTTTATTTGCCCTGAAAGAACAGAGAACACTGAGTCTCAAGTCAGCCACTGCTGCAGAGAGCAACAGGTTTGAGTGGGAGGGTGTGCAGGGCTGGCAAAGGACAGCCTCTTTGCAGAAACAGGCCTCCCTCATACAGGCCCCATTCATCAGGACAGACCTGGACAGGGTGCTGCTCCCTCTCTAGCTGGGTGGGCAGCTCCTTCGGCTGGACCACCCTTTAAGAGATGCCAACTGTTTGTCACTTTTCTGCCTGGCACAGTGCTGGGCATTGGACAGGATGGGGGTCTAGTGAGGGCCTCCCCTTTGGGGATCTTAGAGCATAGCCGGGAGGCAGCATGAGCCAGTTTGGGGGTTATGAGGTCAGTCAAGCCTGAACTGGAATACTGGCTCCTGGGGCCACCCCTGCTGGGCACTGTGTGGCGTTGGGCCACCGTTTCCTCATCTGTACAATGGCTAGACAGAGAGAACCTGCCTCCTCCACACTCACAGCTTCTGATCATCACCCGCATCACAACTCTGGTTGTCCTGTGAGGACCTCCCTGGACCAGCACTGTCTGCAGTGGGGCAGGCTGCTCTGCAGGGCTGGGGGAAGCACCCAGTCACTGGAGCTGTGGGGACAGGGGTGTCCCAAGGCTGGGCCTGCCCTGTCTCATCCCCTCCACCAGTGTGGTCTCCCGTGCCCAGGCAGCAGGCGGCAAGAGCTGATGCAGGGTGACTCCGGGGGCCCTGGCACGCCTCGAGCCTTAAGCCGGTCAGTCTCTGGGAGCCTGTGGGAAAGACAGGCAGGGCCTCTCGGGTCAGGCAGGCCCCCAGCACAAAGTGCTGACAGGTGGGGAGATCCAGGCCCACAGGAGGCAGGGCTGTGCCCGAGGTCCCTTGCAAGTCAAGGCCCCGGGGCGGGGGCGGTCCCTGAGTCCTCAGCTGGGGCTCTCAGCAGGGCCTCCCCAGGTGCCCTGGGCTCTGGAGGACCCAGCAGCCCCGTCCAAGATCCTCAGAAGGAACCAGTATAATGCTGGGGTCAGAGTGGGAAAATGTCCCACCTGGTTTGGGTGACTCTGAGTCCTTCTGCAAATTCACCTGGTGAAGGTGGCATCTGCCCCATGGGTGCACACTGTCCCCGGGAGCACAAGACACATCTCAGAAACAGCGGCCTCGGCCCCAGTGGTGGCTGATGGGGCTTTCCCAGTGGATGCTCAGGGGAACCATGGACCTCCTTCCCTCCTTCCCCCTCTCTCCCCCTCCCTCCATCCCCCCTCCCTCTCTTCCCCTTTCTTTCCATCCCTCTCTCCCTCCTTCTCTCCCTCCCTCCTTCCCTCTGTTTCTCCCTCCCTCCCTCCTTCCCAGGCTGTCAGGGAGATGCAGGGATGGGGCCTGGGCTCTGAGTTCCTTTGGGACTCCTGCCTGAATGTCTATCTGTCTCCCATAGCCCTTCGAAGGAGTGGCCTCCTGCCCACAAGCTGGAGGGCTCTGCCATTTGCAGGCTGGTGCCTTTCTCAGCTGCTCCTCTTGCGGGGCCACTCTCTAAAGAGAACAGGTGAGAGATCAGTCACAGACCCATAGGCACGTCCCTGGCCTGGCTAAGACATACAAGGGACTGATATGACCCTGGGCTCTGGGGGCAGAACCCTGCCCTGCCACAGCACAGATGTGGGTGGTTCTGTGTCCCCAGCACAGTGGGGATGCACTGCAGAGACACAGCATGCAGTCCAGGCTGTCCCCTCCCCGCCGCCGAGCTCGCCATTGCCGTCAGGTGCCATGGAGGGCCATCATTGTCATCACTGCCATAGAGGGCCAAGAGGAGCGGGAGCCACTGGGGAGGCAGAGGTCTGCTGGGGCTGAGGGTGGGCCTTGGAGAGTGACACCTCCACAAGACTAGAATGGAGCCAGAGAATGAGGACACATCAGCAGAGTCTGACCTGTCAGGGTCCCCCCAGTCCCCACTAAGGGCAAGTGGCTAGAGGTCCTCAGAAAAGCCCCCCAGGGAAGCCCAGAAGCCCCCAGCATAGAGCTCCAGGGATTGAGAAGAGTTTGGTGAAACCAGAAACTACCATGTGGCCCTGGTGACCCTGGTGCCAGAGGAGGGAGTGGGGTTGGGGGAGGGGACTGCCACTCCCTGGGGCTCCAAGCACTGCCTCTCCCTCAGCTCTAGACTTATATAAACAACTATATATATGTATATAACATATATACAACTTATATATACAACAGCCTGCTGGATATGTGCACCATATTCAAACCAACTGTGGTCATACCTGGACTTCAGTCTTTGCCCTCCTACCTCCCACTGAGGCCCACCTGGAGACCAGTGAGGAGATGCCTGAAGGGTGATCCCCAATATACATCTGGAGCCCAGATCTGTCTTCCCATCTCCTTCCCTGACCCTCTTCCAGGACGACCCATGGGCTTGTCAATCCCATAGGCTCTCCAGCTGGATCTTTCACCTTTTACCCCAGACTTCACCTCGGCTTCCCATCTCAGCAAAGGCACTGCCAGCATCAGGTGCCAAGGCTCTACCCTTCCTGGGTCTTGGCCTCCTCCCTCCCATCCTCACATCCCTCCACTGATGGGAAGTGTTTGACTTCATCAATCTCAAACACACTGAATGACTTTGCTGGGCCTCCCTGGGATTGGCCTCCTGCTCTGGGCCCTAATACACTCACACTTTGCAAGGAAACAGTGGGATTCAGTCAATCCATAAAAGCAACTGATTACTAGCTTGTTAGAGGCATGTATTTATTTTGTTTTTCATGAGTTGTCTTGGTGATTTTCCGGTAACCAATTGTTTGACTGTTCATAGCCCTTTTCTCTAAGCTGGTTTCTTTGTGTAGGTATGGCTTGTGTGTCAGAAATGACACCCAACGCCACTGGCCTCCCATGGGCCCCACTTGGTCAGACCCAGGACAGGCCAACCAGCTGGGGCCTGTTGGAATGGGGGCTTCCCTATCAGCTGCCCGTTTGACTGGCTTCCATGAAAGCTGAGACTTGTTTATGAGAAGAGTGGTCCTGTCCATATGACTACAGCTCTACCTTTCCTTTGAGCTTTTTTGGAAAGGAAGTCTGGAAGGAATCTGGTCTTTGATTTCCTCTTGGCCCACATGACCTTCCCTCTTCACAATGCAAAGGAAAAGATCAGGAACCAAACCTGGACCCTTGCCTGTGAAAAGGCTGCTGTTCCGCATTCCTAAAAGAGCTGCTGACATCTAGAAGCAAACAGTCAGCTGAGAGACAATCGGGCTGAGGCAGGCTCTGGATTTCCATTCCATTCCTTTTCAACTGCCTCAGTGCCAGCTGAACTACAAGCCCCAGGAGGTGAAATTGAACCCAAGGATTTCCCCAGCTATCTGGAATGAAGCTTTGTCTTCTATAATTAGAGTCCCAGAATGTCAGGGCTGCAGGGGCCCTTAAGATCAGCTGGCCTGTCTCCATCATGGGACTGACAGCCAGGCTAGGAGGCCCAGCTTGGGGCCCACCCCCTGCCTCCATCCCTGCCAGAGCCCTTCCTGCTACACCTTCTGCTAATAGTTTTATCTGTGGACATAGTGGATGCTCAATAAGTACTTGGTAAATGGAATCAGAGCTCTTCTGCCGTCTCCCAGTATGTGAGGCTCTGCATGCAGTCAGCCTTCTCAGTAAGTGGATGTCAAATTTCTTTCGCCAGAGCCCAACACCTGCAGGAAAACACACAGCACTGCCACCTGGCTTTGAAAGCTCTCAGTGATCTTGTCCTAACTTTATCTGACACCACTGTCACCTTGTGTCCTACATTCCTCTATGCTGGACAACTCTGTTCCCTGAACACACCATGCAATTTCCCCTCCCCGGGCCATCACTTCAGCTGTTCCCTCAGACCAAAACGCCATTTAACTCCAGCTGTCCACCAAGACCCTTCTCTTTTGGCAAGGTCCAACTCCAGGATTCTTTCCTGTGTGAAGCATTTCCAAAGGGAGCTCTCCTGCTTCCTCCCCTAATTCACTTATTTATTCAACAGATCTTTTAATGAGTACCCGCCATGTGCCAAGCACTGTTTTTGGCATAGGGAATATAGCAGCGAACAAGGCAGATAAAAACCCCTGCCTTCAAGGAGCTGACATTCTAGATGGGAAGAGAGGTAAACAAGAGAAGTGCATTATGTAGAATTTTAGAGGTGGATTTAAATTCTCCTTCTGCTTGCCCTGCATTTTCTTACCCCAAATTATCCTTATTTTCCTCTGCCTCGTGGTATGGCTACTTCATTTGTATTCGTGTCTCTCACAAGGGAATAAACTGCCTGAGAGTATGGAGCCAAGGGCTGGTCTTTTCTACAGCCCCCACAGCATGAGGCATTCACTCAAGGAATGTTTGTGAAATGAGTGAGTGAGTGAATGAGCGAGTGAGCATGTGTGTGAATGGATGAGTGAATGACTGTGTGTATGAGTCAAGGGATGAATGAATGTGTGAGCGAGTGAATGGCTGAGGGTGTGAGTATGTTTGTGTGAGTGAATGGAGAATGAATGAATGAATGAGTGAGTGTGTGAGTGGAGAATGAACGAATGAGTGAATGTGTAGGAGTGTGTGTGTGAGAATGAATGAGCGAATGTATGGATGAGTAAGTGTATGAGCGAGTGAATGAATGAATGAGAGGGGTAAGTATCTAGGTTCAGAACACTTGTGAGTTCTGGTTTTTCTACCTGTGTAAGTTGAACCGCTTGAGCATAGGATTGCTGAGACCCAGAAGAAAAGTCAGCATTGGCTCTCACACTACAGAACAAATGAGAGGTGGCTCCAGAAACTTCAAGATGACAACTTCCTGGAAATGCTGCATTTTCGCCTCCTTTGACTGTGGACTCTGGCAGTCTTTCAGGGGACATCTCCAGGGTCTAGATTGGCTTACTCCACACCTGCCGCCCAGGATGCGCTCACATGCTCTCATAGCACCTTAGATTTCTTCTGCAAACATCAGTAGTACTTACAAAGAATGACAGGCTTTTTTTCTTCCTATGGGAAAAAAACACAAACACTAACTCCTCCCATAACCCATTCTTTATTAAATGTGTGCTTAAATTAGCTAGTTATTACGTTACCAAATCCCTTTTAATTATTTGCCAATGCTTTCCATATCATTTTTAACCAAGTGAATCTTATCTTAAATTTTAATTTGATTTGTTGTTTAAAGGATTAAGGGAATGATTTCATGACCTAAAATGTGTATGGTCTCTTTTTAAAAACCCAATTGGTGATGTAATTGAGTTGCAAACACTATTTTTGTCTTTTCACAACATAATCTATGGGACTTTATTTTCTCAAGGGACTTGCTTCATCTGCTTTTTATACACATTCAGTATCTGGAAATATGCTTTTGGCTTTTCAGTAATAATATTAGACCTGAATGCTTTGGTGTATATCAGCAGGGGTAGGAGAGTGCAAGGAAGAATGCTACATGCATTTAAATATATTAGGTCAACAGAATAAAACGAGTGTTTACATGTATTTACGAATATTCAAAGTACCTTTTGGATGTTTAAGTTCATAGAGTTCCATGACTTAACCCAGAGCTAGCTGTTTTTTGTTTTTGTTTTTAAGTTTTGTTTTTTCCATTAGTTTTGGTGGCTATTTTTCTGGCTGCTGCTGTTTTAATATGAATGAACTTTGCCTTGTAAACACAGTTGCTTAGTGATTAAATCATATGCTTCAGGATGTCCTTATGATCAAATTGTGTTCAGAATGCAAAGCAGATCCAATCAACAATGCCTAAGGGGGCCTGAATATGGCCCAAAGTCTCACTTCAAATCTCAAAAGTCCAAGCCATGGGCGGTGTATCCCTGCTCAACAGCCTTGTCAAGATGATCTTTATACAGTCAGGACTTCTCTGATTGACTCTTGGGAACACAAATTGAACTTTTAGGATTGAATGGTGGAAAACATACTCCACCAACTACTTTATGGGTCTCTTTCATCAAACCAGAATCACCCCTCAGTTTCCAGGCCATTTTGCCCTTTCTAATCCCCTCCCTCTTACATGGACTCGTAACAAAGTGCCATCATTTCAGCTTTCTCTTCTAAATGTCTCTTGGATGCATCCCTTCCTTTTTGGTTCCACTGCCACCTCCTTCATCCACGCTCCCTGTGATCTCAGCCTTGGACCACTACAATGACCTCTATATTCTTTTCTTAGCCCCATACTGAGACTTACCTTGACTCCCAAATTTATCTTCCTAAGGTGCTCATTCATAATCTCTCTTCTCTGTAACATGCTGGCGCACTCCTTTGCTCCTCAGGTCAGGTCCAGGCTTTTCCAATTGATTTTTAAGATCCTTCTAATCTGACTATAGCTAACTTTTATCCTTCTAATCCCTAATGAGCACAGCCTGGGTCAATAGCTGTTGAGAGACTTCTGCCTGCCATGGTATTGGTATAAGGCAAGACAAATAGAATGATGGAGTAGAAGAGTGAGCCCAGAGATACAGCCATGCATACGTAAAGTTTAATTTATAACAGAGGAGACACTGCACAGGAGTGGAGAAGGGATAGTCTTCTCAATCAATTGTGCAGGGATACTGAGGTATCCACAGGATAGAAAATGAAATAGGACTCTTATTTCGCATCAACACAAAAATCAAGTCCAGATGGATTAAGGACTTATATGTTAAAGGTAAAACTATAAAGCTTTCAGAAGATCATATAGGAGAATATCTTCATGACCTAAAGGTAGGGAAAAATTTCTTAAACATGACATGAAAAACACTAAGCATAAGGAAAAGATGGGCAAGCTGTACTATATAAAAATGAAGAATTCCTAGTTTTTGAAAGGTAGCATGAAAAGAGTGAAAAAGCAAGCCACAGACTGAGAGAAGTTATCTGCAACATGTAAAACTGACAAAGGGCTTATATCTAGAATATATTTTTAAAATGCTACAAATTATTTTGAAAAAGAGAGAGAACTCAACAGAAAAACTGTCAAAAGGCTTAACCAGTAATTCACAAGCCAGGAAATCCAAATAGCTAATAACCGTGAAATGGTGCTACATTTCCTAGTAACCAGGGAACTGCAAATGAAAACCACAATGAGCTTCACTACTCACCCATAAGAATGGCTAAAATTAACAAGAGTAATGACAGTAAGTGTTCATGAGGATATGGAGCCCCTGGAACTCACAGGCTGCCTGCTGGTGGGAGTATATAAGGGGATGGGCATTTAGGAAACATTTCTATTATCTAACAGAGTTGAAGATAGCTGTCCCCAATGACCCAACAATTCCACTTTTATATATCTGTATATAGATATAGACAGAAGAGAAATAGATATCCTCAGGAAATGAGTACTTGTGCGTATTAGGAGACATGGGCAATGATGCTCACAGTATCCAATCTCCCTGGAGCTACCTAACTGTCTGTTGTAGTAGAATGGCCACATGAACTGTGGTGCATTCATATGAAAAGTATACTATTTGGCAGTGAAAACAAATATGGATGAATCTTAAAAGCAAAATATTGAGTGAAAGAGGACTGACCAAATGAATGTGTATGTATCATGCACACACACATACACACACACAAATGAGTGGTGAAATCTGAGTAAGGTCAGTGGACATCTCAATGTCGATTTTCTGGTTTTAATGTTATGTTACAGTTGAACAAAATGGTACCATTGGGGAAAACCAGGTAAATGGTGCATGGGACCTTCTTGTACTATTTTTGCAACTTCCTGTGAATCTATAAGTATTTCAAAATTAAAAGACTAAAATTTGAATTTAAAAGGAACATGCATTATTCCATTTCTATAAACTTGAAAGCAAGCAAAGGTAATCCATGGTGATCTGGGATGCACCTTGATATGGTAAAATACAAAAGATTGGAAGGAAGTGATTCTCATAGAAGTCAGGGATGAAGGAGGGGCTCGACTGTGACTTGTAGGGCATGTGGGGGCTTCTGGGGAAGCTGTCAATGCTGCATTTCTTGAGCTGGGTGATGCTTACACTAGTGTTTACAACAATTTGTTTAGCTGCATATATATGTCTTAAGCACTTTTCTTTGTGTGCAATATTAATATTTAACAATAAAAAAGGCTTCATTAAAGACATTTAATGTCTTTAAAGATCCCTAAGTCATTAAAGATCCCTAATGTCATTAAAGATCCCTAAAGCACCTTAGGGATCATTTCGGACAGATACAAGTATCCTCCATCAGACTGAGTCCCACAGGCAGTGAGGCCAAGTGGCACTCCAGACCCTAACACAGGGCCGACCCAAAGCAGGCACAATGAAGCAGGTCTAGTTGATAAAATTAGAAGGACTGTTTCAAGAAGTGCTGCCTTCCATCTGCTTTTGAGGAGGCATCTGGAAAGAGGGGAAAGCAGGCAAGGCACATGGCCTGCTATACAGACTGCCAACAAATGGGACACAATATTGAAAACCAGGACTGTGGTTCCACAGTCATGGTGTTGTCCAACCCCAAGTGTTGTGTTTCAAGGGCTGCTATTTGCAGCTTGGGGTAGAGTCTGTGGCCCCCAAACCTTGAAAATACCTCTGGGGACCCTGCTGGGAATCTAGCTTGGCCCTGATTGGCCACAGAGCAACAATTGCCCAAAATTATGCCTAGAAGACAATGTGGTGTTGCCTTCTAGAGTTGTGAGGTGCAGTGCCCCTAGGGGAGATTACCCATATGCTGGTGGTGTCATTCCACCACTGTGCCTTCCAGGAAAGAGTAAGCTATGACTTCAGGCCATGGCCACAGCCTACTCTCACTTTATCTGTGGACTACCCACTTGTGCCCTAGGAGTCTTCTCCACTAAACATTAAAGAAGGCAGAAAGGACTGCCGTGTTGAGCAGAAGAACTTGTCCCTCTGGGCAGGCCACTATGGAATCAAGGGCTGAAAGCTGCTGTGAAATACAAAATGTAAGCATTCATGTAAGCCACTTGGGCTGCTAGTAAAAGGACCACAGTTACTAACCACTTCCAGACATTGGCCTGTTGGGTCAGAGGTGCCTGAGAGAGCATCTGAGAAGAGGCGGGAGCCCTGCTGAAATTTCTGATGGGGACCTGAAATGCAATAAAAGGCTTAGGGGCTAGCCATGGGAAGAGGAAGGCCAAGCTCATGGCTTAGTGGGCATTGCCATTGTGGGCAGAAAGAACAGCTGAGTGAACCACCAGGGTCCCCATATCTCTGTCCTGAAGTGGGACCCCTACCTCTAGTCCTGAATCTGTAGCCCCCAAACCTTGGAAAATACCTCTTGCAGAGGACCTTGCAGAAATTTCAGCTTAGCCCTAGCTGGCCACAGGGCAATTGCTGCCCAGAACTGTGGCCACTCACCTCTTTGGGCCCCATGTGGGAGTGTTGTCTTCTGGTCATTGTCTTTGTTATTGGTTCTGTTTGTTTTTTGCCAGTCAATCCATTTTCCTTTCAGGATGTTATCTTCTAACTTATTTTACAATTTAAAATTATGTTTATCTACCTTTTGATTTTTTACTTGTTTTGACAAGGGAGTGGGGGCAATGTCAACACGAGGGAAATAGCTCTGAAATGAATTCCTGGTCTAGACAAGGGAGGCAGGAAGGAGGCCCTTGGTAGAAGCTGCATTTCAATCTCAGGGAATGCCCCTGACCATCAAGCCATTCTGCTGGGCAATGCTATGAGCTGCTGTCCTTTGTCAATTCACCTTTGGAAGTCCAAGGAAATTTCTAGATGTTTCTGACAGCTAATGACTAGAGCTTTAGCAGGGGACAACTGACCACAGTAATGTGGGGAAGGCAATGAGTGAGTCCAGCTCCTCATCCTGAGAAAGCACCCTTCTCACTACCACCCTGAGACCCCATGGAAAGGTGACCCTGATTTGGTTATACAGATTTGCATAACAGAAACCAGATGGCAGGAACTCCCTTAGCTGTGCAGTCAGAACCCATTCAGGCATTGATTCCCTAAAATCCCTTACCTCTTCTAAGCACATGCAAGATCCTACCTGAGGTTGGTGTTCTTCAAGAAGAGGGGTCGCTGGGAAGCCCACAGCCCTGAGAGGTACCCCCTGCTACTAGCATATATCCTTCATAGAGCAAGAGCCAGCTGAGGAAGGGGCAGCCTCCAAAGGGGACAGGCTCCTTGAGTCCCTGGAAGGACTTCATTACAATCAAGCTCTCAGCAGCCAAATTTCTCACACCGTATATCTGTCCAATTGCAACCTGGAAACCTGACTTACTTGCACAGCATCCCCCACGATCGCATATCACCGCCAAAGGCAAAAGGTAGGGACTTGAACTCAGATCCCTGTCTTTTGTGTACAGTGAGTGCTGCTAGCCTGCACACCACGAGATGTTCTGTTCTGGTACATCTCTTCTCCCACGTGAACTGAGGTCAAGTTGAATTGGAATGACTATGACAGCCAATGTCAATGAAGAATGGGATGCAGAGGGCACAAGAGATGAGCTGCCTTGATTAGTATTTGTCTCAGTAACCTGTGTTTGTTGTGAAGAGTAAGGCATCATCATTTCCCAAGCTCCAAGGAAACGCTGTTCCAAAAAGAGTTGCTATTTTTTGAATTGTTCTACTCCCGTGCTGCTGATCTCTTGTGAGACCCTGGTAGCAGGACCCCACACTGAGCTGTAAGACACTCATCTTGCTATGACAACCCCTATCTTCTGTATCACAATCTATGGAATGCTCAAATTTGGCCAAATTGTGGACAGTGCTCAACATAGTTAGCATTATTGTGAAAGTTTCCAGAAGGTTACAAGAACAGCCAGATCCCTGATTGGAACATGAAGACCTGGCTGAGATTTCTATGTTCTCTAATCTGGTGATGGATGAAGAGGGTTGGGAGGGGGTGTCCCTCCTGAGAGCGTGGGCTGAGCCTTCATCTCAACTGAGAGAAGGATGCTGGGGCAGGAGCATTGCACCTTCTGGGGGTTGAGATAAGGAAAAGGGCTACGTGGGTATGTATGTTAACTCTCAACCTCCAAGTCAAGTGCTGAGGGCTCAGCTTGGGGATTTGCAGACAGTCAAAAGAGTTCTCCCACACTTGGACACAGGAAGGGGAAAATCACACACCGGGGCCTGTCGTGGGGTGGGGGGAGGGGGGAGGGATAGCATTAGGAGATATACCTAATGTAAATGACGAATTAATGGGTGCAGCACACCAACATGGCGCATGTATACATATGTAACAAACCTGCACATTGTGCACATGTACCCTAGAACTTACAGTATAATCATTAAAAAAAAAAAAAAAAGAGTTCTCCCAGACATGCAGGGACAGAGCGTCAAGGCATTCCCCAGCCTGAGGCCTGGTGGGGCCCCCAGGTGGCAGGAAGAAGCATGGAGGAACTGAGTGGCTAGGACTGTGAATCCCAGGAGCAGCCACTTCACCCAAAGCAGCTTGAGTTACAACTCTGTTGATTGACTGATGACCTCTAGGCCCAGTACATATTGCTTCACAGAGCCTAGAGAACAAAATGTACCCAAGAGGTAGGGCTGGGGCTGCTCTCTCTTTTCTTGCCAGAACTGAATTCTACTGTGTCCTGAGGAGGCCTGGGCAGTTTGTGTGGTGTCAGGGCCAGACGCTTGGCACAGCCTTTGGCCTGCCCACCAGGGGCACTCTAAGCCACATGGTGCCATGGTTTCTGTAAGGGGATTCCTGGGCAGCCCATGTTAACAAATGGGAATGGATTCTGGAGAGAAAGAATGGGGTAGACCCCAGATGGTGATGAGATGACAGAAACATTTGTGAACACTTATATAAGCTCCTTTGGGGACTCCCTGAAATATTCAGGGGGTGGGGAGGGAGCCTGAAATATTCAGGGGGTGGGGAGGGAGCCTGGGTGAATAGATAGGGCGAGAAGCAGGCGACTAGCTTGTTAATGTTCTGGGACCCTATCTCTGCAGGCTGGTGAGGTCCTGAACTTATAGATTACAGGGTAATGGGAAATCTGTGAGGAGGAAGTGCTGGAGTGTTGAGGTGCAAAGCTGCCGCACACCCCACGAGCCCTGTAAAGCAGAACCCGTGGCCAGTTTCAGGGTGCGGGGGTTTTCTAGATTTCCAGCCCCTGCTGCTCCTCCACTTAGACACTACATTTATTTATTCTTATATTGAAAGAAACACAAAGTAACTCATTTTATTTATATTCTTAATAAGGAAACAAAGTTTCCAACATGTAGCAGCAAAATAATAACAGCAACAATAACAATGTGTGCATTACCAAACACACCTTTTAGTTGAATGGAAAACCTTTTACTTTTTTTAACTTTTATTTTAAGTTCAGGGAAATGTGAAGGTTTGTTACTAGACACTATATTTATTCAGAGTGCTAAAAATGGTGGCGGCAGCCTTGTTCCATGCCAGTTGAGTGAAGCTGAAGCTTTGATGGCTGGAATTCCCTTCCCCTAAACAGTTCTCATTCAGCAGGAGCCACATGAAATTCAGGTGTTATTTGGAAGATGGAAGTGAAGCCAGTGTCTCTATCTTTTGTCTCCTCTTGTTGACATGGGGCAGCTGCTCTGTGACTTCCAGGAACCCTGAACATTTTTGCCTTCATGGGGCCCTTCTTCAATTACCAATAAATAATGATAATTATATTTTATGATTGTGTTGGTATAAAGATGAATACATTATTATATAAGAAAATATTGTCTTTAATCTAAAAGTTCATTTCTTTCCTTCTGATTTTAAAATAAGTTTAATTATCTTGTGTGTCCTTAAAAGTCTCATAGCCTACTGTACCTAATGGAGAGGTTGACCCTGAAAGGGCCTGGAGCTTGCTTGCCCATGCTGGTTCTCAGGGATCAGTGTTTGGGCTTGGAAGGAGCAAGGTTTGCCCATGGACTAGATGAGGCAGCACAAAGAAATGGGTGGATTGGCTGCTTTTTGTCTTTGGGATTAAAAATAAGTCTATTGAGTGTTGTGGAAAAATCACAGTCTTACAATTTAGATGATCAATTATGTGGGAAAAAACAATGTCCATGAGAAAAAATCAGCACTTTTTAAAATTATTTTAAATAATTGTAATTATAGCTAACCTTTGTTAAGCACTTATTACAAGCCACATACTGGGCTAAGCCTCACTCCTTTCACCTTCACATGAAACCCATTTTAGAGACCAAAATGTTGAGGCTGCAGGCTGATGAGGCAGCGGAAAGTCAGAAATGAAGACCATAAAAGAATAGAGACCAATTGGTCAGTAGGAAGAGGAAGTGGGGAGAAAGGATTCAGGAACAGACACTCAGGGATTCCCCGTGTTCTCATATTTGCCCTTCTAGAACCACATTACATGATATACTAATAAATAGGCTTAGGACAACAGCACAGAACCAGATGTAAAAGTTAACAGTTTCATTAACACTTTTCAAGAAAGGAGGCTGTACTTGCTTCTGATTTTCTTCTCAGTGATTTCCCAGGCCAACAACAGAGGGCATTGTCATATTGAATGAAGAGGACCCATCTGGAGACCTCTGGGAAGTCTTAGGCATCAGGTCCTTCCCAACTTCCCCAAGGGACCGAGCCAAGGCAGAGCTTTGTGCTCTGAGAGAAAACTGTGCTTCCTGGCTCCAGGGTAGAGAGGCCTCAGTCTGGCACAATTTCACAAGAGGGACTAAAAGGAAGACAGGAATGTGACCGGCTGTATTCTACGTACAAGGATGTGGCAACTCTGAGGGAGGAAGTGATCTACTCATGGCCATATAGCTAAGTAGTGACCAAATCAGGATAAGAGCCACGCAGTGTGACTCTAAGGAACACCACAGCACGTCGCCCCTCACAGGGAACAGAGCTGGCATTGGCTGCTCATCTATTATGTGCCAGGGCTTCCACGTATTGTCTTATGGGAGCCCAACAGTGAGTAGGGGAGGAAAGTCATGCTCAGGCCTGCTGTACAGATAACGAAGCTGGCTAGAGTGCTCAGTGCGCAAAAGGGAGAGGGAGGCACCAAAGTCTCAGAACTGGCAGGAACCTGCATGCCCTTCTGTTCAGCCTTCCGTCCACTGCTTTGAACTCTCAACTGGTCTTCCCATCGGTCCCCTCACTTTTTATTGTGGTATATGTGTGTGTCTCTGTGTGTGATAAAATTTGTCAGTTCATATTTTTAGTGTACAATTCAGTATACTTAGGCATTAATTACATTGACAACATTATGCAACAATCACCATGTAATTGCAGAACACTTTTATCACCCCCAAAAGAAAGCCTATACCCATTAAGCAGTCACTCTCCCATTTTTCCTTCTCCAAGCTCCTGACAACCATTAATCTGCTTTCTGCCTCTGTGGATTTGCCTATTCTGGATATTTCATATAAATGGAGTTATACAACATGTGGTCTTTTGTGACTGGCTTCTTTCACTTAGCATCATGTTTCTGAGGTTCATCAGTGTTGTAGCATGGATCAGTACTTTATTCTTCTTTATTGCTGAATTGATATTCCATTATGTGGACATAGTGCATTTTGTTTATCCATTCGTCATCAATGGACATTTTAGGTTGTCCCTACCTTTTGGCTATCGTGAATCTGTGATAGACATTCATTGTGGGGAAAACTGTTTCCAATTCTCTTGGCTATGTATGTACCCAGGAGTGGAATTCCTGGGTCATATAGTCATCCTATGTTTTTCTGAGGAACTGCCAAACTGTTTTCCCAGTGGCTGTACCATTTTGCATTCCCACTAGCAATGTACAAGCGTTCCAATTTCTGTACATCCTTGCCAACACTTGTTATTTTCTGTGCATGTGTTGTTCTTTTTTTTTTTTTTTTTTTTTTTTTTACCCTAGTGGGTGTGAGGTGGTATCTCATTGTGGCTATCATTTGCATTTACCTAATGACTAGTGATGTTGTGCATCTTTTCACATACCTATCGGCCCTTTTTCCATGTTTCTGAAAAAAAAAACAAAGCATCCTTACTGGGCCTCCAAGGCCCTGCCCCACTCCCGGCCGCACTGAATGGTCCCTGGCCCTCCACTTCCACTCTGGCACCAGCCACCTGGGCCTCCCCTTCCTCATGTGCACACACAGTTCCTTCTGCCTGCGAGTGGCCTCCGTGCTCCCCTCCATCTTTTGGCTGAGCCCCTACTGGCATGCCCAGAGCATCATCTTGCACTGCCCCTTGGTGCGCCTCATCCCAGTGATGGGCTTCTTGCTTCTTGCAGTTTCCTGAGGGCAGGTGCTGCATCTGGCCCGTTCACTGGAGTGACTCCGGTTCCTGGCTGAGGGCTGGAAAAACAGTATGTTTGGATCCACAGCACCAGATGGAAGACTGAACTGAAGTTGTGCAGGTTTCCTTCTGAAAGACTGGGCTCTCTTGCCCAAGAGGCACTGGCGGTTCCATCTTGGGACTCTTCCTGCTCCAGGGCACCGAGCACCCAGTATTAGGACAGCAGGATAGATGAGGCATCCCCACCGTCTCCCATTGACATCTTTGGAGCTGCCCATCCTCAGCTGTGGTCTGCTATGACTCATGCCCTCAAGGCAGGATGAGTGTTGTCAGCAAGTGACTCATGGACATAGCTCCTCAGCCTTGGCAGCCTTGACAGCCAGCTAGGTCTGATGACATAGGAGAGAGAGCCCCACAGTGGGAGGCAGGGACCACAGTTCCGGTCCCAGTCTGTGATGACTCAATGTGTGATCTGGGGCCTTCACTTCCCCAGCCTGTAGAGTCTATCTGAACCACCTGTGGATCCCTTTCAAAAATGCAGCTGGCTACACTCCCACCCCTGCTCCGACCCTGAGATTCTGATTTAGTGGCTCTGGCATGGAGCCCAGGAAATCTGCAGTGTATTCAGCAGCCCCAGTGCCGCTGATGCTCACCCCGCCTTGGAGAATCTGCACAAGCTGCTCTGAGGGCCCTGTCCATCTCCCAGACTTTGGTACTAGAATTCTAGAATTCTTCAGAATTCTGAACAGTTTTCACTGGGCAAGTTCCAAGAAGTTCCTTGAAGGAGGAATAAGCTCACTTTCTGTTCCCTGAACACCTATCCTGGGTACCCACCCAGTGGGAGTAGTGGGACATACTGTGGGGCAGGGTGGCTTAGAAGCTCAGCCTTCAGCCTGTCAGCCATGGAGAATGGTGGCAGGCCCAGGGGCAGGGTCTACTGGGAGTGGAGCGCTGGGCGCTTGTGGCTGCAGCACTGTAGAGGGCCTGAGGATAGGGCCACCTGTGCTACTGAGCTCAGAGTTTCTTCTACTGGAGTTGCCACACATTCTGCAATATGCACCCAAAGACATCACCTCCCCATTTAGGGTGGTCCTAATGGACTGAGGCCTAAGCTGAGGCTTCCAGCAAACCTGCTCCACCATCTGCTGGGTTTTTGTTTAGAGCAGGGAGGAGGCCCACTCTTTGTTGAGGGCTGTGTTCCCAGAGGGGAGCTAAGCAGCACCTTGATGTGGTTGGGAGTTTGAAGGCTCTGGGTTCCCCATCCATTTCTACCTCCGCACCATCTTGGGCAGTCCAGCCACCCTCTCTCAGGCGTGGTCTGCTCCTCCATGAAATGAGAATCCCATTAGTATCTGACTTAGGATTTCAATGATGCTTAAGTGAGAGGCTGTACAGAAAGGGATCTTTGCAACAGTCTTCCTGTTCTTTATGGCAGAGGAGAAACTCCACTAGACCTGCTGGCTTCAAGCCATGGCTGCTCTGCCAAGCTCCAACCATGCCCCCGGGAAGGCAACTCCACAAAGATGAGCCAGTCTTAGGGCAAAAAACTGTGAGAAAAAGCTGGAGAGAACACAAATTCCCAGGGTCAGGGGGAGGCTGGCAGAGGCAGCTACAGGAGAGAAGCTGCTTTGTAGAGAGCCATTCTGATCTAGTGCCGAGCAGGCACACAGAAGACCAGAAACATCCAAAGAGAGCTTTGTAGCTTGAGGGACCCCCAGAGGGAGTGACAAGGCTGACAACAGGTAGGGTGGGGGCATTTTCACAAACCTGGGTTCCCCAGGCCCAGCAACCTGAGGCCTCCTAGCCTTGGCCTGCCCTTGGGAGCTTTGCAGCTGCTAGACACTGCTCCCTCCTCTTGATGGAAGGTTGAATTGTGGGCTAGAATCCAAATATGTGGCCACTGTGGACTCAGGGGAGAGGGGGCTGCAAGAATGGGTATCTCCAGGGAAGAAGGCAGAGTTGGGCCAAACCTTGGGCCCCCAGGCCCAGACTCCAACAGAGACGCTGTCCTCACATAGCTCTCCTCACAGGGGGCTAGTCTCTGGGCAGAGAACAGGATATTAGGCCAACGGCAGCTTTGGGAGATGGGGAGGTGGGGGAGCAGCTGCAAGAAGGCCTCAGGCTGTCCAGACTCTGGCCAAGGCCACCTTCCCTCCCCTCACAGGCAGGCCACCACCCAGAAGCACAATCTGCTCATCTCTGTATTGGATTTGTAAACCACACCACGCCCAGGGTCTCCAGCGGCTCCAGGCCCTTGCCTGCAGGCCGCCTGAATGGCTCCCAGTAAATCCCTCCAAACTAAGTGTGGACCAAGTCACCTCCTGTCAGAACCCTTCATGGCCCCTTCTGCCATCTCTACCTCTATAGGAGCCTCTGAATGCTTAGGAGTAAAGAGCCATTGAGGAGCTGTGAATAATATAATCAGAATTTTAAAAGCATATGAGAAGTGGTGCTAAGAGGTCACTCTGAAGCTCCAGGGCAACTTCTGTGGTTTTGACTGCTTTTACTGCCCGGAGTACACCACCAACTGCCAGTTGTTTTTGAATCATAGTCACTGGAGTGACTAGACCAAGAGGGTTCAGGGCTATTGTTTTCAGAACTGAGCCTGTATGAAGACAGCCCAGGGGCTACTGGCTCTTTGGCAGCTCTGACTTACTACCTTTTGCTGGTGGCTTGCCCCTCCACCCCAGATTTTCTTCTCCCATCGAAGGGGACATCTAAGTCATCAGTGGCCTATGGAGGATATCATGGCCATGAGTGTGGCTCTCATGGTCAGGGTCTGGTCCCACTTGCTGCATACTTCCTGCTACACAGGAGGCACCTGATCTCAGGCAAAGAGGACACCAGTGGGGCTAGGCAAGGGTCCCTGGAGAGCATGCGTCTGCTACTACTATGCATTGGGCAGGGACTATGGCCCAGCACAGCAGAATTCAAGAAGCATAGGCACAGGGCAAGAGATATGAGCATGAGCTGCTGTCAGCCATCATCAATGAGCTGGTGCGGCACCTGAGATATCCCTTGTCTTGCTGGGACCAGCCATTGCCATTAGTGGCTTTCTGGGAGGTTGTCTGGGATCAGGGGCTCTGCAGCCAAATGAAACCTCCCTGGACTGCTGGAATGTCCTCTCTCAGGACAGAGTCACCTTGCTCCTAGAAAAAGACCCAGGAAGGCACCTACCTTTCTTCTGCCTCCTCCTCCTCAGCACTCCTTCCTCCAGGCGGAAAGCACTATCCTGTCCAAACTGTCCTGGCTTACAGAATGCTTACCCAGTGTGCATGATGGAACACTGATCCCCACAACTGCTCTGGAGAAGGATAATCTTCCCATCTAAAGAAGAGGAAGCTAAGGCCTAGAGAGGAGAAGGGACATTTCAAGAACCCAAGGTCAGAAGGAACCATAGGCAATAGCCTCATCAACTACCCCTACCCCACCAGCCCAGACCTGGCAGAGGATTTCAGGTTAAGCATCCCCAGCAGAAGCTAGTTTCAGGCCAGGTTGCTTTCTGCTTCTGGGGACCCTGGATGTCTACACAATGACTGCAATTCTTCCTTTTCTGATTCGATTGGCCATCTTCCGGAAACCACTGGGCCAGGCAGAGTGGAGGTGAAGGGAAATTACTACTCATAACCCTGATGTATTTCCTTTTCTTAAATACAAATTACCGCAGCCCCCAGCCCTAGTCAAACATAAAGGGAAGGAGCAGCTCAGGCAGGTGTATCCTAGTGCTGCACACTTGATGTCCATATTGCTGTCTGCTCTGACTCTGGGCAGGTTTGTTTTAATTAATCAAATTGCTATCAATTCATAGGCTTCACTTGACAGCCTCACCTTCTAATGCGGTTAAGTCCAAAGCCTGAAGCTCATGGGCCCTGAGCAGGTCTGACAAGGAATGGAGCCAATCATGCCGCCTTGACCTTGAGTGAGTCACTAGAAGTTCCCTGGGTGCCACCTGGCAGGGTTTAGGCCCTTGGATGGCTCACAGGGTCAGGGTCTTGGGAGCAGTGTGGTCCACTGTATGTTTCCTGAGGCTGCTGTAACAAGTTACCACAAACTAAATGACTTAAAACAACAGAAATGTATTGTCTCACAGTTGTGGAAGCCAGAAGACTGAGATCCAGGTGTTGGCAGGGCCGTACTCTCTTAGAAGGCTCTAGGGGAGACTGTTTCCTTGCCTCTTCCAGCTTCTGGATGTTGCCAGCATCCTTGGCTATGGCTGCATCACTCCAGTCTCTGCCTTTGTCTTCACATGGCATTCTCTGTTTTTGTTTTGTTTTGTTTTGTTTTTGTTTTTGTTTTTGTTTTTTGAGACGGAGTTTCGCTCTTGTTGTCCAGGCTGGAGTGCAATAGCGTGATCTCGGCTCACTGCAACCTCTGACTCCCGGGTTCAAGCGATTCTCCTGCCTCAGGCTCCCGAGTAGCTGGGATTACAGGCACCCACCAGCACGCCTGGCTAATTTTGTATTTTTAGTAGAGACGAGGTTTCTCCATGTTGGTCAGGTTGGTCTCGAACTCCCAACCTCAGGTGATCTGCCCGCCTTGGCCTCCCAAAGTGCTGGGATTACAGGTATGAGCCACTGTGCCCAGCTTTGTTCTGCATCTTTCTCCTTTCTTCTAAGGACAATTGCCATTGGATTTAGGGCCTACCTGAATAATCCAGGCTTATCACATCTCAATGTCCTTACCTTTATCACATCTGTAAAGACCCCCCACCCTCTTTTTTTTCCAAATAAGGTCACGTTCAGAGGTTCTGAGGGTTAAAGCTTGGACATATCTTTTTGGGGTCCACCCTTCACCCCAGTACATACACTCCCACTGATGGATCACTGACTTCCAAGAAGTCTGGCTATCAGGGCAGTGTGGCCTTTGGCAGGATCGACTGACACTTTCTCCTTTCAGAGCTAAAGTGGCTGAGAGCCTGAGGGGAGGAGGCTGCCTGGCCTCAAGTTCCCCTGGCAAGTGAGGCACGTAATGGAGGAGGGCAGGGACTTGTCTCTCAGCCCCTAGGCTCCTATTGTCTGGATAAGCCTGCTGAGCTCTGAGCCAGGCCTAACACATTTACATGACACAGGCATTTGTCAAGGGAATGAGCCCTTGGGGTCCCTGGACACAAGGCAGGGCTGAGCATTGGATGGGGTGTGACTCTACTCCCAGATGGCACTGGGAGGCCTTGTCCCGCTACAGGCCTCAGGCCCCTCAGCTGGAAAAGGAGAAGATCTTAGGGGTTTTTAGGCTCAGTGAGGATCTTAGGAGGTTCTCCCAGTTTGGATACCCATGGCTGCCTGAGAGGCCACTGCAGCTCCCTGCTCTTAGAGTGAACACACTGGCAATATCCCTTCTGCAATTTCAACAGGGGCACCTTGGGTGGCCTGGGACTCATGGGTCCCCAGGAATGGCCCATAACCCTTACAGGAATCCAAGCCAGAGCAGAAAGACTTTATAGTTTATTGTCTGGGTTAGGCGCAGAACAAAGTTGCACTCTAGACACCCCAGAGGCTTGGGTCTGGACGTGGTTGCCACTTGAAGTTTCCTGCTCCTGTGACATTCCTGCTCTGTGGCCATCCAGTCTCTCCTGGTATGCCACCATCTAAAGGAACCTCAGTCTCCATCTCCCTTCTTCCTGAAGCAACAGATAGTAGCATGTTTCTGACTTCTTGAGAAGTCTTCTTTCCTCTTGTGCACTGGCGCCTGCACCTCAGTCACTTCTGCCACCCCACCCCCATCCTAACTGAGCCCCACATTGAGGAACCTGGCCACCCACATCAGGAGGTGCCCTCTCTTCTACCAGGCAAATAGAAATTCTTTTGCTCCTCCACCCCCAGCCTTCCCTTCTTCAGATATGTTTCAGTTTATCAGGGCCTTTCAACATGTGAGGCCCAGAGCTGACCAGAGCAGAACAGAGCAGAGAATAGGGGAGCTGTGCCCACTAGACACTGTGCCAAACCTTTGACACCTAGTATCTCATTGACTGTTCCTAACAGCACTTTGAAATAGTTTCTACTACTGTACTCTGAAAATATGACAAAGACAATCTGAGTCTCAGAGGGGTCCAAAGTCGTACAGGTAATAAGTGGTAGCGTCAAAAGTCTAACTCACAATTGGCTCCACAGCCACACCTTACACGTTGAACTGCAGAAGAAAGCAGCACACTCACCCCCTTGTTCTGAATACTTGGCCCCTGTAGATACAGCCTAAGGCCCTGATTGTTTATCTGGCCACCCATCCCGGCACCAACTCACACAGAGAGGTTGACTATTCTCACCCATCTCTGTGTCTTGTCCTATATGTTCTCTGGGCCCTGGTTCACGGTCCCTTGGTCTCCATGGTCTGGGTCCTCTCCTCCAACTAAACCATGCTCAAGCCTGTGTAGGTTCCTTGGAGAAGCACCCTTCCCTCCTTTTTCCTGCTCCACACCCCTGCCAGCCAATGTGATCACTGAGGAGAGAGAAGTTGGAGCACAGCAGGTGGGCAAAGGGCTGGCACACAATGCTGTGAGCTGGCAACTCTAAATTGAGAGCAATTCCTGGAAATCAGGATACAACTGTTGAGGCCAAAGGCATCCTAATTAAATTGGCCTTCAAAATAAACAAGTGCGTCTCTTCAGGCATCAGCTGTGATTCTGCAGAGTTCCAAGATGAGCCCTAAATGAGATAAAGCCTCCAGTCCAGGTTGGGCTGGGCATGTAGGGACAGAATGTGGGGCGATCTATGGGAGCCATTAGCATGATCATGTTTGAATTGCAAGTCATATGACAGAAACTGGGAGGGAAGGATCTGGGCCTCAGGTCCAACCTGTGGCACCACTTCCTGGCTGTGGGCTCTCAGGTACTGCACCCATCCTTCCTGCAGGGCTATGAACCATGTCATCCGCAAAATGGGAGGCAGGGGAGTGGCAAGAGACATTGTACTTTCAATAAAGCTTGGTGGCAGGGGGCTTCTCCCTCTCAAGGGTTCTTCTAGACCTGGGAGCTGAGGTTCCTGGGGTTGGAGTAATTCAGATGTGTAACACTCTTCCCCTACACCTGAAATAAGACCATTTTTAAGAAGCATGCACAAATATTAGTACCAATGGTTCCAATGGTGACATTCCTTGGGGACTCAAAAAAGTCAGAATATGCTCCATGGGCTTTGAGCATTACCAGCCACAGCCACATAGCATTTTTAAGTTTTACATTCTGGGCAATTCAGTGCAATTAGACAAATATGTTCCCCAATGTAATGATGAACAAGGGTGCCCTGTGGGGAAATGGAGAGGATAGGCTTGGTGCCTGTTCTTGATGATCTCACAGATGAGGAAATACTTCCATCTAATGACACCCAGCCTGATAAGTGCTAGAGAAGATGCTCCAAGAGTGGGCTCAGGAAGCTCAGAGTAAAGCATGACCATTTTCCACTTAAAAACCTGAGAAAGCAGGCCGGGCGCAGTGGCTCACGCCTGTAATCCCAGCACTTTGGGAGGCCGAGGCGGGCGGATCACGAGGTCAGGAGATCGAGACCACAGTGAAACCCCGTCTCTACTAAAAATACAAAAAATTAGCTGGGTGCGGTGGCGGGCACCTGGAGTCCCAGCTACTTGGGAGGCTGAGGCAGTAGAATGGCGTGAACCCAGAAGGCAGAGCTTGCAGTGAGCCGAGATCGTGCCACTGCACTCCAGCCTGGGCGACAGAGCGAGACTCCATCTCAAAAAAAAACCAAAAAACAAAAAAACCCTGAGAAAGCTTTCTGGAAAAGGCAGTGGTTGACCTGGGCCTTGGAGGATATGTAATATTTCAATGGCCAGAGTTGGTGATGAAGGCATTCCTGGTAGAGGGGAGAGCAGTGACAAGGGCATGAGAGGACACATTTGGAAAATGGCAAGGAGCCCATTTGGCTGGGTCCCTGTGTCCTGGGCTGACATCATGGGTGAGGGCAGGTCCGATTCTGCAGATGATAGTAAGCCATCAAAGCTCTTAAGTAAGGGAGGTGGCACCATGCATAGCCATGTGCAATGGTTCTCAGAGTAGGATCTGTGGACCCGTGGAGGTCTCCAAGACCCTTTTAGAGGATCCTCAAGGTGAAAACTATTTTCCCAATAATACTGAAATGTTCTTTGATATTCCACTGTCATGCTTTCCATTTGCACTGCTGGTGCAAAAGCAGAGGTAGGTGAAAAGAGCAGGTTCCTGAGCATGAATTGGGACCATGGCACCAACTGTACTAGTTGTCAATTGGATTCTTCACCACCACACACCTGCAGTTTAAAAAATGCCAGCTTCACTTACGAATGTTCTTAGCGAAGCAGTGAAAATTAACTTTATTAAATACTAGCCCTTGAGTCCCCTTATTTTTAAAATTTGGTGAGACACAATGAGAACTATGCTCAAAGCAGTTCTGCTGGAATCAAAGTGTAGTCGTTGACTCAAGGCAAAGCACTACTGCGTGTTTTGAGTTGTGAGCTAAACTGGCCGATTTTTCATAGAACATCATATTTACTTGAAAGAATGACTAACTAATGTTACTCAGACTTGGGTATTTGGCAGACATTTTCTTGTAGATGAACGAAGTGAGCCTGTCACTTCAAGGAAAACAACTGACTATAGTTTTTGCCAATGATAAAATTTGAGCCTTCAGGCAAAAATTTGAATTTTGAAAAGCTTGTATCCACCACTGTAAGCTTGACAGCTTCTCAACAGTTAAAGGCTTTTTCCAACGAGATGGGTCATAATATTAACAAATGTGATCTTGTGATGTTGTGGAATGAAATATGTCAACATATGGAGGCTCTCCATAAGTCAGGGCACCACCATTTTTTAAAGCGACCAATACACAATGTTACCAAACAATAAATAGGTAAAAAATCCATTCAAAAGACAAGAGAGTCCAACGGAACCAAGTAGAGAAGGCTCACTGATAAAGTTTTGCATCCCACATTACACTTAACCTGTAAAAAACAACCATTGGTGGAGTTTTTGTGTCCTATCAAAGACAAATGTCCACAATGATCTGAAAAGTCTATTAAAATATTCCTCCCTTTCTCAACTTCATATTAGTGTGAGGCCAGATTTTCTTCATGTACTTCAACCAAACAACATCTCACAACTGAATAAAGAAGTAGATGTGAGAATCCAGCTGTCTTCTAGCGAGCCAGACATAAAAGAAATTTGCAAAAATGTAACATAATGCCACTCTTTTCAATACAAGTTTTTGTTTAGAAAAATATAGCTATTTTCATAAAAATACTATTTATATTTACATGTAATTAGTTCATTATTTTAATTTCAAAATAAATAAATATTTTAATATTTTTTCTAATATGGTAACATAAATAGATATGACCCACATAAACAAAAGGTCTTTGGAGGCCTCAATAAGTTTTTGTCATTGTTGTTGATTTACCTCATTATATCATTTTTTTTTCTGAAGTAAAATTCACATGACATAAAATTAACTACTTTAAAGTGTATAATCAGTGGCAGTAAGTATATTCTCAATATTGTGCAACCATCGCCTCTGTAGTTCCACATTTCCTTCACCCCAAAAGGAAGCCCCGTACCATTAAGGAGTCACTCCCCTTTCTGCTCTTTCCCCAGTCCCTGGAAACCACTAATCTCATTTCTGTTTCTGTAGATTTACTCTCAATAAGTTTCAAGAGTATAAAGGATCTGAGGAAAAAAGTTTGAGAGCCACTGGCTTAGTGGTTCAAATCCCAGCTCTGTTTTTATTAGCTGTGATTCCTTGCTCAAGTTGCTTAACTTCTAGGAGTCTCATTTTCCTCCCTAAAATGAAGATAATAATAATAGCATATTCAGAGGGCTATTGTGAGGATTAAATGGAATAATCATGTAAAGCTCCTGGCAGATAGTAGATAATAAATGGGAGTTCTTATCACCAAGACTGAATCCAGTCCCCACAAAGAAACACTGATTCCATTTCCATACACTCTGTAGACATGACTGGCAACACCTTAAGAACAAGAGGCAGCTTCTTCACCTCATTGTCACATGCTTACCAGCCATAAGGCTTTGGTGAGTAACTTTACCTCTCTGAGTTTTGTTTTCTTTATCTATAAAATGGGCCTAATTATAATACTAATCCCACAGGGTATTTGTGAGAATCAACACAGGAGTGAATGCTTACAATATTCTTGGCATGCAGGAGGCACTCAATGTCAGGTAGTTGTCTGGGAGGGGTTGCAACAATGATAACGACATAGATGAAAATGCTGACACTGTGTCTCTTGGCACCCTGTGGGCAGCTCAGGGGCTACCACCACAGGTTGGCCCTTCCTTTGGGCTGTTTCTTGTGATGGGCCCACAACCCCCTCTTTCCAGGAGATGGCAAGATCATCACATCACAGTCAGTTCAGTGGCCTAAGAGGCTTCATCTTTACTTAGCTGCTCTCTGTGCAGAGGCTGCTTGGGCTTTAGAAGAGTGAGTAAGTTTACACCAGGCTTTTTGCTAGAGCCCCATCTCAGCTGTAGCCCAAGACAACACTCTAGTTCCCTAGTTATGCACTCAGCTGGATTAAAGGGCACTTTGACTACTGGCTGGTGGAAGTTCCCAAGATACCCTAGAGAGTCCTTAGGGGCTCAAACTTAATCTTTTGGCATATCAAAGGAAAGAAACAAGGTCTGCCGCTGGCATCCATTCTGATGGTGCAGGGCTCCCTGTGGTAAATCTGTCTCCACTGCCATTGGCATGTGGATCCAGGACCTGTCAGGCCTGCAGCTATTGACCTTGAGCCTCTCAGTTGTAGGCTGACCACCATGAAGCTAGAGATGTCACCATTTAGCCACGCTTCACTGCAACATTTAACATCCTGCTGATACGGCTGTGAAATCTGAATTCTTGTCAAAGTGATATTGAGAGTGGTAAGCTGAGGAAGGCTGGCCCTCGCAGCCATGTGTCCAAGGGCAGGTCAGGTGGTAGGGTGGAGAAAAGACAAGACTGGGAATCAAGAGACTTACATTCAACCCTGGGGAGAGCTGGAGACATGAGCTGCCTGGGCCTCAATTTCCCCACTTGAAGAATGGAAGGTTGTACTAGCTCAGGGCTAACTTTAGTTAGCATTAGTCAGGGAGCAACTGCCACTGAATATTCACTTTCCTGGGCCCTTGAGGAGATTCTTTGTGATTTATTTTGCCCTGGAGAAGCTTGTTCTGGTCCTGAGGACCTGGATGAACAGGAACTTCTATCCTGGGTGGGTGATATAACTCATCACATATCACAAAGAAAGCTGGCTGGCTCAAAGCTTCATCCCAATGGGAAAGGATCTGTCTTAAGCTTCTTCTCCCATCCAAACACCCCCACTTACCAAAACTCATCTTGGCAACACTGGCTTAAAAGCCTTCTTGCCTCTGCCCTTTTACAAACTCATACAGCTGGACTTGAGTCCTCCTAGTGTCCCACTAGCAGCCGTTTGGAGGAGGGGATCCAGCTCATCTAAAGGACTTTGGTGGCCCAAGGGTGCCACTTCCCTGTCAGGAGGTTAGCAGCAGTGGGGAGAAATAGAGCAAGCATGAAGGGAATCCATGATGTGCACAGAGGGGGCACTTATGGAGACAGTGGCCAAAAAAAAGATTGGCATATCTGTTGATGGGGGATGGCAGTAGGTGAGCACAGGGTGGGCAAATAGGAATACACCTCAGTCAGGGCTGGGGAAGTTTATTGGGTGGGTTTAGGAATCTCTGGATTTCTGTGTTCCAGACTTCGCCTGGGGATAATATAGACTGGGTCCCTGACATACCATGTGCTCCAAGTGGAATGGGTTCTGAATGACTGAAATGTTTACCCCCCTGGCACTCTATCTGACGATCTGCACTGATGTACTCTGAGGATGCTGAGTCCATGTGCTATCAAAGGCATGGAAGTGGCTGGGAGGGACGAAGGATGAAAACAGGAGCCAGTGTAAAGTGGGAGAGGTTAGGGCTGCTGGGCTTGGGCTGGAGAAGCAGCCCCTTTATATAGTCATTGGAGCCTCGGGGCATGACGCTAGAGAAAGACAGCATGGAGGGCCCACTTGGCCTGTCCAGATGAGGATAGACTTTTACATCCACTTTAGATTGAGTGGAGGAGAGGTCCACAGGGGTGCCTTAGAGTAGAGGTCAACAGACAAGAATCCTCCGTGCTCAAAGTCTGCCTTTATCTTCTCAAGGATGCAAGATAGTGCTGAATATGCCACTCCTCTTTCCCCTGATACCATGTTGACAAAATGTTCATTCAATTCTTTCAAAAAAATCCAAACACAGTAATCTTCCTGAGGAATTCAGAATTTTCTTAATTTCTGTCTGACATCCCTGCCTCTCTGGGGAGGTAGAGGTAGGAAAGAATATAGAAATTGTCCAAGTCTGAAAGTTGGCTCTAAGGAAACTTTATGCTGCAAAGCAGACATGCAAAATCTCTCTTGTAGTTGTCACAATGATATTAAATTACCTACTTTATTCATTTATGAGGCTCAATGCGAGCAGCAAATCTTAGCTGGCAGGCCCCAGGCCTGGGCTGTTGAGGGAAACAGGTGGTATGTGAGCACACACACCTTGTCAAGGCCTTTCTTGATGTCTCCCAGTGGCCTGAGTCCTCCTATAGGGCCTGCCCAGGCTTCAGGCCTCACTACCACTTGCTGCCTGGGAGTACATGACTACATGGCCCTCACTGTTCACCCAGCTTGAGCCATGCTCTTGCAGATGGAAAAAGAGCATACATGCATACTTGACCTCTGCCCTGTGAGGTAAGCAACACAGATATCAATAGTCCTGTTTCACAGACAAAGAAATTGAGGCCCAGAAAGGTTAAGTGATTGGTCATACTCAGCTGGCAGTAATAGAGCTGTGTCAAAACTCAGCTTCTCTGACTCCAAGCTCAGTTACCTTGCCATTCTGCATGCTGCCTCCTGAACTGGCCATGAACACTCTTTGAAGAGGTCATCTCAGAGTGAGGACACAAGTTGGGGTATCTGTCTCCACAGTTCTTCCCCATTCACTCTGTGAATGCAAACATGAATTTACGTTTGGCAAATATCAGTTAATATATCACTTCCATAGATAATTGAAAATTGGCTCTTGCCTGGGTGCAGTGGCTCATGCCTATAATCTCAGCACTTTGGGAAGCCAATGGGGGAGGATCACTTGAAGCCGGGAGTTTGAGATCAGCCTGGGCAACATGTTGAAATCACATCTCTTCAAAAAATAAAAAAAAAAATAGTGGGGTGCAGTGGCACGTGCCTGTAGTCCTAGCCACTTGGGAGGCTGAGGTGGAAGGACTGCCTGAGCCCAGGAGTTTGAGGCTGCAATGAGCCATGATCATGCCACTGCACCACAGCCCTCCAACCTGGGTGACAGAGTGAGACCTTGTCTAAAAAAAAAAATAAATAAAACCGAAAATTATCTCTCAAAATTACGGCAAAAAGATGAGACCTCTGGGTTAGTGAATTCAGGAGTCAAGGGGTAAGATTTTTAAGATGAATCCAGATATGGCATTAACTTTAGTAGGTGTTTAAAGAAGAGTTACAGCCATGTGAATACCCTGCTGTAAGACCTAGGTGATGATGAAAACTATTGTAGGCTGGATAATGGCCCCAAATCTGGAACTTCTAAATGTTACCTTATATGGAAATAGCATCTCTGCAGATGTGAATAAATTAATAATTTTGAGATGAGGATGTTATCCTCACATCTTCATCCATTTGGGTAGGCTCTAAATGCAACATCATGTGTCTTTATAAGGGGGAGGCAGAAGGAGATTTGACACAAATGCACAGCCCTGGGAATAGGAGTGCTACCTAGCCCTGCCACTTCCTAGCTGGGTTGTTTTTGGCAACTTGAAGGATAGGAATGGAACATACCCTCTTAGAGTCCACAAAAGTTAAATGAGAAAATATATGATGGATGGTAAGCACTCAAAAGAAGATGGCCATTATCATCTTTCTTTATTCGTGAAAACATAAGAACTCTTTTCATATGTAGTAGGGCTGAATAATTGGCCCCCATGATGCTCACATCATAATCCCCAGAAGCTGTGAATATGTTACCTGACATGACAAAAAGGACTTTGCAAATGTGATTGACTTAAGGATCTTGGGATGGGGAGGTCATTTTGGATTTTCAGGATTTGCCCTAAACGTAATCAACAATGATTCTTCTAAGTGGGATGGAGGAGGGTTAGAGTCAAAGAAGGAGATGTAATGACAGAAGCAGAGGTTGGAGTGATGTGGGGTCATGAGCCAAGGAATGTAGGTATCCTCCGGAAACTAGAAAAGGAAAAAAAAGAAAAAAGATCTTCCCCCTAGAGCCTCTAGAAGGAATGCAGCCCTGCCAACTCACTCCAGTCTTCTGATCTCAAGAACTGTAAAATAATAAATTTGTGTTGGTTTAAACCACTCAGTTTGTGGAACTTTGTTACGGCAGCCCTAGGAAACTAATACATCATATAAGGTGAAAGAAGGGTTTTTCCTTCCATTGTATACTTGTCTTAGGCTTCCTTCTAAGGAATGCTAAGCTTGCGAGGTAAGGTGGTTACCTTGTGGTATATCTTTATATCCCCCAGAGTTCTGCAGGACCTGTCCCTGACAAGATCTCTCCAATCATTATTTTCATTCAATGCTGGTGCCATTGACCCATCTCAGATCCATATTAGCTTTCTCTAGGACTCTTCAAACAGAATCCTCATAGGCCTCCTAGACAAGCTGTCTCCATCTCAGCTCCATCATCTATGCAGTCCCCAGCATGAGCTCTCTAACATACCAAGTCTGCCATATCATTCCTCTGCTCAGAAACATCCAGTGGCTCCCTATCACCTACAGGATGAAACCCAGCACCACAATCCATTCCAACCCCACTTACTTCTTCAGCCTTCTCTCTTGCTATGCACTGCTATCTGCTTTAACATTACCAGCTATCCTGAACCTCTCCCTCTTCCCTTTCACCATTCCATATCATCACACAGTCTGTTCCCTCCACTTGGCCATTCTCAGCCATCCTTCAAACTTCATCTCCCACGAAAAGGCCTCCCCCAACTCCTAGCAGAAACTAGGGAACTCCATGGCTTGCTCCTGGAGCATGTGTCCAGATTGTACCACAGGTGGCTGATTATGTGTCTGTCACCCTCATGTGACCATGAGCTACCGGCAGGAAGGGACTCTGGCTGATTCATTCCTGCATCCTCAGAGCAGGTACTTGCATGTGCTCTTTGAATTGGCCAATTGCTGAACTAGTGTTTGTCAAGTGGAATTACTTAGCATGGATGGCATCCTGACACAATGCAACTTTGCTTGGCACCAGCAAACTGTCATCCTCCCTGTCTCTCCCATCACCTCTCCAGCACCAGGCTTCAGGGGCTGGCAACTTTATCTGTGTGGATGCCCAGCCCCTGTATGACACTGTTTATTGATTTTAGTTGGGCTACAATCATTACATCTGTTACCCAGCTCCACACAAGGGCTTTTAATAGTCCCTCTCTTTCTCGAATTCTCAGCTTCAGATCTGTCAGCCACAGAAATGTTGCTTTCCTTCTCTTTTCTAAGTCCATACCATACTGATCATTCATTCACCACTCTGGGAGTCTCCGATTTTCCCACATAGCCCCAGAGAGGCTTCCAGATAAAACAGCTATGACACAAAGTGACAGCAGGCATGCCAAGAGATACCTATCATAGCGCCCGGCATGTTGTAAGTGCTTATAACACAAATTTCTACGGTAGTAATTCTTCATGCACCAGAATCATCCAAGGACTTGTTAAAAATCAAATTTCTGAGTGCCACTCCAAGAGGTTCTAAATCAGTAGGTCTTCAGTGGGGGCCAAGAATTTGCATTTCTAACAAGTTTCTGAGTGATGGAGATGCTGTTGGTCCAGGGAACACACTTTGAGAACTGCTGGTTTTCAGAATGAGTGTGAATAAGCAAATTAAAGAGAACTTGTGAAAGAAAAGGCACTGTACCACGAGGCCTGTGGAATGCCTACTAGTTGGCAAGGAATGCACGTGGATGCTGAAGGTAGCAGAGAGCTCAGGCAGTAGAAACGGGATCTGAGAAATGCACATGGGATGGGGGGTGATAGGGGCATAGGATACACAGAGAAGGAAGGGCAGGCTCAGGGACAATATAAAGACACTGGGTGTCTGTTTGTATGTGAATAAACTGGTATCTTATAGCCAACGAATCCACTGATATGTGGCCACCATTTCTAGATTAGCTGCTTGGTTACCTACTTCTTAATCCAGCTTTAGTCACAGATCAAGGAGTCTGCAGAGGAGAAGACAGGCTATGCTAGAAAAATATCAATGCTAGTAGGAAAGTGGCATACAAGGCTGCTGAATTAGGTGAGCTAGATCTAGTGTCCTAGATGTCTGTTAATGCAGGGAGGAGCAAATATAAGCAGACATTTCCATAATTTCTAATTGGTTCATTTATATGTTTACTTGTTCTTATTTCATTTATGTCTGTTTTGGTACGTAATTTCTTAGTTTTAAAAACTAGATGTTATTTTTCACCTCTTTGAGGATACTAAATGTATCTTTTATCAAATCATTTTTAGGCTGCAATAATACTTTCACTTTGTCAAGAGGGAATCCATCTCCTTAGTGTTGATTTTTTTTTTAGCTGTCACTCTTCATATTCATTTTTCTCATGTGTTTTGGGATTTTGGCTTAGCTCATGTAGTAGTATGTTTGTTTATTTTCTCTGCCCTCACCCTTTCCTGTTTAGTGTTCTTGTTATTGCCTCCACCTAGCACCCTAGAGCTCTCGGTTAAAAATCATGTATTTGCTTGGTGACTCAGGCTTCCATCCTGCTGCGATTCTGGGGATATCACCAGATTTACAGGTAACTTGAGCCAAGTCCTGGTTGCCAGGATGTGTCTGCTTCATCTTACATCCCTAAGTTTGCAGCTCTGTGTAAACCGCAGTTCTAATCAGGGGGTAACTGCAATGTTTATACATCCTTTTCATGAATGGGAAAGCCCCACACTAGGACTTGGTTTCAAGCAGTAAATCCAGTGCCTTCTCATTACCCCATAGGAGCAGAACACCTGGTCATCTCCATCTCCTTCTAGATCCAGAGCTTAGTTGCCCTGTGCCTTCATCCCTGCTTAGCAGATATATTTATGTTCCAATTTTGGTCCACTGAGATACTTATTTATTTATTTTTAGGGCTGTATGCATTTTTCTCTTTATAGTACATTCTTGCCATGTATTTGGTGGAGGTGTCTTAAAGTGTAAACTTTGAAAAAGCCATCTTAGCCAGCAGTCCAGATTGGCTTAGTTCTCAGTTCTTTACTAGTGTTGTTTGGACCATGAACTGATTTATAAAAATTTAGATTATATTAGTTTCTAGGACTGCCACAACAAAGTGTCACAAACCATGTGGCTTAAAATAACAGAAACTTATTCTCACAATTCTAGAGGCTAGAAATTTGAAATCAAGGTCTTGGCAGAGCCACATTTTCTCTGAAGGCTCTAGGGGAAGATGCTTCTTTGCTTCTTCTTTGCTCCTGGTGGTTGCTGGCAATCCTTGTCATTCCTAGACTTGTAGACATGCCATTCCAATCTCTGCCTCCATCTTCACATGGCCTTCTCCCTGTGTCCGTGTCCATTTTCTCTTCTTAGAAAGATACCAATCATTGGATTAGGGCTCACCCTAATTCAGTGTGACCTCATCTTAACTAATGACATTTGTAAAGACTCTATTCCCAAATAGATCATATTCATAGGTTTAGGGCAGGCACAAATTTTAGGGGGACACTATTCATGAGTACACTAGGCTATGACCCTAGAGGCACGCCCTGCTCCTGACTGAGGCAATGGGATATTCACCTCATCTCCTGATTCCCAGCTCTAGCTGGGGCCACTTAGCTCCCCATTAAATGCTATTTTCAAAAGTGCTACTGGATTATGGAATGTGACTTGCTTTTTGTCAGAATTTTGGAGTATCCTAATAGTGAATCAGTAGCATAATCTCTATGTACATGGGATGGCAAATGATGTCTGTTCTTGTACCCTAAATAATATTCCTGAGTCTTAGGCAAGTGCTCAGGTCCAGAAGGACATGTTTAGTTCTTTCAGTAGGTAACTTGAGAATTCAAAGTTGGCAGAGGAAGTCCAGTAACATCTCATTTATCTAGCATTGTCAGGCTCTTTGTCGTTATAATAAATGATCCCACATGGCTGAACCTCTTGCATTCGAACCTACTTTGTATAATATTGCTGCTTCCTCTGTCACTGTCAGTGGCCATTTGTGATGTCTGCCAGCCTCACTTCCAGTAGCTCTGGCCCTCTCTTTCTAATTTGCTGCTTCTATGTGCTACAGGCTGAGAGAACTGGCAGCAGAGCTTGCTAGACATGTGGGCGTGAAGCCACAAACTGCATATGAACCTGCCGAGCTCCCTGGTGAAGGAAGGGCAGGAGACTTCAGGCTATTTCAGCTCTTCAGACGCTGTTCTGAGGTTGATGACTTTCTGATTCAGTTAGGTCACCAATTACATGATTTTGGAATAATTGAGGTATTACTGAACTGTATAGAAACTACTTTTTGAAATCTGTAGGTTTCACAGACTTTATTTGGCCTGAGCACCCATTTGTGCCACTGGAGACCTGGAAGGGTCAGAGTGATGAGGCTGAGGCCAGCTCACAACTCAGGCTCTTTCTGCTGCTCCATCTTCCTTCCTCCTGCCTCATTCAGTGGTTTCCTCCAAGATTCCTAGGGCAGAGCCAGAGCTCCAGGCACTGGGGTCCAGACAGCAGGGCAGGAAAGTTCCGGGGGACACCAGAGAGAGTATGGCGTGGAAGAGAGAAGATCTTAGAGTCAGCCAGACCTAAGTTTCAATAGCCACTCTTCACTTAGTAGCTGTATGACTTAGGTGAAATTATTTAACTCTGGTCTTGACTTAAATACCTATAAAATGAGGATAATAATAACATCTACCTTGTGGGGATGCTTTTTGTGTATCAATTAAAACAAAGTGGTAAAAATGTTCAATGTATTGTAGGCACCCAATGGTAGCCCAGCATTTTCATTGTTGGATGTTAGTCTTCTGCTCATCCATTTATTCAGCATCAGAAAATACACAGCAGTACCAGAAACACACATGCACTTTATGTCCTGCTGAGAGATTGCTAATAAGCACTAGTCCTCAGCTTCCTAGGATGTGGAATGAGTCAGTAATATAACTGGAGGCTTTAGGACAGTAGGCAGATGTGGCCTGTCCTTCCTCACTCTGCCTCTGGCTCTCTTTCTCCAAACTCTAAGTCTCTGGAGGCTGTAGGCAACAGGCCCAGATTGGAAGCTCACCCCTCTCCAGTGGGCCCAGGGGGAAAAAAACCTCCAAGCTCAACATCTTGCAATTACTGGGAAGAACTGGGCACAGCTCTGTATTCTCTACCCTTTGAAGAACTTCCTAATGACCTTCAGAAGAAGGGAGGTTCCTTCCCCTACATTCCCCACATCTCAGTCAGGGTCTCAGCAAATAGATGGATAAGCAGTTACTGCTGCAGAAGGGCTAACATGAGGATTCTAATTTTGGGGCCACACTGCTATTCAGAATCTGCAGCCATTTGAGCAGCACTTTTAATGTTTTCAAAGTCCTTTCCTATTTTTTTAAATATGACCCCCATTTTAGCGATGGAGAAATGAAGGCAGTGACTGAGGCAGAGAGGGAGGAGGACCCCTGAATAAATTAGCAGCTGAGGTGGGGTCAAAGCCCTGGTTTCTTGCTTCACTGAGCCCTTTCTATACCATGTGGGCCCTATCAGTTAGGAATCAAAGAACCAGAAGAAGACAACAAGCCTGTCCACTATCCCTTAAGTAGCCAGCCTGAGCTTCCTTGGAGACCCCAAGAACACAAGACTTCACTCCAAGGACAAGCCAGGACTTCACTCCAAAGGACAGGCCAGGATGCTGGGGTGGGGGGCAATGTCCTCATTCTAGTTTTGTCACTCAAACTCTAGAACAATTGATAGTATATTTCCTGGGCTCAGCTCATTGGCTATGTGTGGAGAGTGGGCCTGGAGAGGAAGTCAGGGGGGTGTCAAGGGCAGAGGTAGGATGAGAACCCTTCCTCTCTGGGTCATTCACAGGGCACTTATACATTCTGACCTGCTGTGGTGGCCTTTAAGATCGTCATCTTCCCCATCTGTAAAGTGGGTATAACATCATTGTCAACTGCCTTATGGTGGCTGTTAGAAGGCTCAGAGGCCATTAGGGATGAGTGAGTGATCTATAAAGGAGAATCAGTATCTGACTTGGCTACTCATTCTAATTCATAGGGTGGCTACTAGGGGACAGATGGTGAGCTAAGTATTGTGCATGAATCATCCCCAAATAGCCCAGTGACAGAACTGATATGAGAGCCTTTTCTGACCAATTCCAGAGGCCTAAAAAATGAGCTGGAAGTCATACTGCTATGTGCATAAGACTGTCATATTTTGCAAACAAAAATAAAGGACTCCACTGACATTTGAATTTCAGGTGAATGATTAACAATATTTTAGTATAAGTATGTACTGTGCAATATTTGTGACATACAAAAATTATTCAGTTTATCTAAAATTCAAATTTAACTGGGCATCTTGTAATTTATCTAGCAATCCTATGTGTACATGGAGTTGGCATTGCAGGGGCAGCAGGTAGGCAGGCTTTTTGTTTGTATATTCATTTTGAAGCAAGGGAGTTAGCAGTCCATATACTAGTAGAGAAATTATCTTCCCACCAAAACAAGTCACCACTGCTGTTCTCACCTTGAGGGCCACCATGAACATATACAAACTTGATATTGTGTCCTGAAGAAAAACCTTCACCTAAGCTTATATCCTGTCCCTTCTCTTTTCTTCCTGAATGTTCCTACGACCCTACTTTTCCCCATTCATCTGGGCTCCTTTGGGGAATTTAAAAAATATTTTATCAAGGATAAAGGGGATATTTTAAAAAATAAAGGTTATTTTTGCATGTTTAGCATTTGAGTCCACCTAAACATGAAGTTCATGATGTTTAAAGATATTTGTAGCCTTCCTTTCTGTCCAAGACAGAGTCACAGGGGCTGAATTTATCCTACAGCTTGAAACAATCAACAAACAAACAAACAAACAAAAAAGAAACAATACTTTGCAAGATTCTGGGCATTAGGTAATGCAAGACAGTGATCCTTAATACATGGGAAACAAATGAGGCAAGTGCTACAATTGCCCCAGCTTATTGCCTAGAGAGAGATTTAAGGCTGTGGAACAGGGAGGGAAAATCCAGGCAGAGTTTGATGCTCTCCCTGAGTTGAAGATATGGCTGGGAATCCAGGAAGGCCAAGGAGGCTAACTTTACAAGATAGGTATTGTAAAACTGCACAGAGGGGACATTTTGGCGACCCACTGAGGGTCTCCCTTGAGTATTCAGTGTAGTAATGATCAGTGAATCCATGTGAAGGAACTACCTAAGGCCTAGAAAAGAACTACTTGAAAGAATTATGAGTAACAGTACCTGTAACTTACACAACTCAGGATAATGCCTGCTTCTCCCAGCCAGTCTGGAAAAATCTCAGATTCACAACGTATTGAGTACAGCACACAAATGAATCTTATCTCAGTATTAGGGAATAATTAGCTCTAGACTGATAACTGCTTCAATCCTCCTAACAAATCATAAAAGGAAAACCTGAGAGGTTCAAGCTATTTCCAAGTAACTTAACTATGCTCCAGAACAAGGCTCAAGAATATTCATAGGAATACAAAAATATCCAGCACCAAATAGGGCAAAATTCACAGTGTTTGTCATCCAATAGAAAGTTACCAGGCAAACAAACACAAAAGCAGGAAAATATGACCCACAATGAGGAGATTGAAACCAACACAGAATTGAAACAGATGTTAGAATTAGTAGATGAGGACATTAAAATGGTAATTATAACTGTATTCCAAATGTTCAAAAAGTTAAGTAGAGACATGTGAGATACAAAACAGACCCAAATTGAACTTCTAAAAATGAAAACTATAATGTATGACACAAAAATACACTGGATGGGAATAATGGAAGATTAGACATTGTAGATAAAAGATTAGTGAACTTGAACAACCACTAATAAAAATTATCCAAATGAAACACAGAGAGAAAAGATATAAAAAAAGAACATAATTGAACTGTGAGAGAACTTCAAAGACTTAATACATGTGTAACTGGAGTCATGTGAAGGAAGGGAAGAGGCAGAAAAATATTAGAAGAAATAATGACCACAAATTTTCCAGATTTCGTGAAAACTATAAACCCATAGTTCTAATAATTTCAATAAACCCCAGGTATGAGAAATATGAACAAACCATACGAATACGTATTATAAAAAAATTGCTCAAAACTAGTGATAAACATCATAAAAGCAACCAAAGGAAAAAGACATGTTATGAACAGAGGAACAAATATAAGGATAATAGTAATTTTGGGGGGTCAGAAACAATGCAAAGAAGAAGATAATCAACATCTGTAAGGTACTGAATGAAAAAAAACTTGTCAACCTCGTATTTTATACCCAGTGAAACTGTCTTTCAAAAATGAAGGTGAAATACCCAGGAGTTTGAGACCAGCCTGGGCAACATAGGGAGACCTCATCTCTGCCAAAAAAAAAAAAAATGAGCTGGGTATAGTGGTGTGTGCCTGCCTGTAGTCTCAGCTACTCGGGTGCTGGGGTGGAAGGATTACTTAAACCTGGGAAACTGAGGCTGCAGTAAGCTGTGTTTGTTGTTTGTGTTGTGCCACTGCACTCCAGCCTGGGTGACAGAGTGAAATAAAGACTTTTAGCAACAGACCTGCACTGCAAGAGATGCTAAAGAAAGTCCTTCAGGCAGAGGAAAAATGACACCAGATGAAAATATGTAGCTACACAACGAAATGGAGAACACTGAAATGGTAATGACATGGATATATATATAGAATTTTTTTTAACTTTTATTTTAAGTTCAGGGGTACAAGTGCTGGTTTGTTACATAGGTAAACTTGTGTCATAGGGGTTTGTTGTGCAGATTATTTCATCACCCAGGTGTTAAGCCTAGTACCCATTAGTTGTTTTTCTTGATCCTCTCCCTTGTCCCACCCTCCCCTCTCTAAAAGGCCCCAGTGTGGGTTCTTCCCCTCTATGTGTCCATGTGTTCTCATCATTTACCTCCCACTTGTAAGTGAGAACATGTGGTATTTGGTTTTCTGTTCCTGGGAGTTTCCTTATTATTTAAATTTCTTTAAAAGATAATTGACTATTTAAACAAAAATAATAACAATTGAGAGTGGAGGTTATAACATAAGTGAAATTACTATAATAGCACAAAAGACAGAAGGAGAGAAATGGAAGATACTGTTATGACATTTTTATACTATATATGAAGTGACATAATATTACTTAAGGCAGATTGTGATAAATTAATAGTATATTCTGTAAATCTGTAATGAACTACTAAAATAACAAAACAAAGAGTAATAGCTAAAAGACAAAATGAAATTGAAGAAATATTCAATTAATCCAAAAGGAGTTTAAAAAATAAAGAGAAAAAAGGGGGAGCACAGAATATACGGGACAAATAAAAAGCAAACAGCAAAATGATAGATTTAAATCTGATAATATCAACACTCACACTAAATATAAAATGGTCTGAACAGCACAATAAAAAGGCAGAGACTGTCACACTGAGTTTAAAAAGCAAAACCTGACTGTATGCTTCCTACAATAAATGCATTTCATAAATAAAGATACAAATACTTTAAAAGTAAAATGATGAAAACTATGATGCTAATACTAATCAAAAGAAATCTGAAGTGGCTATCTTAATATCAGATAAAGCAGATTTCAGAATAAAGAATATTATAAGGGATAAGGTCATCCCACAAGGGATAAAGGTCATTCCATAATGATAAAGGGATCAATTTACTAAGAGGAACATAAGAGTTTATGAACCTAATAAGAGAGTTTCACATTACACGAAGCAAAAGCTAATATAATGCAAGGATAAATAGACACATACATAATTAAAGTTGGAGATTTCAATATTATTCTCTCAATAATTAATAGAATAAGTAGACAGAAAATCATTAAGGATATAGAAGATGTGAAAAACACTACTGACAAACTTGATCTATTTGACATTTATAGAATAGTTCATCCAATGACAGTAGAATACATTCATTTTAAATGTACATGGAACATTTACCAATATAGACAATATTTGGTGCCATAAAACAAGTTTCAATAACATTAATAGGATTCAAGCCATACACAATATGTTTTCTGACCACAATAGAATTAAAATGGAAATCAAAGACAAATAACTCTGGAAAACTTCCAAATATTTGGAAGAAGAAAACAAGAAAACAGGTTCTAATAACTGTTATTTAGTTACCAAATATTCGGAAGAAGAAAACAAGGAAAATTAGAAAGTATTTTGAACCGAATGAAAATGGACACATAACATATCTAAATTTGGTGTATGCTATTATATTAAAGCAGTATTTAGGGGACACTTTATGGCATTAAATTCCTATACCAGAAAAAAAAAGTTTTAAATTAATGACCTAAGTGTCCACGCTATCAATCATTGTGGAAGTCAGTGTGGCGATTCCTCAGGGATCTAGAACTAGAAATACCATCTGACCCAGCCATCCCATTACTGGGTATATACCCAAAGGACTATAAATCATGCTGCTATAAAGACACATGCACACGTATGTTTATTGCAGCATTATTCACAATAGCAAAGACTTGGAACCAACCCAAATGTCCAACAATGATAGACTGGACTAAGAAAATGTGGCACATATACACCATGGAATACTGTGCAGCCATAAAAAATGATGAGTTCATGTCCTTTGTAGGGATATGGATGGAGCTGGAAACCATCATTCTCAGCAAACTATCGCAAGGACAAAAAAACAAACATCGCATGTTCTCACTCATACGTGCGAATTGAACAATGAGAACACATGGACACAGGAAGGGGAACATCACACACTGGAACCTGTTGTGGGGTGGGGGGAGGGGGGAGGGATAGCTTTAGGAGATATACCTAATGCTAAATGATGAGTTAATGGGTGCAGCACACCAACATGGCACATGTATACATATGTAACAAACATGTACCCTAAAACATAAAGTATAATAAAAAAGAAAAAAAAAAAAAGAAAAGGAAAGCGGCCGGGTGTGGTGGCTCACGCCTGTAATCCCAGCACTTTGGGAGGCCGAGGCAGGCAGATCATGAGGTCAAGAGATCGAGACCATCCTGGCTAACACGGTGAAACCCTGTCTCTACTAAAAACACAAAAACAAAATTAGCCGGGCATGGTGGTGGGCGCCTGTAGTCCCAGCTACTCGGGAGGCTGAGGCGGGAGAATGGCGTGAACTCGGGAGGCGGAGCTTGCAGTGAGCTGAGATCGGCCACTGCACTCCAGCCTGGGCAACAGAGCAAGACTCCATCTCAAAAAAAAAAAAGAAAGAAAGAAAGCAAATTAAACCCAAAGTAAATGGTAAAGAGAAAATAATAAAGATCAGAGCAGAAATCAATGAAGTTAAAAACAGGAAAACAAAGAAAAATTATTGCAACAAAAACTGGTGCTCTGAGATCAACAAAATTGATGAAGCTCCATCCATGAGTGTTGTTCTCATCATTTAGCTCCCAAAGAGATAAGATACAAATTACTAATGCCAGGAATTGGGAGGTGAATTCACCATAGATTCTACACATATAAAAAGAATAAGATACTATCATAAAAACCTTTATGACTTTATGACAATACATTTAGTGAATTCGACAAAATGGACCCATTCCTTGAATGACATATATTACCAAAGCTGACTCCTGAAGAAATAAATAACTTGAATAGTTCTACATCTATTTTAAAAATTGAATTTGTAGTTAAAAACTTATCCATACAGAAAACTCCAGGACCAGATGGCTTCATGAAATATTTAAGGATAAAATAAAACTAACTCTACAGAAAACTCTCCCAGAAAATGAAAGAGCTAATTCTATGAGACTAGCATTATACTGATAACAATGCCAGAAAAAAAATATTATAAGAAAAGAAAACTATAGACTAATATTCCTCCCTCATAGAAGTAAATGAAAAGATTCTGAACAAAATTTTAGCAAATCAAATCCAACAATACATAAAATGGATAATACAACATAACCAAGTGAAATTTATCTCAGTAAGGAAGGTTGGTCTAACATTTGAAAATAAATCAATTTAATTTACCATACTAACAAACTAAAAAAGGAAAACCATATTATCATCTTAATGGATATCAAAAAAGCATCTGACAAAATCGAACACCTATTTATAATAATTCTCAACAAACTTTGAGTAGAACTTCCTCAACCTAACAAAGAGCAGCTACAAAAAGTCTATAACTAACGAAAACTTAATGGTGAAAAAATGGAAAGCTTTCCCCTTAAGATATGGAACACTGCAAGGATGTCCACTCTCACCTCTTCTATCCAACACTGATTTAGCTAGAGCAATTAGAAAAGAAAGAAAAAGGCCGGGCGCAGTGGCTCACGCCTGCAATCCCAGCACTTTGGGAGGCCGAAGCGGGCGGATCATGAGGTCAGGAGATTGAGACCATCCTGGCTAACATGGTGAAACCCCGTCTCTACTGAAAATACAAAAAATTTAGCCGGGCGTGGTGGCGGGCGCCTGTAGTCCCAGCTACTCGGGAGGCTGAGGCAGGAGAATGGCGTGAACCCGGGAGGCGGAGCTTGCAGTGAGCCGAGATCGCACCACTGCACTCCAGCCTGGGCGACAGAGCGAGACTCCATCTCAAAAAAAAGAAAAAAGAAAAAAAAAAAAGAAAAAAGAAAAAAAAAAGAAAAAAAGGCAATTAAGATTGAAATAGAAGAAGTAAAACTGACTTTATCTACAGCCAGTATGATTTGTCTATTCACAACCAATATGAATATCTATGTAGAAAAATCTGATGGAATCTACAAAAAGGGGCAGTAAGTGAGTTTAGTAAGATTATGGGATATAAGATCAATATACAAAAATCAGTTTCATTCTTATATACTACCTATGAATAATCAGAAATTGAAATAAAAATTACCACTTAAAATAGCATCAATGATACAAAATACTTAGGGATAAACTTGAGAAAAGATGTAAAGGACCTCTACCGTAAAAACTATAAAACACTGCTGAGAGAAAATAAAAAGATCTAAATAAACAGAGATATACTATGTTCACAGGGCAAGGATTTAACATTGTTAAGGTGTGAATTTTCCCCAAATTGTTTTGTAGATTCAGTACAATACCAGTCAAGATTCCAGGACGCTTTTGAGTAGAAATTAACGAGTTGATTCTAAAATTCATATGAAAATGCAAAAGATCTAGTATTGCTAAACTAACTTTGACAAAAGAAGAATAAATTTGGAAGACTTACACTACCTGATTTCAAGATTTATTATACAACATAGTAATCAAGACACAGTGATGTTGGTATCAAGATAAATAGATCAATGGAACAGAACAGAGAGTCTAGAAATAGACCTGTACATATATAGAAAACTGATTTTTTATTTATTTATTTTTGCTGGGCACAATGGCTCATGTCTGTAATTTCAGTGCTTTGGGAGGCCAAGGCAGGAGGATCACTTGAGGACAGGGGTTCAAGACCAGCCTGGGAAACATAAAGAAACGCCATCTCTACAAAAATTTTAGAAAATTAGCCAGGCATGGTGGTGCATACCTGTAGTCCTAGCTACTCGGGAGGCTGAGTCAGGAGAATTGCTTGAGCCCAAGGGTTCAAGATTACCATGCCACTACACTCTAGCCTGGGTGACAGAGTGAGATCCTGTCTCTAAAACAAAAACAAAAACAAAACCTGATTTTTGACAAAGGTGCAAAGGCAGTTACATGGAGAAGTGACAGTCTTTTCAATCAGTGGCACTGGAACAATTGGACACCCTTGTGCAAAAAATAAATTTTAATCCCTACCATACAACGTATACAAAAATTGACTCAAAACGTATCATAGACCTAAATGTAAAGCTTAAAACTATAAAACTTCTAGAATAAAACATTGGAGAAAATCTTTTGCAACCTTGTGTTTGGTAAAGATTCTTTAGACACCAAAGTGCAATCCATAAAAGAAAAAGTTGGTAAATTGGACTTCATCAAAATATAAAATATCTACTTTTCCAAAGATACAGTTAAGAGCATGAAAAGACAACCCACATAGACCAAGAGAAAATTTGTGCAAATAATATATCCTATAAGAGACTTGTAACTAGAATTTATGAAGAAGAAGTTGTAGTTTGGCAGTAAAAAGACAACACAAATTTAAGATGATGGGCAAAATCATGATGGACATGATCATCAAAAAATGTCTATTCGAATAGACAAAAACTGTCTATTCAGGAAATGGAAATCAAAACCCCACTGAGATACCAGTTTACACCCACTACAATGGCCACAATCAAAATGATGGGCAATAGCAAATGTTAGCAAGGATGTGGAAAAATCAGAATCCTCATATGTTGCTGGTTGAAATGTAAAATGGTACAGACACTTTGAAAAGCAGTCTAGTAGCTCCTCAAAAGGTTAAATATTACTATATGAAATACCAATTCCACTCCTAGGTACATACTAAAGAGAAATGAAAACATATGTCTACACAAAAACTTGCACAGAAATAGCTGCATTATTAATAATAGTCAAAAGGTGGAAACAAGTCCAATGTCCATTGAATGATGAAGGGGTAAACAAAATGGGATATATCCATACGATGGAATATTATTCATTCATAAAAAGAATGAAGTACTGATCCATACTACAACATGGATGAACTCTGAAAACTTTATGCTAAGTGAAAGAAGCCATTTGTAATAGGCCACATATGGTATGATTCCATGAATGTGAAATGTCCAGAATAGGCAAATCAATAGAGACAGAAAGTAGATTAGTGGTTGTCAGGGGCTAGGGGAGATGAGATGGAGAGTGACTATTTAATGGATACAGGGTTTCCATTTGAAGTGATGAAAATGTTGTGGAATTAGATAGTGGTGATGGTTGCACAATTCTGTGAATACACTAAAATCACTGAGTTGTATGTACACTTTTAAAGAATAGAGAATTTTTAAAGGGTGAATTTTATGGTATGCGAAGTATACCTCACTAAAGCTGTTATTTAAAATAGAAAAAATGACTGTTCTATTTTTGATTAGCTCTTTGGACCTTTCTTGGTTTTTCATAGAATCTTTAGACAATGGAAATGGGAAGTAAGAGGGAGGGAGAGTAAAATCTCAGTTTCATTGTAAGGAGTGACCCTGTGGAGTGGACATGTGGTGTTTTATTTATTTATTTTTATCTGTAAAAGAGACCTTTTATTAAAACAAGGAGCCTGAGGTACAGCTCATCAGAGTGGATTCAGCTGTCGGAAATGCAAATGCATTGACAACTCAAGGCTTCAGCTTCTGCTAAACTCAAACTGGCTGGACAGTGTAAGATGTACGTCCAGCACTTTCAAAGCAGTGTGTAGAGGGAAATTTATAGCACTAAATGCCCACAAGAGAAAGCAGGAAAGATCCAAAATTGACACCTTAACATCACAATTAAAAGAACTAGAAAAGCAAGAGCAAACACATTCAAAAGCTAGCAGAAGGCAAGAAATAACTAAAATCAGAGCAGAACTGAAGGAAATAGAGACACAAAAAACCCTTCAAAAAATTATTGAAACCAGGAGCTGGTTTTTTGAAAGGATCAACAAAATTGATAGACCGCTAGCAAGACTAATAAAGAAGAAAAGAGAGAAGAATCAAATAGACACAATAAAAAATGATAAAGGGGATATCACCACCAATCCCACAGAAATACAAACTACCAACAGAGAATACTACAAACACCTCTATGCAAATAAACTAGAAAATCTAGAATAAATGGATAAATTCCTCGACACATACATCCTCCCAAGACTAAACCAGGAAGAAGTTGAATCTTTGAATAGACCAATAACGGGCTCTGAAATTGAGGCAATAATCAATAGCTTACCAACCAAAAAGAGTCCAGGACCAGATGGATTCACAGCCGGATTCTACCAGAGGTACAAGGAGGAACTGGTACCATTCCTTCTGAAACTATTCCAATCAACAGAAAAAGAGGGAATCCTCCCTAACTCATTTTATGAGGCCAGCATCATCCTGATACCAAAGCCGGGCAGAGACACAACCAAAAAAGAGAATTTTAGACCAATATCCTTGATGAACATTGATGCAAAAATCCTCAATAAAATACTGGCAAAACGAATCCAGCAGCACATCAAAAAGCTTATCCACCATGATCAAATGGGCTTCATCCCTGGGATGCAAGGCTGGTTCAATATATGCAAATCAATAAATGTAATCCAGCATATAAACAGAACCAAAGACAAAAACCACATGATTATCTCAATAGATGCAGAAAAGGCCTTTGACAAAATTCAACAACCCTTCATGCTAAAAACTCTCAATAAATTAGGTATTGATGGGATGTATCTCAAAATAATAAGAGCTATCTATGACAAACCCACAGCCAATATCATACTGAATGGGCAAAAACTGGAAGCATTCCCTTTGAAAACTGGCACAAGACAGGGATGTCCTCTCTCACCACTCCTATTCAACATAGCGTTGGAAGTTCTGGCCAGGGCAATGAGGCAGTAGAAGGAAATAAAGGGTATTCAATTAGGAAAAGAGGAAGTCAAATTGTCCCTGTTTGCAGATGACATGATTGTATATCTAGAAAACCCCATTGTCTCAGCCCAAAATCTCCTTAAGCTGATAAGCAACTTCAGCAAAATCTCAGGATACAAAATCAATGTGCAAAAATCACAAGCATTCTTATACACCAATAACAGACAAACAGAGAGCCAAATCATGAGTGAACTCCCATTCACAATGGCTTCAAAGAGAATAAAATACCTAGGAATCCAACTCACAAGGGATGTAAAGGACCTCTTCAAGGAGAACTACAAACCACTGCTCAATGAAATAAAAGAGGATACAAACAAATGGAAGAACATTCCATGCTCATGGGTAGGAAGAATCAATATCGTGAAAATGGCCATACTGCCCAAGGTAATTTATAGATTCAATGCCATCCCCATCAAGCTACCAATGACTTTCTTCACAGAATTGGAAAAAACTACTTTAAAGTTCATATGGAACCAAAAAAGAGCCTGCATCGCCAAGGCAATCCTAAGCCAAAAGAACAAAGCTGGAGGCATCACGCTACCTGACTTCAAACTATACTACAAGGCTACAGTAACCAAAACAGCATGGTACTGGTACCAAAACAGAGATATAGATCAATGGAACAGAACAGAGCCCTCAGAAATAACGCCGCATATCTACAACTATCTGATCTTTGACAAACCTGACAAAAACAAGCAATGGGGAAAGGATTCCCTATTTAATAAATGGTGCTGGGAAAACTGACTAGCCATATGTAGAAAGCTGAAACTGGATCCCTTCCTTACACCTTATACAAAAATTAATTCAAGATGGATTAAAGACTTAAACGTTAGACCTAAAACCATAAAAACCCTAGAAGAAAACCTAGGCATTACCATTCAGGACATAGGCATGGCAAAGACTTCATGTCTAAAACACCAAAAGCAATGGCAACAAAAGACAAAATTGACAAATGGGATCTAATTAAACTAAAGAGCTTCCACACAGCAAAAGAAACTACCATCAGAGTGAACAGGCAACCTACAAAATGGGAGAAAATTTTCACAACCTACTCATCTGACAAAGGGCTAATATCCAGAATCTACAATGAACTCAAACAAATTTACAAGAAGAAAACAAACAACCCCATCAAAAAGTGGGTGAAGGACATGAACAGACACTTCTCAAAAGAAGACATTTATGCAGCCAAAAAACACATGAAAAAATGCTCACCATCACTGGCCATCAGAGAAATGCAAATCAAAACCACAATGAGATACCATCTCACACCAGTTAGAATGGCGATCATTAAAAAGTCAGGAAACAACAGGTGCTGGAGAGGATGTGGAGAAATAGGAACACTTTTACACTGTTGCTGGGACTGTAAACTAGTTCAACCATTGTGGAAGTCAGTGTGGCGATTCCTCAGGGATCTAGAACTAGAAATACCATCTGACCCAGCCATCCCATTACTGGGTATATACCCAAAGGATTATAAATCATGCTGCTATAAAGACACATGCACACGTATGTTTATTGCGGCACTATTCACAATAGCAAAGACTTGGAACTAACCCAAATGTCCAACAACGATAGACTGGATTAAGAAAATGTGGCATATATACACCATGGAATACTATGCAGCCATAAAAAATGATGAGTTCATGTCCTTTGTAGGGACGTGGATGAAATTGGAAATCATCATTCTCAGTAAACTATCGCAAGAACAAAAAACCAAACACTGCATATTCTCACTCATAGGTGGGAATTGAACAATGAGAACACATGGACACAGGAAGGGGAACATCACACTCTGGGGACTGTTGTGGGGTGGGGGGAGGGGGGAGGGATAGCTTTAGGAGATATACCTAATGCTAAATGACGAGTTAATGGGTGCAGCACACCAGCATGGCACATGTATACATATGTAACTAACCTGCACATTGTGCACATGTACCCTAAAACTTAAAGTATAAAAAAAAAAAAAAAAAGAAGTGTGTCCAGGTGAAAGCAGCTTTGGCTCTTGGCTGGTGGAGTGGGAGGGACCTTAGAGCCATGTTTCTCTGTTGCATTTACTCAGCTTATCCATCTCTGAATCAAAGCACACAAGTCTCTTGAAAAACCTAAGAGGTTTTTCATTTCAGGACAGGGGTGGCCAAACTGTGTAGCAGAGAGTGAGTGGTGGACTTGGGTTAGAGTCCCAGCTCTGCCACCTGTGAGTTGGGTAACCTTGGGAAATTTACAAGCCTCAGTTTTCTCATCTGCAAAATAGGAATAGCACATTTGCAAAGTTGTCTACAGATTGCCCCAGGAGATGTATGTGAAAGTGCTTGACAATGCTTGTTGGTTGCATTTGTATCTGAAACTTCTGGTAGAATCATTATTGTAACATCCCTAAATAGCAAGTTTAAATCGGTATAAACCATTAATGTCCCTACACAGATGGCACATGCCAGAGTAGGATGTGAATACTGACATGGGCACCATTTACAACAGTAAGAATGTATTGCACATGCACTGTAGAGCAGGCTCTTCTGGCACATTCTCTAGTTTCATCCTTGCAACAACCCTATGAGGTAGGTCCTGTTAGTTTCCCTTTATACGAATAAAGAAATTGAGACTCAAAGAGCTTAGATGATGTAACTTAATGGAAGGACAGAAATTGCCAAGTGTTTCAACAGGAGGCAGAAGACAGCAGTGGTTAAGCGCCTGGCCTAACTGAATCCAAGCTCCAGCACACTATCTGTGTGACCTGGGGCAATATGCCTCTCTCTGTGTGTCAGTTGTCTCATATCTGAAAAGGGATAACAACAGTACCCACCTCGGTGGGTGCTATAAGGATGAAATGAGTCAATATTCACAAGACATAGAGAATATTGTCTGGCACTGGCACAGAATGTTAGCTTTGATTAATAATTCACTATAAAATAATGTAATTGTTAGTGAATCATCAATCTAAAATGTTAGGTTGCTGAAACTGACATTATCTACCAGATGATACTTCTCTGCTCACTATTTAGCAGTTGCTCTATATTGGGATTTGTTTGGGATGTTGGCATATTTTATAACTTTCTAGGTCACCAAAAATTGCTTCATCCTCAGAGCATAGGCTAGTCACCCCCATCTAGGTAAAACCCTCTTCATGCCACCTCTGTAGAATCTGGGGCCCAGAGAGTCCAAAGAACCTGCATTACGTGACATATCAAATGTATGACAAAGCTCAGACTGGAATCCAGGTCTCCATTAGCCTAAGCCTATTTGAGAGCCAGGAGCCAGGTCTAGGACTGGGAGGGATCTGAGGACTGTCAGACTGCAGTGAGTTTCCCCCAGGATTTGGTGAAGGTCGTGAGACATTTTCCCAAGAAAGATGTATGATGTTTGCCTTGGTTCTTTGGCAATCTCACAATAGGAAATGTTCTCATGGCACTTCTGAGAATATTTTCACACAAGGACAGAGATAGTAAATATCTGACTGATAGAGAAAAAGGGGGGCAATAAATCCCTTCTGGCACATGTTCATTGATGAGAAAGATGCTTTATAAGTATGGCAATTGCACAGATGCATCATGGTATGCTGAGGGCTGGCTAATGTGAACAGAGGGAGGAGTCCCATCTTTGGGCTGCCACTGTTCCTCAGGGAGCCACGGAGGTAGGAAAATGTTGTTTTGCTTCCCTCCCCAGGAATTCTGTTTCAACACACAAGGTTGCTGCCAACCTGCACCCTTCACTTTCTTTCCCTCTCTGGGCTTCAGCTCCTCTGCCTTGACCTGGGCCCAGTGACTTGGGCCCTGACTCCTCCCAGAGCTGGCGGCTAGGACCAGGGAGCCAGTGAAGGATGCTCTTGGATTCTGAGCCTGGGATGAAGCTGGCCACTGTGATAGGGCTGCTCTGAGTTCACCTTCCACTTTATCTGCCAGAAGGCCAGTATCTTCTTGGTGTGACAGGCTGAGGATTTGGCAGTGAAGGGATCACAGATCCATGAAGGTGTGGTCTCCCCAGTGCCAGCTCTCTGGGCCTCCTGCAAGCTGGGCTCCATCTTCTAGCACCACACTGCTGACTTCTCTAGAAAAGGACCAGGAGAAAAGGGCCTAGTGTTAGAGCAAGAGCGTTTGGGTTCTAGCTCAGGTGCCACTGTGGACATTGGGTGAGCCAGAGCCTGCCACTTCCCAGGGCCTCAGCCACCCATCTGTAAAGCAAAGGGGGTTGGGGGAACAAAAGAGCCCCAACAATCCTGGAAAGTGAGAGCAGCAAAAAATCTTAGCAGTCATGGTACTTGTCATTAAAAGATGATGAAACTTAGGCTCAGAGAGGTGAGAGACCTACCCAAGGTTATTCAGGGAATTAGTGGCTGAGTGGGACCTGGGCTCTGGGTTCTGTCCCGGCCTCCAGGCCAACCACAGCAGTCTGCACTGCCTCTAAGGTCTCTTCCCATTGGAAACCCTGAGGACTCATGTGTGCCTGCTCTGCCCCATGGGGAGGCCTTCCTTTGGAGCAATGGCCTCCAGCTGACCTGGACAGGGCCACTGCATAGGGGGAGTCATCTCCTCAGGAGCAACTCTCCAGGGCTGTCTTCACTGTGTCCTGGAAGTAGACTGGCTGGGACTCAGAGTCAGTCATATTAAACTCTCCAGGCTTTACCCAGACCAGGGCTTGAGCCAAGCAGGGAGTGGCAGTGGATTTTTTCCACCTCCTTTCTCTTTGTATAAATACACCCACTTCAGCCAAAGCCTGCATGTTTGGCTTCTGAGGTTGGCTGGCCCCTCCTGTCAGCTTGCTTGCTCTCCTCCAGTCTGTCTCCTCTTGGTTGTTCCATCCCACCCCCACCCCGCCACCTACCTGGGTTCCTCCTGCTCCATCAGGAGATGGAGGCAGGCTGTGCTGGCACCAGCTGGGGTTCCAAGGGGGCCGGGGCCCCAAGCAGGAACTTGGGTCCTAGGGCGGAGCTGAAATCACTGCTGCCTGAGCAGATATCACAGCAAAGAAAGCAGCACGGTGTGGGGGAGCCATAGCTGTAGGGACTGGGCCACCCGAGTAACCTGGGGCAGCACACAAGGCAGGTGGTCAGAGGCAATCTGGATCCACAGGTAGCTCCACTCCACAAGAATGTGTGGGGATGCCTCTATGTGGGGATGAAGGCTGCATCTACATGATATGAGGCTCTTCTAGTGGATGTGGGCTGCATCTACGTGGAATCTGGCTCCCTAAAGAGATACAGACAACATCCATGCAAGACAAAACTTCCCAAGGAAAACAGGGCTGTGTTTCCATAGGACAAAACTGCAAAGAGATGCTTGCTGTGTCTGTCAAGTCCAGCCCTGCAGGCAGAAGCCAACTGCACATACAGAGCCCCGATCTGCCACAAGAGGCAGACGGTAAAAGTGGAGGATAGCACCCAGCCAGGAGATGCGGGCAGCACCAACATGAGGACTGTGGGTCTTCCCAGTGATGCACACTGCCACTGTGTGGATCACAGCTCTGCAGAAAAATGATGGCAGTTCCCTGGAGGCAGAGGTTGCATTAGTCATGAATGTGGCTCTTCAAGACCCCCCATGGATCCATGTGGTGCACAGCTCTGCATGGTGGTGCTGGCTAGGTCAGGACCAAGTGAAATTTCATAAGGCAATGCAGGCATATCTGTGCAAGGAGGCTCAGTGGAAAGGTGCAGACAACATCTAAACAAGATGAGCCTCGGCAGGCTTCTGCAGGCCATGGCCACACAGGAGGTGACTTTATACCCAGATACAAACTGTCTCTACAAAGAACACAGTTCAGTAAGCAAGCTCAAGCCTCATCTACACAGCACAGACTCCACAAGAGGATGTTGGCTGTGTCAACAGCTGCCCTGCAACAGGCCATAAACTGTGTCTACATGAGCAAAAACTCTGTGTGTCATCACAGGCTGTGTCTGCACAGAACCAAACTATGGCTGCCCAGGACAAGGTGGGACATTCCCAAGATGAAGCTGCACCTGCCCAAAATGACGCTGTGTCTACCCAAGATGAGGTTTTATCTGTCACCAAGAAGGCTGTGTAAGCACAGAAGGAGGCTATGTTTACTGAGATTGAGTTTGCATCTGCAGATAACCAGGCAGCGTCTACACAGAACCACATAGCTTGCACACAAAATGAGGCTTCTCAAGGAACTTCCACCTGTATCCACACAGGACAAGCCCCTGTCTGTGGAAATGCATCAGGCTATCCTGTGGAGATGCAGCCCACATCTACAGTGTGCATGGCTCCAGCAGGCACCACCACCTGGATCAGCTCAGAAATGCCCTCTGTGCCTAATTACAGCCAGTACAGGGATGAGCCAGGACTGCTAGTGGATACGCAGCCTGTGTCTACATGGAGTGGAGCGCCTCACTGGACCAGCATGGAGTAATGCTTTGCAAGTAGATTCAAACTGTTTATTGAAGAACTGGGGCTCTACCTGCCAGTGTTGCCTGCCTCTACAGCCAGCACCCAGAGAAGTGGAGAACTAGCCACTGCAGGAGAAAACTGGTTGCACCTAACTGGGGATCTTTGCAGAGAGTCATCATGTGTCCACACCAAGTGAAGCTCCTCATGGAACTGCAGTCTGGTGAGTGAAACAGAAAGAGTTGCTGCAAGGGGTTGCTGGCTGCTTCCACCTGATCCAAGGACCAGATGCAGGCTGAACCTACACATTGACTGAGTACAGCAACTCAAGGAAACAGCCTGGGTTGGCGGAGCAGAAGTAGATGACGCAAGAGTTTGCTGGCTGATTTCACCTGAGGCACAGCACTAGCTGGAGGCTCAGCCCATGTCTACTTTGAGCCCATCTCAGCAAGGAGCTGAATCTGGGCTCAGTGGGCCTCTACCAGGGCACAGGCTGTGTCTTAATGGAGCAGAGGTCTATGTGCAGGACCAATCTGCCTCCATGCCCACCATAGTGCTGCTAAGAAACAACCCAACAAACTTCCCTGTGGGGCTGCTGTCAGTGCCTCACTAGAGCAGAGCTCCAAGCACAGGCACAGAATGCACCTACATGCAATGCAGCTGGGCCACTCTTGAGCCCTGCTCCCTTGCACCCCCAGCCACAGGTAGCTAGAAGAGCACTGCCAGTGTGTGCAGCCTTGCCCGGTAAGTGCGAGTTTGCCGTGCCCTCCTTCTCTCCACCATTGCCCATAGGGCTGTCTCCAAGGCACCTGACTGTCCCCAAGGCACCATGCAGGTCCTGTCTGCTGGGTTTCAGAAGCCTGGCATTTCTAGATTTGGACAGAGTCCCACATATACACCAGGGTATAGAGCTGATTCCCCTGTGCAAACCCATCTGCAGGTCTTAATCTGTAAAAAGTCTTCCTAATAAATCTGAAAAACCGCCAGTGCCTGGTTCTGTTTCCGTCTGGTTGGGAGATTCTGGATTCATAGCCATATGGGGAGGAGCTGACTGTGTGGGGCCTCAAATCCTGGGCAGCGTCTGAACAGGGATGGGAAGGATGATGATGGCAGGGTTCCCAGGATAAGGCACTCCATGAAGCAAGGCCCAGGGACAGGACAACATGGACTATTTGAGGGAAACAGCAAGGCATGCATATTTTCTGAAATGTGGTTGGTTGCTGTCTCCTGGGCTCCCTCAGCATGTTGTATGTCGCTTCATCAGCATTTGTCTCCCTGGTTTCCGTTGCTAGCTCCTCTTCTGTTGCTCTGCTCTCAAAGGTCAGATCTCTGCACAGGGTTGCCCCAGCCCTCTCATTACATACCCCCCAGCAATCCCAGCAAGACCCAGGGTTTCAGGTAGGTACCATCTACAGTGAATCATCTGCAATGATGGAAATACTTCATATCTCCATGCCCAGTACAGCAGCCAGGAGCCATGTGATATCCATTGAGCTACTGCATATATAATTAGTGTGACTGAGGAGCTGAATTTTAAATTGTAATTAATTTATGTTTTAAAATCTCTTTCCTTTTTAAACATTTAAGTATTTATTTATTTAGAAACAGGGTCTCTCTCTGTTGCCCAGGCTGGCCTTGAACTCTTGGGCTCAGGCAATCAGTCCTCCCACCTCAGTCTCCCAAGTAGCTGGGACTAAAGGCACGTGCCACTGCCCCCAGGTAATTGTAATTAATTTAAACTTCTGTCTTTTCTGTGTTTAATTACAAAATATATAGAACATAAAATTTGCCATTTTAACTATTTCTAAGTGTACAATTCAGTGGCATTAATTACACTCAGGGTGTTGTGCAACGACCACCACTATTTCCAAAACTTTTCATCACCCCAAGCAGAAATTTTATACTGTGCTTTTTAAAATTAAAATTAATTTACATTTAAATAGCAACGTGGCTAGAAGTCACCATATTGAACAACACAAGTTTAGTAGTCAATAACCTTCAAATTAGCATCTCCACCCTAGACCCTCCCTCTGCCCTGAGCCCCAGTCCTGGATACCCAACTGTCTAGTGGGCACCCTTCCACCTGAGTGCCCTATTAGCACCTAAAACTCTATCTTTCCAAAATCAAACTCATTGTCTCCACCCCTACATTCCTATACTGCTCCTTCTGGATTCCCTGTCTTACAAAATGACACCACCGGCCACCCAATGGCCGGTGAGTCAGAAACCTGTGAGTCATCTCAGGTGCTTCCCATTTACTTTGCTTCCACAGCCAATTATTTTCAAGCTCTGCAGATTCTGCCTCCTTGACTTATCTCGACTTGGCCCCATCTTCTCCTTCCCTATTGCCATTCCTCAGGCGTGGATTCCTACTCCACACTATGTGAACTTGACTCTGCCTCCTCCCATCCCTTTACCACCATGCCTCTGTCCCTCAACACTGGAGGATTGGCAGAGCAGCAAGGTTTTGTTATTCAGGTGCTGCCCAACCTCCACCCTACCCCCAGTGCAAGAGCCCAGCTCTCTGGGAAGACCAAGACCTTATCAAGCTAGGGAAAACCAGAACAAAAAAAGATGAGGAGGTTATCATGGCTTCTAGGAGAGAGCCCAAGGCCAGCCAGGAAGCAGTGGGAGCAGTCTCCCTACATGAGGGACCCCACAGATTGGGATTCAAATCCTAAGTCTGCAGCTAAAAAGATGCCTCAGTTTCCTCATCTGTAGGATGGGGATAATTATTTTCCACCCTTTACTGTGCTGGGAGGATTAAAAGAAGCAATGGAGGGAGAGGGGCGAAAACTACCAGGTCAGCTTCCTTAGGGGCAGAAGTTACTGGTCCCAGCTCACAGAGGAGGCAAGTGGATGGGGAATGTTATGGCAGGATCTTGGAGGTCATTCCAAGACACTATAGACTTGTCCGCCGGAGTTCAGAGAAGGAGCAAATGCCCTCCTGGAAAAGTGGCCAAGTGAGGTCACTTACAACTTCATTTCCAGAGTTGCCTTGCCAAGACCCCAGTGTTCCCTGGGCAATGCCAGCTTGGCTGATGGGCAAGCCCTCCCAGTAGGGAGGCTTGGCCTTTGTTACTCTTGATCCTGGGGAGTTGAAAGGGGAAGTGGGTGCCTGCTGACAGTGTGCTGCCTGCTGGGCCCTGGGTGTGCCCACATGGTGGCTGCTGAAGGACTGCTTTCTCCCAGTGCCTGGCGGTCATTCAGTCATTAAGAAGGGGTAAAAATTTTACTTGGAAAGAAATAGAGAAACTCTGCTTTTGAGAAAGTGAGTCATCAGCACTAAAGGTCTAGCTGAATCTTCTGATAGCAGAGATAGTTTTTTTTTTTTTTTTTCTGTCGGTTAATGATGTAGGCAGTGAGCATAGAGAGCATCACTTCTGCCTTGTTTAGTGAAAATTCAGCTATTCCCAAGGCCAGCTCTTCAGGGGGACTGCCCTTCCCTTTGGGGGTCATTGGACAGGACACACAATAGGCATTCTTTCCTGGAGAAGGGTGGGGGCAGGACATGTGGCCTTCACTGAGATGGGATGCAGAGCCTCTCCCTGGCCAGGCTACAAGGGCTCCTGTTTTGAATACTCTGTCCTGGGCTGAAGTGAGCAGTAGTCAAAAGCCATACCTCAAAGCTGAGACCTGAACTGAGACTCTCCCAGAAAACACCTGGGGCCTGGCAAGGTATTTCTGCAAATGGAGTTGTATGTGGCCTCATTTGGCCACTTCCCCAGGGGTCATGCAGCCAGGCAGCAGGGAGACACAACTAATGAACAAGCCCTAAATACAGGCTCCCAGGTTGGCCTGGCTGTGGGGCCCTTAGACATGACTTGTCATCATTTTACAGCAAGGGAAACTGAGGCTGTGAAAACAGAGACACCTTGTCCAGCATCATGGCACACTACAACACTCACTGCCTCTCCCATATTGAATAAGGGCATGGACCCTTCCTTGAGGGTTTGAAAGAGGGCTCTTCTCTAAGCCAGTGTCTAATTCCTACATAAAAACCCAATCTCAACACAATTCTGTACCCAAACTGCATATCTTTAATGTCTTCATCCTGAAGGTGCAGTGATCCTGGGCCCTGATGGGGCAAGGAGACATAAATACATGTTTTGAAGCAGAATGCATAGCCCTGCATAGAACTCTGGATCTTTCCAAATATTATTGTGCCTTCTGTGGGGGTAATGTAGCCCACAGGGCAGAGTTCCCTGTGACTTTCCACAGAAATCTTTGCTGACATAAAAATAGACTGCTCAGACATTTGAATGCAGAGTTCTCACTCTCCTTCTAAATTGGGGAAGTCACTCTAACAGAGTGTTAGATACATGGTCATGGAAAAAGGATGCGAGGGAGGAGGAAGAGCAGGGGGCAGGAGGCCTGGCTCCTTCTCCAACTGTGATTCCAAGGCCTGGGCTTGAGTTGATGGCCTGGCAACTGGGCTGTTAATTACGTGACCAATCAAAAGATACTCCCAGGTAGGGGCATGCCCTGTGGAAACACGACTCTAGTAATAGAGCATTAAAGATTTTAGAAACCATAAATTTCAACCATCCACCCACCCCCATTTTATAAATAGACCAATTGAGGTTGAGAGATTCATGTAAGGGCAACATATATTTTCTGACCATCTTGACACTGACAGCCACAACCGAGTGTTCTTTCTCCTACAGAAACATTAAGGCTATCACTATACCAGTCCCTGTATGCTTTCCTGATGAGTCAAGCAACACTCCCAACTTGGAGCTTTGTGTTCTCTCTGATTGCAAGCATACCTGGGATAAGCACTCCAAACACATGGGACTCATTCCCAGGGTCAAGATGCTCTCTTTGGTCTGTACTTCCTGGTAACCGCATTTATAAACCTAATGCGTCAGAGTGCTCATTTCAAAGACCATGTGCTCATTTCAAACACTACCCAGGGCCTTGGCTTGCACTTGGGCAAAGCAGGCACTTGGTAAAATTAAGGTTGGTAGTATCACATCCAAATGCTGAGCAAATTAGGCAGACTGTACCTGACAGGGAGAAGCCTGACTGTATCCCTCAGGCCAGCATCCTGCAGGGATAGAAAAGTACTGGTGACTCTGCCTGCCCTTACCCTAGATGCACCTCAAGCCATGAGGGGTCTGATGATCAGTTTGTCTCCAAGAGAAGATGACTCTTGAGCTGGAGTTCGCAATTTCTTCTCTTGTCAGTTCTATTGCAATTAGTGGATTCTAATCATAGGCATACATGTGGAAAAGGAAGGGGACGTAAGGGAGAGAGGAAACAGCTCATCCTTCCCCAGGTGCAAGCCAGGACAGCACTTATGCTCTGATGGCAAGGTCCCGCTGCAGAAGCCCACATACACCTGCTGTCCTTCACTTGCCCGGAGCCCCTGTGGCAGCATCAGCTGCCAGCTTGGCCCACCCTGCTTGTCCCACTGCTTCAGCTCAGAAGACGTCTGTGTTTGGTGGGGGGTTGGAGAGGTGAGGGTCAGGAGACAGGAGGAGCACAGAAACCGGCTTCAAACAGCCAAAGGCCTTTCATGTGCAGAAAGAGGGAGGAGATTTTATCTGAATGATATTTAGGGCCCCCTCACTGGCTGATGGAAGCTGAAGCCAGAGAGGCCTGTTTCTAATCACATATCTCAGAGAGAAGAGAATTTCTCATCATGGGGGTGAGGTCAAGGAAAGGCTGGACAACCATCTGTCAGGGATTGCCTGCCAAGGGTGGGAGGCCAAGGGCAGGGTGCTATGGGGCCTGTCCACTCTGGGACGCTAGGATTTCTCAGCTCCCCAGGCCAGAGCCAGCCTTGTGACCCGCTGCCATTTCTTGGCACTGTACCCCCCAGTATGAGGTGGGGTTTCCATGCGCCTCTGTAAGCCATCTTTCCCCAAGTCTGTCCACTGGCCTGCCATGGCTCCCTGTGGGATGGCGGCTCTACCTGGATCCATACAAGGATGGGGATGGAGGTTTCTATTCCAGGCCCTCAGGGGAGGTAGTCTGGGCCTACTTTGTGACATGTAATAAGAACCAGAACAGGCTCTAAAGGACTCCATAAGCTTAAGGCAGCTTTGGGGTTTGCAGTCACAGTGGGAACTTTGGACACCATGGCCTTGAGAATATCAGATTGATCTGGAGCCTGTGCCACACTGGGGACATGCTGGTGACAATATAGGCAAGCTGATGGTCTTGTGGGCAGGTTTGTTAAACTATAGGGATGCCATCCTTCGTACTGCACTCTTCTCTGTCCTCTGAACTTTCTGGACAATCTCCTCTGCTGAACCTCAGTTGTGCTCCCACCTCTCCAGCTGTGACTGCCCTTGCTCCCCCCATCACCCACCCCAGGATGTTGACTGTCATGGTGGAAACCTACTTTCTTACTTTATGTCTTACTTTCTTTTCAAGTAGTACATTTTGGTTTTAGTACTCTGTTCACCAGAACTTACCTTCTTTTTTCTTCTCTTGTCATCCTATGCTACCAAGGGATTGGACATGCCTTGGTACCCAGCCTGAACCAGGCATGAGATGCCTTGTTTCTCTGACATCCACCTTCTTATCCTTGAGTTTATGTATGACTCTAGCAGGCTGAATAATTGGCCTTCAAAGATGTCCCCATCCTAAGTCTCCAAACCTGTGAATGTTACCTTATATAGCAAAGGTGAATCTGCAGGTGTGATTTGGTTAAAGATCTTAAAATAGGGAGATTATCCTGGCTTTTCTGGGTGGGCTCAGTGTAATCACAAGAATCCTTCAAAGGTTTAAGAGGGAGTCAGAGAAGGAGATGCGATGATGGAAGCAGGGGTCAGAGTGATGCGGCACAAACTAACAAATGCAGTGGCTTCTAGAAGCTGGAAAAGGAAAGGGAACAGCTTCTCCTTGAGAGCTTCCAGAAGGAACACAATCTTGCTGACACCTTGATTTTAGCCCGGTGAAATTCATTTTGGACTTCTGACCTCCAGAAGTATAAAATAATAAATGCTGTGTTGTTTTAAGCCACTAAAGTGCATGGTAATTTTTTACCTCCAGCAGTAGGAAACTGATACAGCTGCTAATGGTGTTTAAACAAGAACCAGAGACACAATCGCCAGCTGTCACTGGCTGAAGCAATGTGCTATAGAGGACAGAATGGGCAGGCAACCCTGAGTTTCAATCTCAGCTCCCCCACTTCCTGGGAGTGGAACCTTTGGTCAAGTCACTTCACTTCTCTAAGCCTCAGTTTTCTCATGTGTAAAAGGGCAATAATAGAATCACAATCCTAAGGCCTGTAGTTTATAGTATTGTATCAATGTTGATTATCTGTTTTTGATAATTGTACCAAAGTTATGTAAGTTTCTGTAACATTAAGGGAGCTGGACAAAAGTATATGTGAACGATTTGTCCTATTTTTGCAACTTCTCTAAGTCTAAAATTATGTCAAATTTGTATCTATTTACTTATTGCAATTAATTTTAAATGATTTAAGATTTTTAGACTCACAACCCTTAAGAGATATTACCAGGACAATAGTTGAGTTCTTGGGACACTGCAGGTGCTCAATGAATGAATAGTAACCATTGTGGCTAGTACATGCTGCTGATGCTGCCTTCAGAAGCATTCTAGAAAAATCCTCAAAGAGGTACCTTCTTCACCGAGGACCCCAACAAAATCCCAAATGAACAGAGCAGGGAGGAAAGGATACAATGGTATCAGATTAGGTGAAGGGAAAGATAGGTGCTCACGGGGCATCTCCTGAGGTGCGAGCTGTCTGGTCTGTTTCCCTGTTCGGGCAGTTAGGTGGTGTGCCAGGTCATGGGTAGGATTAGCCATTGCACCAGTTGGGACAGCACAGCCCTCACTCCCAGCCACTGGTCCCTCTCAGGCTGCATCTTGGCAAGAGATGATCCTGCCAGTTGCTTTGAACATTTATAGTCAACAGACTCTTGTTTGCCTTTTCTTTCTTAATATAAGCAGTCTGTCATGCAGCTCTTAGGAACTGAAGGAATATGCGCTCTGTAACCAAGATGCTTTACTTTTAAAAACTCAATTGCGGATTCAGGGCTCTTAAACTAGCAACAGACCAGCTCAGTCTAGACTTGTGCCTCCCAATCTAGAAATAACTCCATAGACCAAAAAGCAGTAAAAGCCTCCCAAGCAGTAGTTTTTTTTTTTTTTTTTTTTTTTTTTTTTTTTTTTTTTTTTTTTTTTTTAAATCCGGGGTCTGTCAGCACAGACACTGGATAGAAAAGGGTACCAGGTCTTGCAGTGTTTGAAAAGCTCAGTGTTAAGGCATTCCTTGCCCTCTTTCATTCAGCAGCTGCTAGCTGAGTGAGCACACTCTGAGAAGAGGGGAGAGACCACTCTCACCTCCCCTGCCCCCACCAGCCCCTCTCCAGGGTGCCTCCTCATAGATGGTGGGCTCCTCAAGGACAAGGCCCAATCCTTAGCCCCTTCTCCCAGTTTTGGGCTCAGATTTGGACACAGGAAATGTTGGTGAAATGGTGGAGCAATCCAATGGTGGATGGTGGAGCAAGTAAGTGAGCCAGGGGCTGGGGGCTGAGGGAATGTTGGGCCCTGACCACCAGAGAAGCCAAATTCAGGAGTTCTTTCCAGAGCCCCCTTTCATTTATTGCATTAATAAGAGAGGATTCGGGAGTGAAATGAGACAGATTTCTGTGCATGACATGACTAATGCAGGGCTTTTTACTGTTGATCACAAAAATAGCCCAAACATGTGGAGCCCCCGCCCCCCACCGCCAACCCCAGACATGGATGACATCATGCTGGCCTCTGTTGCTTTTTGGGGGGAAGTCACACTGTTATCAGCTGTTTTGACCGTGCAGAGGAAAGGGTCCTTGGTGAATGCAGCAACCTATGTCTCCAAAGGTCTCAGCTCATCAGCTTGAGCCCTGTCTGCCTGCCTCTTCCTGCCTGCCCTCATCCCAGAGGCTGCAGGCTCCACTAGCAGACAGAGCACTGGGCACCCTGCCAGTTTTCCCCAGTCCTGGGTGGGGCCTCTGAGGGCAGTAGGATGGCCTCTGATTCATAGGAGCCATGCCATGGCTATCCCGGTGAAGACAGGGAGCCCCATCCATCTACTCTTAGGGCAGAAGGGAAGAGGCACTCCTTGGGGTTCCTCTGAGCAGCCTGGTGCTCAGGTGCCTTTCCATAATGTATCTCCTAGCTACCCTGCATGCTGCTGCAAAGAAGAGGCAGGTGGAGAAGGGGGAAGATGGGCAAGTGAGGACTATCTCAGACAGCCTCACCAAATGCTAGCTCCAGTGCAAAATCAATAGTCACATGGTGGGATCTCTGCTTTAAAAGACACTTGATTGTGATAAAGGATGTAAGGCTGCTGTTTTCCCCTCTTACCAAAGGGCTTAAAATGCACATGCTCTGCAACTTCCAATAGACCTGGCAAGGTTGAACATACTTTCCCAGATAAATCAATCGAAGGCAGCCATCTCCCAGGGCGAAAGGGAGGTACCAGACTAAACAATCTTTATGGGGAGGACAGGAAGTGAGCTTGCTTCACTGGAGCTGATGGCAGGATGCACAGAAGGACCAGGGAGCTTGTCCCTGAGGTGAAGACCTGCCCCTACTGTGGCAGCTTTCTGGTGACAAAGGGACAGCTTTGTCCCAGATGCTAGACAATATCGTGCTGAACAATACCATCCCATACTTTCTTTCCAGCATGGTTTCCATGCTCAATTCCTGCCCTCCTGAGCTGCAGCCTTGTGTCACCAAGGATAAAGCAGGGACAAAGCTTCAGGAGAAAATGCCTATAGCAAGACTCCTGCCCATCTGTAGACTGTATGGGACTCACAAGGGGGTAAAGAGCACAGACTCAGAGCCATGTGGCCTGATTTCCAGACTCAGCCTAGTGCTGACAGGCTGGGTACCCTGGACAGCCATGCTGCTTTTTCTGGGCCACCTCTTTGTCTCTGTCAAGCAGAGATGCAGCCTCTGCTCAGCCCACCCCATGGTTGCCCCCAGAAAAGCTGTTGTTCAGAGTTCTCCTAGGTTTTCACTGGCCAGTGTTCTAGCACGGCAGACCTGGAAGGGCCTTCAGAGATCATCTTCTCCAATAGTCCCATTTTATAAAGGAGGAAACTGAGGCCTAGAGAAGGAAGGGGCTGATCTGAGGTGCCACCAGCCTGGAAACTACTTTCTTTCACCTCTCTTTATGTTTAAACTTTTACATTGAGATAATGGATTCACATGCAGTTGTAAGAAATAATACAGTGAGATGCCTTATACCCTTTACCTCCAATGGGACACACCCTATTTTTGAAAATGAGGCCAAGATGGGGATGGAGTATGTATGTGTGATAGGATAGGTGAGGAGAGAACTAGGGTAATAGAAATGGCTATTGCTCATTCAAAGCCAGGTCTGATATGCTTTATCACAAGCTGAAACTGCAGAAAGACTCTCTGTACCTTTTTGCTGTATTCAAGGCTATTAAGAAAGTGGATTCTGAGTGGCGCATTTTGCCCATTTATCCATTTGGTTTCTCCTAGGACTTTTCCTATACTTACCCTACTCCCTGCCCCCACTTCCTTTCATTTGAAGAATAGGAGGCCCCATAAATGGAAGGTGTTGGAAGGCTTGGTATCTGCTCTGCATTGGAAACCTCTCAGCAGTCCCTGAGCAGGCAGGCTGGCTTTCCGAGGAACCACCACTTTCCTTCTATGCTCCTTTCCTCTCTCAAAGCTCCATAGACCAGATGACAGCCCTTCCACTGCCCATGATTTATAAAAAAGGCAAAAAGACCAGCTCTCAATTGGCAGGCCTCGATGGTCAAGCTGGATCTTTATTTCTTCACAAATTCTTAAATACCAGCAAATGGCTAGAATTCATCCTGACAGACAACATCACTTAAGAAGCATTTCTGGCTTAAAAAATTAGCTTCAGTCCTCTTTTCCTTGGGCTGGACATGGGGAATCCTTTTATAGCCTCTCAAGTATCAATTGTATTTCGATTTGGTTCTCAGCCATGGGCAGTTCACTCCACCTAACTTTTGTATAACCACTGTCAGAAGCGGTATCCAAAAAGAGGCTCCAATTACTCTCTTAGTTTGTGTAAATGCTCCTCTAGTAAAGCTTTTTACTTTTCAGCTGCAGTGAAAGTTGAAGATAAACTCCACAGTAAGACAAGATAGGCAAGAAAATTGGACCACTCGAGAAGACCATGCATGGGTGGGGACGGGGGTGGGTATTGCCACATTCACACACATATGGCACTTGAGAGAGAAGAATGACCTGCGCAGGATCAGGAGGTGTGGGAAGGATGCAGAAGCATATTTATAGCAGGAGTTCAAGCCACATCCATTCCTCCTGGCCTGAACAGTCTAAGTGCTCTCTGATGAAACTTTTTCTGATGATGAAAATGTTTCAGATCTGTGTTGGCCAATATAGTAGGCATTAGCCGTGTGTACCTATGGAGCGCTTGAAATGTGATGGTTAGTGCAACCGAAGAATTGGATTTTTAATTGTACTTAATTTTAATTTATGTAAAAATAGCCAGAGGTAGCTAGTAGCCACTAGCTACCATAGTGGGAGTTTGCAGGTCTATACAATCCCAGAACAAACCTCTTGGAATTTGCCAACCTCTACCATGCACCCCATGACATCTCAGATCCTGCAATGGAAACTTCCTTTTTGAAATGTTGCTGGGTTGCTTTTTCTTGCTAAAAACTTGGTCAAACCCTAAGCACAGTTCCATTTTCATAGGCTGAGCAAAAGGCACAGCCTAGCCTTGCCAGGCATCTCTTTTTGGGTGCTTGGGAGCCCAATGAGTGGGGTGCATACTTGTGACTGACCGGCAGCCTGCAGCAGGCACTTGGGGCCCAGCCCCAGGACCTGAAGGCATGGCATTGCTCTCAGATTCAGTCTTTGGTGACCTTCAGCTGCAATCCCTATGGCTTCTCCCAGTATGGCTGGGGAAGCCTTGCTCATTGCCTGGGAGGAGGATATGTGCGTGGAATCAAGGGCAGGAAAGAGAAGAGGGGTGACAGGCTTTAGGCCTCTTGTAACCCAGCCCTGGGTCCCAAGGAGGAGGCAAAGAACTCTAATTCCCTTGGGAAGAGCTGAATGGAGAGATCAGATGATAGGGTCACAGGGAAGGCCCCCAGATCTCTAAAATTCAAGCAACTCCTGCAGGATGTACTGAGTGCCTGCTTGTGACACACAGGAGGTGTGAAGTGGCTACCCACGGAGCCCAGTGTCTGCAGCCTAGACCACTGGCATGGTCTAGCAAATACCTCTGCTCCCACTCAGGAAGAGGAGGCAGGTGACCAAGATAGGGCCTGCCTGTTTCCACCCCTTCCCAGAGCCCAGGCCAGCTGAGGTAGACCCGACTCCCACCTGCCTAACTTTGGCCTGAATCACGCAAAGCCTGGGCTGGGTGCTAGAGCGTGAGTATGGGAACAAGAGAGAGGCCAGGAATGCTGGTGTCCAGGGAATTTGAGCCCAGTGTGGTAGGGGGAGAAGGAAAAGGGACAGTTGTTCCAAAAGGAGGTTTGGAGGTGAGCCCTAAGAAACAGAAATGAGACCAAGTAGAAGAAAGAAGGGATCGAGAGTCAGACAGATCTAAGTACAGATACCCAGATCTGCCACGTATTGGCTGTAGGTGTGCAGTTAACATTTCTGTGTCTCAGTTTCCTCACCTGTGAAATGGAATAATACTGTCCCTATATTATAGGACTGACATCAGGAAATGGCTAAATGAAAAGTTATGTAAAAAGCATCTAGTCCATATTTTGATATATTATAGGGCCTTAATACAAACTAGAGTTTCACTGTAAAAGAAAGGTACGCTGCCCCAGGTAGCCATGGGGCTGGGAAGAAAAGGATAGTCTGGGCCAGGGCACGGCAGAGAGAAGTAGAGAATGTCACCAAGGAGTCTCAAGTAGGCAAGGGGGAGCAGAGTACATCCTGAGAGCGGAGGCTGGGCACATAGGCTGCACACAGATCACAGAGGGCCTGGAAAGGTGCATCTGACTTTGGACTATAGCCTCTATTCCGTGGGGAGCCATGGAATGATTTGAGCAAGGGAGTAACAGGGTCTGAGTTGTGCTGGAACAATACAGACAGTGGAAAATCAGAAAGAGGTTTGAATGGCTTATTCTGCCAGGCTGCTTGGGAAGAAGCCCTGGGAATTCACAGCCCTACAAAACTCCCAAGGAAGAGAAGCCAAGTGGAGCTTGCTTTTGTGGCAGTGTGGTCAGCTGAGAAGGGCGCTGGCACAGCCAAGCAACCCATTGGTGGAAAAGAAGCACCAGTGAGCTGCTTGTCCACTCACTGCTCACACCTACTAAGCACCGAAGGAAACTGGCCTGTAGTTCTCACTTCTACTGCAGGGTTTCTTGTTTGAAATTGATGACTGAGTAGTCTTTGCAAGCACCCAGTGTCAAAGGGGACCACAGACATCTGGCTCCTGTACAGATGTTGGGCTGCTACCCTGGGGGCGAACTGAATGCTTTCTGTAGCCCTATTACCTGTGGTGTCTTTTCAGAGACTCTACCTTTTGGGGAGACAACTGTAGGGACCCATTCCTCAGAAGCACAGGCATAGGAAGAGGCAGAGGTGGTTCCAGACAACCGGGACTGGCACTAGAGGAAGAACCCAGAGGTAGGCAGGTACTCAGGGGAGCAAGGAAAAAGTTCAAGAATTGGGTCCCAGGCCTGGACTCTGCCTCCCTTCCTGCCCCATGTCCCATCTGAGGCTCCCTGTTATTGCTGAGCACCCAAACCTCTGGCTGCTAGGTTTCCACTTCCTGACTGGCAGGCTGATGGCCTGCCCTAGTGCCTCATGACTAGGACCCCGTCTGACAACGGTCTAAGTCCCATAAGCAAGTGACTTAGGATGGGTTTGAGAGCCTTGGCAAGTGTGCATGAAGCAGCCCGTAGGTGGAGCTGAAAAGGTCTCAGCTTATGTGGTGGAGAGGGCTGGGAGCCAGGAAGCCTGGCAGTGCTTGTGGCTCTAGAGGATACTGAGGATGAACTCAAAGGCCTTTAACCTCATTTCCTTCCAAAAAAAAAGGCCAACTTTTTTAGCAATGAGCACTCCTCCCAGGGACTCCCATTGGATAGCTAAAGACAGGCCCTTCTGGGGAATTTTCTTCCCCTGCACACTTCTGTCTGGGTGTAGGGACTGTGGAGGCCAGCACTGGCCTCATAAAACAAGCCTGCAGGAGCTGGTATCCTCAGGAGGCTTGACATGAATGCCCAGATGGCATAAGCTCCTATTCTTTGGTAGCAACACATGCTTTTATGGGCTGGGAGAGCCAAGACTTTTGATAGGTTGCTGGGGAATGGGCCTCACACAAATCTAGAATGTTCTAGTTGGTGCCAAGCTATTTTGTGACTTTGTCTCGTGACCAAATCATGCAGCCAAAATTACAAACAGCATGCCAACTTTTAACATGAGTATCACTTTACCCTGGTAACAAATATGATCATTTAAAAAGTATAATAAATAACACATTTTTGTATCTGGTTTTGCATATTTCATAAGATACACACAGACTGAGAGCTTGTCAGAGAGGAAGCAGAGCTAAGGGATCTGGGGGCCAATCTCTACATTCTGGGGATGGAAATGGGGAAGCTGAGTCCCAGAAAAAATGAAAATACAGGCAACATCATTTATGCATTTGTATTGTACCTTATATTTGCAAAACATTTCACCAGCACTTGAACTTTCACATGCACTGTGGGAGGCAGGATGTACAGTGGGTAAGAACAGGTAATCAGGAACCTGGAGCTGGAAACTGACTTCTGTGAGTTGGGCCAAGTCTCTTAATTTCCCTGAGCACCAGTTTCCACCTCTGCAAAATGGGTTGTTGTGCAAGTTCAGTGAAATAATACATAGAACATGTTTAATGTCATGACTGACATACAGCATGGTCTATGAAAGTATTGGATATAATTTTTAAAAATCTTATTAGGACCCATAAGTGCTTCCTAAAGTGGGAAGAGCAAGATTATTAGCTCATTTGACAGATCAGAAAACTGAGGCTTGGGGAGATTGTCTTAATTTTATAGAACTAGAGAGTGGTAGAGCCAGGAATCAGTCCCAGACCTCTACACTCTACGCCTGGGGCCCTTTCTGCCACACTGACCACATCTTGTGAAGATCCTTCCTGCTTGCTCACCCACCTCACTTATAAATAAGCTCAAGGAAACCTCTTTCTGTCAACCAAAATTGCAGTAAGAAAAACATAATTATCATAAATACTTCTCTAAAGATTTGAGGTGGCTCATAGTAAAAACATAGATGAAAAGGAGCAGTGGAACTAAACCAATAAGACAGAGACAGAAACACTCAGAGAAAGGTAAGAGGTCATTTCACTAAGACCTGGGGGTGAGATCGCTGGGACCAAAATACACTTGGCTCTGAGCTTCTTGGAAGCCAGAGCACAGGAACAATGGGGCCCAGATTCTGACTACCATCATTAATAGGGAAGTTTCTGGATCAAGAACTGACCAGGGACAGCAGCAGAGGATGGGGGCGGTGCTGCATCATTGCCAAAGGAAAGGGAGGCCCATGTACACCCAAATGGTCCACTGCAGAGATGCCACAGTCATGTAGACCCAGGCCTGCCCTGGAGACTTCACAGGCAGCTGAGTCACACCAGTTTCCCAGCAGGAACACTGTTTGGGGCAAGCATGTAACAGGCCAGGTCCAGCAGGGCTATAGCCAAGGAGCTGGAAAGTGCTCCTTCAGGAGACAGTTGGGCCACAGCACCACAGTGGTGGTGGCGGGGGCGGGGGGGTGGCTATTGGCATCAGCAGAGAACAGAATGGAATCAGTTCCAGAGAATGCCAGGAGCTCCATCCTCGTGCAGGCAGATAAGTGTGCAAGGCTATAAGGCTTAGCATTTCTCTGGCCCCTCACATGCCTCTGTCATCAGCTACCTAGACCCTGGATGGAGCCAAAGTTTCATTCATCTGTGCCAGGGCTAGGACACAAGGGATAAAAAAATCCTCAAGAGTTGGGAGAGTGGAGAAGCCTGATGGCTTGGAAAGCAGAAACTTGGGTGTCCTGTAAAAATAGTGCTCCATCAATACAAGCTGTTATGGGTTGAATTGCATCCCCCCTTCTACCAAATTGATATGTTGACATCCTAAACTCCAATACCTCAAAATATGGCTTTATTTGGAAATAGGTTCATTGACGATGTAATAAGTTAAGATGAGGTCATATTGGAGTGGTTTGGTCCCTAATCCAATACGACCAGTGTTCTTATAAGAAGGAGAAATTTAAACATAGAGACACACTGGAGAGTATGTCATGTGAAGATGAGGGCAGAGATCAGGGTGATGCTTCTAAACGACAAGGAATGCCAAGGATGGTTGGGAAACCAAAAGATAGAAGAGATACATGGACCAAGTTATTCCTCACAGCCTTCAGAAGAAATCAACCTTACCAACACCTTGATCTTGGACTCCTAGCCCCAGAAGTGTGAGATCATACATTTCTGTTATTTAAGTCACCACTCAGTTCGTTGTATTTGTTACAGCAGCCCCAGCATACTAATACACACACACACACACACACACACACACACACACACACACACGCACCCCTATAGGTGCAAAATCCCTTTTCAAGGCCTGCAACACAGGGGAGATACATTCCTGGAGAAACAGGGCACAGGAGGGGTTGCGTGTGTATAAAACATTAGCTGAGTCTAAATCAAATTCCCATTTATATTTAATGCTGATACAGAGATGCATAATAAAAACAGCCCCCTACCTCTGTACAGTGTACTATAGACTAAAAATCACCTCCACATTCACAATATTGCATAAGCCCCCATCAACATAGAGTGGTGAGTGGTACCATCCTGAGTTTGCATGATGCTGTAAGGTGAAATGCTTTGTCTGAGGCTACACCACTAGAAGGCAAGGGGAAGTGTCATTTCCTTTCTGCCAGGCCAGTGTGTGAATATTCCTGTGCTCAGGTGGGGGTGCAGGGGTCGTGTGCACTTGCTTGGAGAGGACAGGGCTATTGCTTAAGAAAAAAGCAAGTGGATTTCTTAGCAATTCTCCCTTAGTGTCTTCCCAGACAGCATGATGGCATTCTGCCTGCTTGAGTTGTGACCATTTTTGCCACCTTGGCTCATTATGACTGCATCTTTCTTTCCACTGACTCCAATTGTATTCCCAACTTAAGTCTGAGACAATCCTCTCTCCCCCGGGCAGCAGTTGACAGGAATCAAAGTTCTTTCATGTTCTCTATCCCATTTGCAACTCGCCAAGTACTAAGGAGGGAAGCAGGGCATGGAATGTTATCCAATTTGACCACTGAGGCAAAGAAAGGGGAGTGACTTTCCTGTCAGCACTGAGGTAGTTGGGGTCAGTGTTGGGACTCAAATTTCAGTCAAGTTCAGTGTTATTTTTATAACAATGGATCTTGATTATTATGCACCTACTATAAGCCAGGAACTGCCCTAGGTGTGTGAAGTACATTCTCATCGAACCCTTCCATTTCCCATATGAGGAGATAAGAGACTGAGATAAGAGAGGCAACCTGCCCAAAGTCAGAAAGTACGTAAGTGGTGAAGCTAGGATATAATTACAGGTCTGGCTGACTCTAGCTTGGCTTGACATAATCACCCAATGCTGTCTCCTCTGTGTCACCTCCAGAGATAAAGATGTGAACAAGTGGCCAGGCTGACAGTATGCTCCCAGACCCCAGTGGATGCTTATGAGGGATGGCCCCAAATGCCCATCATCTAGATTGTAGTCCAGTAATCCATCCAGGAAGTCCCCTGGCTCAGGGCCCAGCTCCTGAGGGCTATTTAGAGACAGTCTCATTCATTCCCCCTAACTCCTAAAACCCAAGGGCCAGCTCTCTTGGAGCCTGGTGAGCAGCAGCCACTCATGAATACTCCAGTGACACCTTCCCTCTTGCTCAGAGCTGGCCTGGAGCCCAACTGGTATAAACCACCATACTGCCCAATGCAGGTGACAAATTTTTGCATGTGAGTCATCCTTGGAAACTTTTGGGGCTTGACATAAGAGGGTCCACAGAAGCAGCAGTCACTGGCCTGGGATGCCTACCTCTGCTCAGAGGGGCCTATAGAACCAGTGACTGGGGGATGTGCAGCGGCCCCACCTGCTGGAGTGGGTGATGCAGCTCACCTGCCTGTGACACAAGAGCTTAGCCCTTAAGGATAGTTCCAGAGAAAGATAGAAATCTTCCTAGAGAGAAATCATTTTTTCTAAGAATTGTAAGCTCTGGAGATTTGCAAGGGAACAACACAGATGCTGGGGAAGAAGGCAGGTGCCAGGCTAAATAAAGAAATGTGAGCACATACAGACAGAATACGATCCTTTGTTTCCACAGGGAGGCACAAATGTATATTAATGAGGATTCTGAATGCCAAGAAATCAAATAAGAACATAAACATCACAGTAAACACCAAAGCCCCAGCGTTGGCTGAAATCACTTACTATAGAAGGGGCACAGGACTTCTAACTGTGTGTCCTGCTCTGAAGCCTTCCAAAGCTTCACAAAAGACAACTGCTCCACTTGTAGGGCTGGGACTTGACACTCTCATAAACAAGAGAAGCTCCTGAGTTTAGCCATTGATACTGGAGAAAAGCCCTAGGAAGCCACTGCATGTGCTCAAAGGCACAACAGCAAGGATATGGGCTGGGATTTGTGTGGTAGGCAAGGAGCTCTGTATGAAGTCTGTGGCAAATTGGTTTATTGGTCCCAAGAGGTATATAAACCTTCAGATGGGTAGGAGATGCGGTGAGAGAGGCAACTGGAGAAAAAACTTAAAATGGACAACTTCTTCCCAAGATTCCCACACCACAAGATGAGGGATCTTAGTGCATGGCCTTGGAGGACATGGGTGTGAGTGTTTGCACCCCTCTAATCCTCTGCCAGCTCTTTCCTGCCAGCCATATAGGCATATATGGGCCAGTTGCACCAATGCCACACAATCCTGCTTTGGGCTTATGGTGGATATCTATCCTTTTTTTGACTGCCCACCATCTTCACTCTTCCCAGGTTTGAGAAAGCTGAAAAAAACACCAGTTACTCACTTTCCCAGCTTCTTTTTTAAGCTACGGCACAGTACATGGCTGAGTCTCAGGCCATTCAGTTTTGGGTCAGTGCTAATGATGAAGAGAAGCAGGGTCAGTAGAGAATATGGCACAGAATCTCATGTCCTGCAGCATCTATACCAGGGGAATCAGAGGCCAGTGATAGCAATGTTGGCGAACAAGCTACAGGGTCTACTGCTCAGTAGTGTAACAGAGCTGCTCTTATCAGACTAACTCAGTGATATGATTTTATCTGTAAATCTGGTCATATGGCAACCAAACCTGATTCTCAAGCCTCCCAGCAATTCTATGACCTACCCAGTACCCTTCCTAGAAACCCTTTTTTTCTGCTTTAATAATTCAGAGTTAGTTTCTGTTGCTTACAACTAGGACTCTGAGAGGACCATAAATCCTTGTTGAGATTCTGGAATATATCTTTCCCGATTCTCTCCACAGCCCAGCCATACTTTGAGTTCAACATAAGTCTTCTCTCTCCTAAGAAGCACAGACTAAGTATTCCATTTATTCTAAAAGCATTTCCTGAGTATCTGTTGTGAGCCAGGTACTGTGCTGCATGCTGAGGATGTAGAAATAAATTGGACTCTGTTTCTTTACTTAAATATTTCCCATTATAGTGATAAATGAAGAATGAAAAAGAAATGTGATGAGGGCTATACTGGAGGCTAGATGAATCCCTGGCTCATGGCTGCCTGACCATGATGGGAAAATCAAGATGAAAAGTTGAGGCTTTCACTTTTGATAATGGGGGATTAGCTTTCCCACTAAAAATAGACACAAATTCCAGTCAAAACATTAAAATATATTCTCTCTAGAATGTCAAAGATCTGAAAAGATAAGGATTATGGGGGCAAGATAGAAAAGAACACATAATCAGAAAAGTGAGTGCAACATCTGGGACCTCCTTGGTCAAAGGTAATAGAAAATAAAAATTAGAATCAAATGGAAATTTCACAACAGAAAAATACAATAACCAAAATAATAAACTCACTAGATAGGTATAATAACATAAAATATATAGTAAAATAAAGAATTAGTAAACTGGAAAATAGGTCTGAATAAAACAGCCAGAATATGCAAAGATAAACTAACAAGAAACATGGAAGAGAGAGTAAGGGGCATAAAGAATATAATATCTAATCAATGTGTAATTGGCATAGGAGGAGAAGAGTTAAGTGAGAGAGAAAACAGGAGCAGAAGAAATACTTTGAGAGCCAGTGGTTAAGGACTTTTTATAGTGGTAAAAGGTATCAAACCACAGAGTCAAGAGGCCTGCAAACCTCAAGAAGGACGAATTCAGAGAAAACCACACTGAGAGGCACATCACAGTAAAACTGCCGAAATAAAAGAGAAAATATCAAAAGCAGTTAGAATGAAATTACATAATGTTTGAGATTTACTTTGAAATGATGCAACAGTAGTGGAAGAAATTTATGGGGTTACAGATGAAAAATATGGTGAACTTCCACTTCCAGAAATAATAGATTAACAGGTGCCAGAGAATCCCCCCCCCACCCCCACAGTAAACAACAAGACAACTGCTTTCAGGCATTAGAAATTAGACACTAGGCTTTAGGCAACAGATAACACAAGTCTGGAATCCCTGAGAGCGAGGGATGAAAACCACAATTGCTCCAGTTCTCTGCATGGGGAAAATTTCCCAAGTGCAGAAATGAGCTGGAATCCAAGCAGTGCATAGTGGTACTACTGAGGTTAAGAGGCAGAGATCAGAGTTTGGAAAAGCAAAAAATGGTTAGATCTTTGGGATGTGGTCCTCGAGATGGGAGAACTACAAATGGGAGGAAGCACCAAAAGTCCATGTCTTAGTTTGCTAGGGCTTCCATAACAAACTACCAAAACATGGGTGGCTTCAACAACCGAAATTTATTCTCTCACAGATCTGGAGACTAAAAATTCAAAATCAGGATGCTGACAGGGTTGGTTCTTTCTGAGAGCTGTGATGAAAGGATCTGTTCCAGGCCTCTCTTCTTGGCTTATAGTTGGCCATCTCCTCCTTGTATCTTTTCACATTGCCTTCCCTTGATGTGTATCTTTGTGCCCCAAACTCTTCCAGTTACACTGGACCAGGGCCCCTCCTAATGACCTTAGTTTAATTTGATTAATTCTGTAAAGATCCTATCTTCAAATAAGAAAACATTTTGAAGTACTGAGGGTTAAAAATTCAACACATAAATTTTGGGAAAATACAATTCAACATATAAGCATCCATGTGGAGTCTCCTGCAAGTCTATATCTGAGTCTTGGCTTTAATCAGACAAAGCAAGATATCATCTGTAATGTCAAGTATACAATAAAATATTGCTAAAAATAAAAAAAACACAAAATTGAGACATAGTCGATTGAAATCAACACTGAGATGGTCCAGATGTTGATTTTAGCAAAGACTTCAAAGCAACTATGAAAAATACATTCTAGGAATTAGGGCAAATATGTTATTGATGAGTGAACAGATTGGGAATCTAAGCAGATAAATAAAAAGTATCCCCTCAAAACCAAGTGAAACTCTAGAACTGAAAAGAACAATAACTGAAATGAGTAATTCACTGGATGGAATTAATAGCAACTTGAGAAGGCAGAAGATAGACTCAGTAACCTTGAAGATAAGTTAATAGAATTTATCAAATGTGAAGAACAGAAAAAAAAAAAAAACCTTCAAAAACTGAACAAAACCCCAGGGCCCTGTGGGACATCAAATAGTGCATTATGTATGCAATTATATAGTCTCAGAAGGAGAAAAGAGTGAAGATGAGGCAGAAGAATATTGTGTGAAATAATGGCTCTGATTTTTTTTCCAAGTTTGATGAAAACTTTGACTTATAAAACCAAGAAGCCCAATGAATCCAAGCAGAATAAATGCAATGAAAACAATACCTAGCCACATAATAGTCAAATAACTGAAAACCAAAAATAACAGAAAATCTTGAAAAAAGCCAGAAGATACACATTACATACACAGGAATAATGATACAAAAGGTGGCTGGCTTCTCATCAGAAAGCAAGCAGGCAGACAGTGGAATTAGACATTTTTAAAGTGCTGCCAAAACAAAAACAAATAATCATCCTGTCAACCCAGAATTCTATATCCATAAAAATAGCCTGCAAGAACAAGGATGAAATAAAGACATTTTTAGATAAACAAATGATAAGAGAATTCATTGCCAGTAGCCTTACACTACTAAAAGGGAAATGGTACCACATTTAGAAACTTAGAACAGGAGGAAGTTAAAAGAATGTAAATGGTAAATAAGTAGGTAATAATGAAGGAACTTGGTTTTCTAAATATTACTTTTCATAATTCCCTTAAAACTGATTAAAATGCAAAGGATATGAACAGACACTTCTCAAAAGAAGACATTTATGCAGCCAAGAAACATATGAAAAAAAGTTAATCACCACTGGTCATTAGAGAAATGCAAATCAAAACCACAATGAGATACCATCTCAGGCTAATGAGAATGGTGATCATTAAAAAGTCAGGAAACAACAGATGCTGGAGAGGATGTAGAGAAATAGGAACACTTTTACACTGTTGGTGGGAGTGTAAATTAGTTCAACCATTGTGGAAGACAGTGTGGCAATTCCTCAAGGATCTAGAACTAGAAATACCTTTTGACCCAGCAATCCCATTACTGGGTATATACCCAAAGGATTATAAATCATGCTACTATAAAGACACATGCACACATATGTTTATTGCAGCACTATTCACAATGGCAAAGACTTGGAACCAACCCAAATGTCCAACAATGATAGACTGGATAAAGAAAATGTGGCACATATACACCATGGAATACCATGCAGCCATAAAAAAGGATGAGTTCATATCCTTTGCAGGGACATAGATGAAGCTGGAAACCATCATTCTCAGCAAACTAACACAGGAACAGAAAACCAAACACCACATGTTCTCACTCGTAAGTGGGAGTTAAACAATGAGAACACATGGACACAGTGAGGGGGACATCACACATTGGGGCCTGTCGGGGGGTTGGGGGCTAGGGGAGGGATAGCATTAGGAGAAATACCTAACGTAGATGATGGGTTGATAGGTGCAGCAAACCACCATGGCAGGTGTATACCTATGTAACAAACCTGCATGTTCTGCACATGTACCCTAGAACTTATGGTATAAAATAACTGATTACAGAAAAATAATATATGGTTTATAAAATAAGATTTGTAACATATATAGACTTAAAGAATATGACAAAAATCACATAAAGCATACAGTGTGACTGGTAAATGGAATTGTACTTTTGTAAGATTTATAATTTTATAAAAAATCTTTTATAATTCTCACTTTATATGTGGCACTTCTCACTTTATTATTGCTATGTGGTGTAATAATAAAGTGAGAAATGTCACATATAAAGTGAGAATTAGAAAGTGTGAAGTAGAAAGTGCAAAGTGTCAGGTGTGAAGTGGTAAAATACTGACTCTAAATAGACATTAATAAGCTGAAGATGCATATTCTTAGCCCTAAACAAACCACTAAAAGTCATAAACAGTGATATATCTAAGAAATAAAATACTAAAAAAATTATTCACCAAAAAGAAGCAGGTAAAGAGCAAATAGAGATGGGAACAAAGAACAGATAAAATAAGTCAAAAACAAATATTGAGATGGTACACCTAAATATAATATCAATGCCCATATTAAGTATAAATAAACACTTCAATTAAAAGACAGAAAGTGTCAGATCAGATTAAAAGAGAAGATTCAACAGTATGCTATCTATAATGTACACTTTAAATATAAAGACACAAACTGGAAATAAAAGGAAAAAGAAATACCATATGAACAGTAATCATAAGAAAGCTGGCATGGCTATTTACATCAGATAAAATAGACTTCAAGAAAAGAGTATGGTGAAAGATAAATAAGAATATTTCATAAAGACAAAAGGATTACTACATCAGGAATACACAACAATTATAAAGGTATATGTACCTAATTACAGGTTTTCGAAATACATGAAGCAAAAGATTACAGAAATAATGAGGAAAGAGACAAATCCAGACTCATAGTTGAAAATTTTAACATCTCTTTTCTCAATAACTGATAGAGCAACTAAAAAATTAGTAATGATATACAGTTTCTAAATGATATTATCAAACAACTTAACCCAGTTGACATTTGTAGAATACTACAACCAACAATGGCAGAATAAACATTTTTCAAGTGTACATGGAACAGTCTCAAAAATGGAACATATGCAGAGACAAAGAAAAAACTATGGATTTCAAAAGAAATCTTACAGAATATATTCTCTATCCATGATGAAAATGAATCAGAAATCAATAACAATAAAATATCTAGAAATAACCCAAGTATTTGGAAATTAAACAATATGTTTCTAAATAATCTGAGGTGAAAGAAGAAATCACAAAGGAAATTAAAAATATTTTTGCACTGAATTATAATGAAAATACAACATATCACAATTTGAGGGATGTGGCAAGAAGTCCTTAGAAGGAAATTTATAGCTTTAACTACTTATATTAGAAAATAAGGAAAGTCAAAATCAGTGGTCTGAGCATCAACCTTAAGTAATCAGAAAAAGAAGAATAAGTTAAACTCAAAGTAAACTGTAGGAAAGAAATAATAGACAGCAGAAATGGAAGCCAGATATCGACAAACAAAACATGAATGAAAGCATTAGTGGTAGACAAATAATTTAGAAAAAAAATGAAAACAAAAGTAGTACATTGAAAAGATCCATAAAACTGGTAATTCTCTAGCTAGAGTGATCAAGAAACAAAGACCACAAATTTATGACATTAGGAATGGAAGAGGGGACACCACTACAGATCCTACACATACACATTAAAAGGATAATAAGGGCATACTATGAACAGTTTTATGGCAATACATTTGATAGCTTAGGTAAAATGTACACATTCTTTGAAAGATAAAAATGACCAAATCTGATTTAAAAAGCAGATAATCTGAATAGCTACAGCTACTAAGGAAATTGACTTTGTAAATAATAACCTTCCCACAAATGAAATTCCAGGGCCAGATGACTTCATTGGTGAATTCCATTACATTTTAAGGAAGAAATAACACTGATACTAAGGAAAATACCTTCAGGAAAAAAGAAGAGAGGGGAACACTTCCTTCTCAAGCTGTCAAGCAATCTCTAAGCAGCAGCACATTGGCAGCTGCTAGGTTGGCTTGCCAAAATTCCATAGATTTGTCTGATAAGGAGACAACAAGCCCAAATAGATTCAAATGGTTTATTACTTATACAGACAACAAAAGTGAGATCAACATGGTGTCAAATCCTCCTGTCCCTCACCTGACAGGACAACAATGAACCAGAGCGGCCAGATGACAGACAGCATGGGCAATGAATTGCTCTGCTACTGGGGAACCAACTCTAAACTTATGCACTTACACAGAAGCCTATAGATGTAAACTAAGTAGGGGTGAGGTGGAAAGTCTTGTGCTCAAGTGAAACTAGAAAGATGGGTGAGAAATCATGTTTTGGAAGTTTCCCATAAAATAGGGAGGTTAATGAGAAACTGTCTCATGGAAGCTTCTCACTAGGCTTCTTTTATCTCTTTGTTCCAGGAAGAATCATAGGTTATGCTAACAAGACTCGGGTCAGGCTATAGTTAAGCCTTACCTACATGACCTATGTGAACACATGAAAAGTTGTCAGTGGAACGTGGCAGAGATGTTTTCCTACATATTTTCACTTTATTTTATAAAGCTAATAATATCCCGATAGCAAAACCAGAAGAAGCCAACCTAAAGGAAAAAAATTAGACTAATATCCCTCATAAACATACCAGGAAAAATCCTTAAACAATACATGAGCAAAGTGAATCCTGTAATACATGAAAAGGATAATACATCACGACTGTGGGCTATTTCCAGGAATTCAAGGTTATTTTAACATTCAAAAGTCAATGTAATTGAAATTTGTGGAATGCAACTAAGGTAGTGCTTAGAGAAAAAGTTATGATGTTAAATGCTTATATTAGAAAACAGGCACATGAAAAAATGCTCATCATCACTGGCCATCAGAGAAATGCAAATCAAAACCACAATGAGATACCATCTCATGCCAGTTAGAATGGCGATCATTAAAAAGTCAGGAAACAACAGGTGCTGGAGAGGATGTGGAGAAATAGGAACACTTTTACACTGTTGGTGGGACTGTAAACTAATTCAACCATTGTGGAAGTCAGTGTGGTGATTCCTCAGGGATCTAGAACTAGAAATACCATTTGACCCTGCTATCCCATTACTGGGTATATACCCAAAGGATTATAAATCATGCTGCTATAAAGACACATGCACATGTATGTTTATTGCGGCACTATTCACAATAGCAAAGACTAGGAACCAACCCAAATGTCCAACAATGATAGACTGGATTAAGAAAATGTGGCACATATACATCATGGAATACCATGCAGCCATAAAAAAGGATGAGTTCATGTCCTTTGTAGGGACTTGGATGAAGCTGGAAACCATCATTCTCAGCAAACTATCGCAAGGACAAAAAACCAAACACCGTATGTTCTCACTCATAGGTGGGAATTGAACAATGAGAACACATGGACACAGGAAGGGGAACATCACACACCCGGGCCTGTTGTGGGGTGGGGTGAGGGGGGAGGGATAGCATTTGGAGATATACCTAATGTTAAATGATGAGTTACTGGGTGCAGCACACCAACATGGCACATGTATACATATGTAACTAACCTGCACGTTGTGCACATGTACCCTAAAACTTAAAGTGTAATAAAAAATAAAAAGAAAAAAAAAACAAAGAAAAAAGGGCCGGGCGTGGTGTCTCATGCCTGTAATCCCAGCACTTTTGGAGGCCGAGGCGGTAGAATCACAAGGTTAAGAGATTGAGACCATCCTGGCCAAAACGGTGAAACTCCGTCTCTACTAAAAATACAAAAATTAGCTGGGCATGGTGCCACGCGCCTGTAGTCCCAGCTACTCGGGAGGCTGAGGCAGGAGAATCGCTTGAACCTGGGAGGCAGAGGTTGCAGTGAGCCAAGATGACGCCACTGCACTCCAGCCTGGCGACAGAGCGAGACTCCGTCTCAAAAAAAAGGGTTGTAAATCAATGATCTAAGCATCTACCTTAAAATCTAGAAAAACAAGAGCAAAGTAAACCTAAATCAAGACTTACCACAAAGTTACAATAAATACTGACAGATAGATACATACATCAATGGAACAGAGTAGAGTTATGCAATAGGCCCATACAAATATTGTCAATTGGCTTTTAACAAAGTTGCAAAGGCAATTCAATGAAGAAAGAATAGTCTCAACAAATGGTGCTGGAGCAATTGGATATCCATAAGCAAAAACAAAACACAATTTAAAAAGTGCCTCAACCTAACCCTCAAACCTCATACTGAAGTTTCAGAGATTATCTGAAAAAGTGTATAGACATTGGCATAAATGTAAAACTATAAAAATGTTTAAAGGACAACAAAAAAGAAAATCCTCACCGCTAAGTTAAGCAAATAGTTCTTAGACATGACACCAAAAGCATGAGCATAAAAGAAAAGAATGGTAAACTGAACATTAAGATTTTGAAAATTTGCTTTGCAAAAGACACTATCAAGAGAATAAAAAGAAAGCTACAGATTGGGAGAAAATATTTGCAAATCACATATCTGATAAAAGATTTGTATCTATAATATATAAGAACTCTCATCCAACAAATAACTCAAATCTTAAGATAAACTTTTAAAGGTAACTGTAGATTCACATGCAGTTGTAAGAAGTTATACAAAGAAATCCAGTGCACTCTTCCCCAGTTTCCTTCAATGGTACCATCTTATAAAGCCATAGCACAATATCACAACCAAGATATTGACATTGATACAGTCAAGATACAGAATACTTCCATTACCACAAGCATACCACATTTTGCCCTTTTATAGCCACATCTATTTACCTTCTCCCCAACCCCCTCTTTAACCCTGGTAACTACCAGTCTGTTCATTTCTATAATTTTGTCATTTAAAGAACTTTGTATAAATGAAATCATACATATCAAAAGCCAATCATAAATGGGATAGACATTTTTCAATTAGATTATCTGGAGATTCATTCAGTTTATTGTGTGAATCAACAATTTCCCTTTTATTGCTGAGTAGTATTTCATGATATGGATGTATTGCAGTTTGTTTAACCACTCACCTATCGAAGGACACCTGGACCATTTCCAATTTTAGGCTATTGCAAATAAAGTTACATTCATGTGCAGGTTTTATGTGGACGTAAGTTGTATGATAGTTGTATGTTTACTTTCTTAGGAAACTACCAAACTATTTTTCAGAATGGCTGTGCCATTTAACATTCTCACTAAAAATGTATGAGTGATTCAGTTTCACCACATCCTCCCCAGCCTTGTTGTTGTCACTGTTTTATGAATTTTTTTTTAGCCATCCTGGCAGATTTGCAGCAATATCTCAATGTGATTTTTATTTGCATTCTCCTGATGGCTAATAATGTTGAACGTCCATTCTGCTTCATAAATAGTGTCACTGAATATGTCTTTTTGTATAGCTATTTTAGTGGTTGTCTTAAGTATGATATTATATATACATAATTTTATCACAGTTTACTGGTGTCAGTTCACCAGTTTGAGTGAAGTATAGAAAACTTACTTTCCTTTACATCACGTAACCTCCCCTATTTATAATGTAATTGTCTAAAGTATTTCTTCCACATATATTTAGAATCACATCAAACAGTGTTATAACTGTTGCTTCAACCATCAATTTGGAAAACTCAAGAGAAGGAATGTCTACTATATGTATCTATATTTTTGCTCTTTCCATTGTGTCTTCTTCCTTGCTAATGTCCAAGATTCCTTCCTTTATTATTTCCCCTCTGTTTAGAGAACTTCCTTTAGCCACCCTTTTAGGGTAGGCCTGCTGGGCTATATATATATATATATATATAATTTTTAAAAAATTTTTCTTCTGTGAATGTTTTGATTTTCTTTTCATTCTTGAAGAATTTTGCTCATTAGGGTATTCTGGGTTGTTGGTTCTTTCAGCACTTGAAAAATATGCAACTTCCTTCTGACTTACATGATTTCTTATGAGAAATCTGTTGTCATTCTAATTGTCATTTCTCTCTTTCTGCTTTCAATATGCTTTCCTTGTCTACAGTTTTCAGAAGTTTATGTCTTGGCATGGATTTCTTTAGGTTTATACTGCTTGGAATTTGTGCATCTTCTTGTAGGTTTACGTCTTTTGCAAAATTTGGAGGGTTTTCCGTCATTATTTCTTCAGGTACCTTTTCAGCCTACCCTCTTTCTTCTCTCCTACTGGAACTCCTATGACACAAATACTACATTTTTTATTATTGTCCCACAGGTCTTTTACACTCTGCTCATTTGTTTTCAGTCTGTTTTCTCTCTTTTTTTTTTCTTTTTATTTGGCATTTTCTTAATTTATTAAAACTTGAAGTAATAAACATTATTGGTTTCTTTTATATTTTTATTATAAACTTTTAGTCTTAAGGGTATAATAAATTCTATAGAATTAGTGTATAATCAATTCTATAGAATTAGTAGGGGGAATGGGTAGCAGATGAACAAGAGAAATATTTTACAATTTTTAAAGATGTCAGTATAAAAAACCCACTTTTCTCAGAAAAAAAGTATACTTCACATCCCTTGTAAGTTGGATTCCTAGGTATTTTATTCTCTTTGAAGCAATTGTGAATGGGAGTTCACTCATGATTTGGCTCTCTGTTTGTCTGTTGTTGGTGTATAAGAATGCTTGTGATTTTTGTACATTGATTTTGTATCCTGAGACTTTGCTGAAGTTGCTTATCAGCTTAAGGAGATTTTGGGCTGAGACGATGGGGTTTTCTAGATATACAATCATGTCGTCTGCAAACAGGGACAATTTGACTTCCTCTTTTCCTAATTGAATACCCTTTATTTCCTTCTCCCGCCTCATTGCCCTGGCCAGAACTTCCAACACTATGTTGAATAGGAGTGGTGAGAGAGGGCATCCCTGTCTTGTGCCAGTTTTCAAAGGGAATGCTTCCAGTTTTTGCCCATTCAGTATGATATTGGCTGTGGGTTTGTCATAGATAGCTCTTATTATTTTGAAATACGTCCCATCAATACCTAATTTATTGAGAGCTTTTAGCATGAAGGGTTGTTGAATTTTGTCAAAGGCTTTTTCTGCATCTATTGAGATAATCATGTGATTTTTGTCTTTGGCTCTGTTTATATGCTGGATTACATTTATTGATTTGCATATATTAAACCAGCCTTGCATCCCAGGGATGAAGCCCACTTGATCATGGTGTATAAGCTTTTTGATGTGCTGCTGGATTCGTTTTGCCAGTATTTTATTGAGGATTTTTGCATCAATGTTCATCAAGGATATTGGTCTAAAATTCTCTTTTTTGGTTGTGTCTCTGCCCGGCTTTGGTATCAGAATGATGCTGGCCTCATAAAATGAGTTAGGGAGGATTCCCTCTTTTTCTATTGATTGGAATAGTTTCAGAAGGAATGGTACCAGTTCCTCCTTGTACCTCTGATAGAATTCGGCTGTGAATCCATCTGGTCCTGGACTCTTTTTGGTTGGTAAACTATTGATTATTGCCACAATTTCAGAGCCTGTTATTGGTCTATTCAGAGATTCAACTTCTTCCTGGTTTAGTCTTGGGAGAGTGTATGTGTCGAGGAATTTATCCATTTATTCTAGATTTTCTAGTTTATTTGCGTAGAGGTGTTTGTAGTATTCTCTGACGGTAGTTTGTATTTCTGTGGGATCGGTGGTGATATCCCCTTTATCATTTTTTATTGTGTCTATTTGATTCTTCTCTCTTTTTTTCTTTATTAGTCTTGCTAGCGGTCTATCAATTTTGTTGATCCTTTCAAAAAACCAGCTCCTGGTTTCATTAATTTTTTGAAGGGTTTTTTGTGTCTCTATTTCCTTCAGTTCTGCTCTGATTTTAGTTATTTCTTGCCTTCTGCTAGCTTTTGAATGTGTTTGCTCTTGCTTTTCTAGTTCTTTTAATTGTGATGTTAGGGTGTCAATTTTGGATCTTTCTTGCTTTCTCTTGTGGGCATTTAGTGCTATAAATTTCCCTCTACACACTGCTTTGAATGTGTCCCAGAGATTCTGGTATGTTGTGTCTTTGTTCTTGCTGGTCTCAAAGAACATCTTTCTTTCTGCCTTCATTTCGTTATGTATCCAGTAGTCATTCAGAAGCAGGTTGTTCAGTTTCCATGTAGTTGAGCGGTTTTGAGTGAGATTCTTAATGCTGAGTTCTAGTTTGATTGCACTGTGGTCTGAGAGATAGTTTGTTATAATCTCTGTTCTTTTACATTTGCTGAGGAGAGCTTTACTTCCAAGTACAAACCACTGCTCAAGGAAATAAAAGAGGATACAAACAAATGGAAGAACATTCCATGCTCATGGGTAGGAAGAATCAATATTGTGAAAATGGCCATACTGCCCAAGGTAATTTATAGATTCAATGCCATCCCCATCAAGCTACCAATGACTTTCTTCACAGAATTGGAAAAAACTACTTTAAAGTTCATATGGAACCAAAAAAGAGCCTGCATCGCCAAGGCAATCCTAAGTCAAAAGAACAAAGCTGGAGGCATCACACTACCTGACTTCAAACTATACTACAAGGCTACAGTAACCAAAATAGCATGGTACTGGTACCAAAACAGAGATATAGATCAATGGAACAGAACAGAGCCCTCAGAAATAATGCCGCATATCTACAACTATCTGATCTTTGACAAACCTGACAAAAACAAGCAATGGGGAAAGGATTCCCTATTTAATAAATGGTGCTGGGAAAACTGACTAGCCATATGTAGAAAGCTGAAACTGGATCCCTTCCTTACACCTTATACAAAAATCAATTCAAGATGGATTAAAGACTTAAACGTTAGACCTAAAACCATAAAAACCCTAGAAGAAAACCTAGGCATTACCATTCAGGACATAGGCATGGGCAAGGACTTCATGTCCAAAACACCAAAAGCAATGGCAACAAAAGACAAAATTGACAAATGGGATCTAATTAAACTAAAGAGCTTCTGCACAGCAAAAGAAACTACCATCAGAGTGAACAGGCAACCTACAAAATGGGAGAAAATTTTCACAACCTACTCATCTGACAAAGGGCTAATATCCAGAATCTACAATGAACTCAAACAAATTTACAAGAAAAAAACAAACAACCCCATCAAAAAGTGGGTGAAGGACATGAACAGACACTTCTCAAAAGAAGACATTTATGCAGCCAAAAAACACATGAAAAAATGCTCACCATCACTGGCCATCAGAGAAATGCAAATCAAAACCACAATGAGATACCATCTCACACCAGTTAGAATGGCGATCATTAAAAAGTCAGGAAACAACAGGTGCTGGAGAGGATGTGGAGAAATAGGAACACTTTTACACTGTTGCTGGGACTGTAAACTAGTTCAACCATTGTGGAAGTCAGTGTGGCGATTCCTCAGGGATCTAGAACTAGAAATACCATTTGATCCAGCCATCCCATTGCTGGGTATATACCCAAAGGACTGTAAATCATGCTGCTATAAAGACACATGCACACGTATGTTTATTGCGGCACTATTCACAATAGCAAAGACTTGGAACTAACCCAAATGTCCAACAATGATAGACTGGATTAAGAAAATGTGGCACATATACACCATGGAATACTATGCAGCCATAAAAAATGATGAGTTCATGTCCTTTGTAGGGACATGGATGAAATTGGAAATCATCATTCTCAGTAAACTATCACAAGAACAAAAAACCAAACACCGCATATTCTCACTCATAGGTGGGAATTGAACAATGAGATCACATGGACACAGGAAGGGGAATATCACACTCTGGGGACTGTGGAGGGGTGGGGGGAGGGGGGAGGGATAGCACTGGGAGATATACCTAATGCTAGATGACGAGTTAGTGGGTGCAGCACACCAGCATGGCACATGTATACATATGTAACTAACCTGCACATTGTGCACATGTACCCTAAAACTTAAAGTATAATAAAAAAAATAAAAAAATAAAAAAAAGTATACTTCATCTTAAAGTGTATTTCTACAATAAGTGTAATGATTATATATCTTGATTGGCCAAGATTGGATAATATCTATTGCAACTTCAAGTTTACTGATTCCTCTGTCCCTTCATTTTCCTGTTCAATCCATCTATTGAGCTCTTTATTTTGGTTATTGTATTTTTTGCCTCTAAAATATCCACTTGGCTTTTCTTGATATTTTCTATTTCCATTTATTTGCTAAAATGTTATATTTTTTCATTTGTTCCAAGTGTGTTTCATTTGTTCCAAATACGTTTGAATATCATTGAAATTTCTCATTATTTTTACAATGGGTACATTAGATTTTTGTCAAATCCTTCCCATATCCCTGTCATCCTGGTGTTGGGCATCAACTAATTGTTTTTTTTTTATTCCATTTGAAATGTTCATTCTTTGATGAGTGATTTTGTATGGATATCTTGACATTTGGGGTATTATGTTACGAGACTTTAGGCCTCATTTATATCTTCTGTTTAATATAATTTATTATGACACCAATGCAGCAAGGGAAGAGGGAATGAAGTGTCACCTCTTTATAGCCATATGGGGACAAAAGTTCAGATTACTTCTGTTGGCACCTGAGGCAGGATGATGCTCCTTGTTACTGCTGCATAGAGGTGGGAGATCCAGATCCCTAGTAGGCTTTCAATGATACTTCCCTGGATGGAAGAGGTAGTTGTTACCTTTTTACTGTTCCTCATGTTGCCTCCACTGACACCACATATGGGTGCAGTGGCCTCATTGCCACCATAAGATGGTGACCCTGAATCTCCAGTAGGCCTCCTCTGACACCATTTCAGCAAGGAGTCTATGGAATGCCTCATTACTGCCTTGTGAGGACATAAATCCAGGCTCCCCAAATGATCTCCACTGGCATCACGGGATGAGGAGATGCCTTGCTGCCGAATGGAGGGAATGAAAGTCCTAGCTCCCTACTCAGCCTTCTCTGACACTGGAGCCTCATTACAGCCTGGCAAGGATAGAATTCTAGCTTTCCCACTCAGCTTTTGCTGGTGTGAGTGTGGTCAGGCCAAAAGTGTTTGTTTGTTTGTTTGTTTGTTTGTTTTCCCCTGTGGCATTGGGCTAAAACAGTATAGTCATTGCCTAAAATACTTCTGTCTTGATAGGCTACCCCTAGATTGGATTGTTCTGTATCCTGATTTTGGTGGTAGTTACACCAATCTACCCTTATGCTAAAATTCATAGAACTATATAAAAACGGCAGTTTACAAATAAAAGTTTTTAAAAAAGAAGAGCAAAGTTGTAGGAGTTACATTGACTGGCTTAAATAATTGTTATAAAGATTAAACAACTGGGGAAGTAGAGTATTGGTATAAGGATAGACAAATGTATCATGGGAAAAAATTAGAAAGTCCAGAAATAGCCTCACACATGTATGACCAATTGATTTTCAGCAAAGATGTCAAAGTGATTTAATGGGTGATAACATAGACTTAAAAAAAAAAAGGTGCAATTACAACTGAATATTCATTTGGGGAAGATGAACCTCAACCCTTATTACATACCATATACATATATTAACTTGAGATGGTTCATAAATCTAAACATAAAAGTTAAAACTATAAAAATTCAGAAGAAAAAAATAGGAAAAATAATTGCAAATTTGGAAGAGGCAAAAATCTTGATAGGACACAAAAAGTATAAACTATATAAGAAAAAATGATACAATGGATTTCATTAAATTTTGCTCTTTGAATCACTAAAAAAAATGAAATGGTAAATTTGCAAACCATAGATCTGAGAAAGGACTTACATCAAGAATATAGAAATCACAATTATAATTTAATAACAAGACCAGGAACCCAATTTAAAAATGGGCAAATGATTAAAACAGACACTTCACAAAAGAAAATATATGAATGGCCAACAAGCACATGACAATATATTCACTGTCACTTGTTATCAGGGATATACAAATTTATTCCCCTCTTTCCCTGCTGCATTGGTGTTAGAATAAACTATGTTAAAGTATAAATGAGACCCAGAGTCTCATAACATAATACCTGAAATATCCAGGTTTCCATGCCAAATCACTCATCATATCAAGAATCAAAATTTCAAACTGAACACGAAGAGATGCCACTTCATACCCACAAGAATGGTAAAAACTAAAAAGCTGTACAATATCCAGTGTTGTTAATGATGTGGGGCAAATAGATCTCAGACGTTGCATTGTGGAACTGCAAAATGGTATAATCACTTTGAAAAATCCTCTGGCAATTTATAATAAAGTTGAACATATACCAATTATACAGCCTAGCAATTCCATTACTAAATATTAGCCAAGAGAAAAGAAAATTTACATTCACAGAGAGACTTGTATAGAAATGTTCATAGCAGCTTCATCTGTAATAGTAAAAATCTTGAAACAACCCAAATGCGTATCAATAGGTGAATGGATGGGTAAACAAGTTGTAGTATCTTCACAACATGGAATATTGCACAACATGGGAAAGAAACAAACTACTGATGCATACAACAACATTAATGAGGTCAAAAAATTGTGATGAACAAAAGAAGCCAGGGACAAAGGAGTACATACTGTATTATTATATTCATATGAAATTCTACGAAAGGCAAGACTTACCTATAGTGACAGAAAGCAGATCAGTACTTGCCTAGGACAGGGGTAGGAGAAGTTTGACTGCAAAAGGGAAGGAGAAAGCTTTTTCAGGTAATGGAAAGGTTCTATATCAATAACATGTCTCAATCTCACAAACAATGAAAGGAAGTCATGCACAAAAGAATATATACTGTATGATCTCACTTATATTAAGTTCAAAAATATAGGCAAAGCTATAGTGTGTTTAGGTATCCCTAGTTAAGTGGTAAAACTCTGAAGATAAGCAAGTGATTACTGGAAAGTCAGGCTAGTGGCTTCCCGGAGTGGGGAGCAGGGGTATAGTGATTAGGAAGGGACATGTGGGTGGTATCTGGGGTGCTAGCAATGTTATGTTTCTTGATCTGGATGATGGTTACACGAGCATTTGCTTTATGCAGTTTGTTAATCTGGCTACATACCTTTTTGTTTCTATGTTATATTTCACAACTAAAAACATTTTTTAAAAAAGCAAAAACGGCAACAGAAAGGCAAGCTGAGGCCGGGAAAGTTAAGATCCATGCAGACAAGCAGCAAGTCTTGGTGGACTGGAACTGTGAAGTATTTACAGGGCAATCCTTTAAATTGGTGGGAGTGAGGGCATGCCAGGCTGGACAGTGCATCTTAACTGCTGCCCCATTCCATACCTAGCACAGGGATGGGCCTACGGTACACCCAACTTAGGCTTGTGGATACACCAGTGGTATTAGGGTATGCCATTAAGGCACGCCCAAATTAGAGAATATTCCCTAGTGGCTACCTACCAAAAAGCACTGGACTTGAAGACAGGAGACCAAAGTTTAGGCAGTAGCAATATCACTTCAAGATACAAGACCTTGAACAGACCATGTTAACTCTCAGCATTAGTTTCCTTATTACTGGCCCTGGCTATGAAGAGCAATGAGAGACAGAATGGAGATAGATAATTATAGATATATGGGTATACATACTTAGATATATCCTTCTGTATCCAAGCCCAGCTTTTAAGTATACAAGCTAGCCCAGCTAGTGCAGTAAAGTGTTAAAAGGGAAACACCAAAGGCCTCAAGTTAAGACAGTACCTTGGTCCCCTCTATATCTTGGCCATCCTTAGGTTTAATTGCCTCTGGGTGTGAATGGTGTGAATTAGCATGGTGGTGTGAGGGGCTGCATGCCCACTATTCCAAGCTGAATATCCAAAAAGGTTACAATTATGAAGGGGGTAGCAGGAATGGGGAGGGGACAATATATGAAGGCCAAACACTTTGACGTTACTTCACACAGTCCCAAGGTGTATTTTCTCGTGCATCAGGCTTGCAGGCAGGGGTCAGGGTGCTCAAGGCTGACATTCGACAGGACAAGCAGAGCATCAGCACCAATGGTGGATGAGTGAGGTAGTGTCATCACTGCTGTCTCTACAAACTGCTCTGTCACATACCCTGCTATCTCTGGGACAAAGGGAACCTTGTCCAGTAGTGGGGACTGGGGAGCTCTGCCTACAGTGCCTTCAAAAGACCAATGAACATTCAAGCTTGGAATTTAGGACAAGCTTCCTTCTCCCATTTGGGGAAGATTGCCTATTTTCTATTTATATGAGAAAAAGTTTGTGGATACACCCCTGGTCACTGATAGGCAAGAACCATTTGTAAATTAGAGATTTAAGATGAGGCCTGGCTGGCAATCTAGGAATGACAACAATGGACCAGATGCTACAACCTTATCCATTTCAAGAGCTTCATGAATAGCCAGTTGTACCATGGAAGGATCCTGGCTTCTTATTTATTTATTTTCCATAAGTTATTTGGGTACAGGTGGTATTTCCTTACATGAGTAAGTTCTTTAGTGGTGATTTGTGAGATTTTGGTGTGGCCATCACCTGAGCAGTATACACTGCACCGTATTTGTAGTCTTAACCCTCGACCCCCTCCACTCTTTCCCCCAAGTCCCCAAAGTCCATTGTATCATTCTCATGCCTTTGGATCCTCATAGCTTAGCTCCCACATATCAGTGAGAACATACGATGTTTGGTTTTCCATTCCTGAGTTACTTCACTTAGAATAGTCTCCAATATCATCCATGTCACTGCAAATGCTGTTAATCCATTCCTTTTTATCTCACAGTTTCTTTATCCACTCGCTGATTGATGGGCATTTGGGTTGGTTCCACAATTTTACAACTGTGAATTGTGCTGCTATAAACATGCGTGTGGAAGTATCTTTTTCGAATAGTGACTTCTTTTCCTCTGGGTAGATACCAAGTAGCGGGATTGATGGATCAAATGGTAGTTCTACTTTTAGTTCTTTAAGGAATCTCCACACTGTTTTCCATAGTGGCTGTACTAGTTTACATTCCCACCAGCAGTGTAGAAGTGCTTCCTGATAACCATGCCCATGGAATCTCCTTGGCATCCACGCCAACATCTACTGTTTTTTGATTTTTGTATTACGGCCACTCTTGTAGGAGTAAGGTGGTATTGCATTGTGGTTTTGACTTCAATTTCCCTAATCATTCGTGATGTTGAGCATTTTTTCATACGTTTTTTTGGCCATTTGTATATCTTCTTTTGAGAATTGTCTACTCATGTCTTTAGCCCACTTTTTGATGGCATTTGTTTGTTTGTTTGTTTTTCTTACTGAATTGTTTGGGTTCGTTGTAGATTCTGGATATTAGTCCTTTGATGTATAGACTGTGAAGTTTTTCTCCCATTCTGTGGGTTGTCTGTTTACTCTGCCAACTGTTCCTTTTGCCGTGCAAAAGCTCTTTAACTAGGTACCAGCTATTTATCTTTGTTTTTATTGCATTTGCTTTTGGGTTCTTGGTCATGAAATTCTTGCCTAAGCCAATGTCTAGAAGGGTTTTTCCAATGTTGTCTTCAAAAATTTTTGTAGTTTCAGGTCTTAGGTTTAAGTGCTTAAACCATCTTGAGTTGATTTTGTATATGGTGAGAGATGAGGATCCAGTTTCATTCTCCTACCTGTGGCTAGCCAGTTATCCCAGCACCATTTGTTGAAAAGGGTGTCCTTTCCCCACTGTATGTTTTTGTTTCCTTTGTGAAAGATCAGTTGGCTCTAAGTATTTGGGTTTATTTCTGGGTTCTCTATTCTGTTTCATGGGTGTATGTGCCTATTTTTATACCAGTATCACGCTGTTTTGGTGACTATGGCCTTATAGTTTGAAATCAGGTAGTGTGATGCCTCCAGATTTGTTTTGTTTGTTTGTTTGTTTAGTCTTGCTTTGGCTATGCAGGCTATTTTTTGGTTCCATATGAATTTTAGAATTTTTTTTATAATTCTGTGAAGAATGATGGTGGTATTTTGATGGGAATTGCATTGAATTTGTAGATTCCTTTTGGCGGTATGGTCATTTTCACAATATTGATTCTACCCATCCATGAGCATGGGATGTGTTTCCATTTGTTTGTGTCATCTATGATTTCTTTCAGCAGTGTTTTGTAGTTTTCCTTGTAGAGGTCTTTTGACTCCTTGGTTAGGTATATTCCTAAGTATTTTATTTATTTATTTATTTATTTATTTATTTATTTATTTATTTTTGCAGCTATTGTAAAAGAGGTTGAGTTCTTGATTTGATTCTCTGCTTGGTCACTGTTGGTGTATAGAAGAGCTACTGATTTGTGTACATTAATCTTGTATCCAGAAACTTTGCTGAATTCTTTTATCAGTTCTAGGAGCTTTCTGGAGGGGTCTTTAGGGTTTTCAAGGTAAACGATCATATCATCAGCAAACAGTGAAAGTATGACTTCCTTTTACTGATTCGAATGCCCTTTATTTCTTTCTCTTGTCTGATTGCTCTGGCTAAAACTTCCAGTACTATGTTGGAGAGGAGTGGTGAGAGTGGGCATCCTTGTCTTGTTCCAGTTCTCAGAAGAAATGCTTTCAACTTTTCCCCATTCAGTATTATGTTGGCTGTGGATTGTCATAGATGGCTTTTATTACATTCAGGTATGTCCCTTGTATGCCAATTTTGCTGAAAGTTTTAATCATAGAGCGATGCTGGATTTTGTCAAATGCTTTTTCTGCATCTATTGTGATAATCATGTGATTTTTGTTTTTAATTCTGTTTATGTGATGTATCATATTTATTGACTTGCATATGTTAAACAATCCCTGCATCCCTGGTATGAAACTCACTTAATCATGGTGGGTTATCTTTTTGATATGTTGTTGGATTTGATTAGCTAGTATTTTGTTAAGGATTTTAGCATCTATGTTCATCAAGGATATTGGTCTGTAGTTTTCATTTTTGGTTATGTCCTTCCCTGGCTTTGGTATTAGGGTGACACTGGCTTCATAGAATGAATTAGGAAGGGTTCCTTCTTTCTCTTTCTTGTGGAATAGTGTCAAAAGGATTGGTACCAATTCTTCTTTGAATGTCTCATAGAATTCTGCTGTGAATATGTCTGGTCCTGGACTTTTTTTTTTTTTTTGTCGGTAATTTTTAAATTACCATTTCAATCTCGCTGCTTGCTATTGGTCTGTTCAGGGTATCTAATTCTTCCCGATTTAAGCCAGGAGGGTTGTATTTTTCCAGGAATTTATCCATCTCTTCTAGGTTTTCTAGTTTATGTGTGTAAAGGCGTTCATAGTAGCCTTGAATGATCTTTTGTATTTCAGTGCTGTCAGCTGTAATATCTCCTGTTTCATTTCTTAGTGAGATTATTTGGATTTTCTCTCTTCTTTTCTTGTTTAATCTTGCTAATGGTCTATCAATTTTATCTTTTCAAAGAACCAGGTTTTTGTTTAATTTATCTTTTGTATTTTTTTGTCTCAATTTCCTTTAGTTCTGCTCTGATCTTGGTTATTTCCTTTCTTCTGCTGGGTTTAGGTTTGGTTTGTTCTTGTTTCTCTAGTTCCTTGAGGTGTGACCTTAGGATGTCAGTCTGTGCTCTTTCAGTCTTTTTGATGTAGGTGTTTAGGGCTATGAACTTTTCTCTTAGTACTGTCTTTTCTGTATCTCAGAGGTTTTGGTAGGTTGTGTCATTACTGTCATTCAGTTTGAAGAATTTTTTAATTTCCATCTGGATTTTGTTTTTGACTGAATGGTCATTCAGGAGCAAGTTATTTAATTTCCATGTATTTGCATGGTTTTGAAGGTTCCTTTTTGAGTTGATTTTTAGTTTTATTCCACTGTGGTCTGAGGGAGTGCCTGATATAATTTCAATTTTCTTAAATTTATTGAGGCTCATTTTATGGCCTATCACATGGTCTATCTTAGAGAAAGTTCCATGCACTGTTGAATAGAATGTGTATTCTGTGGTTGTTGGATTAAATGTTCTGTATATACCTGTTAAGTCCATTTGTTCCAAGGTATAGTTTAATTCCATGGTTTCTTTGTTGACCTTCTATCTTGATAACCTGTCTAGTGCTGTCAGTGGAGTACTGAAGTCCCCCACTGTTATTGTGTTGCTGTCTATCTCATTTCTTAGGTCTATTAGTAATTGTTTTGTAAATTTGGGAGCTCCAGTGTTAGGTGCATATACTTTTAGGATTGTGATATTTTCCTCTTGGACAAGGCCTTTTACCATTATATAATGTCCCTCTTTGTGTTTTTTAACTGCTGTTGCTTTAAAGTTTGTTTTGTCTGATATAAGAATAGCTACCTCTGCTCACTTTTGGTGTCCATTTGCATGAAGTGCCTTTTTCCACCTCTGTACTTTAAGTTTATGTGTGTCCTTATGTGTTAGGTGAGTCTCCTGAAGGCAGCAGATAGTTGGTTGGTGAGTTCTTATCCATTCTGCAGTTCTGTATCTTTTAAGTGGAGCATTTAGGTTATTTAGGGTATTTACATTCAATGTTAGTATTGAAATGTGAGGTACCGTTGCATACATTGTGCTCTTTGTTGCCAGTGGAATTTTTTTTTTTTTGCTTTTTTAACTTGTATTTTTGTTTTATAGGTCTTGTGTGATTCATGCTTTAAAGAGGTTCCGTTTTGATGTGTTTCCAGGATTTGTTTCAAGATTTAGAGCTCCTTTTAGCAGTTCTTGCAGTGGTGGCTTGGTAACAGTGAATTCTCTCATTTGTTTGTCTGAAAAAGACTGTATCTTTCCTTCATATATGATGCTTAGTTTCACTGGATACAAAATTCTGGGCTGATAACTGTTTTGCTTGAGGAGGCTGAAGATAGGGCCCCAATCCCTTCTAGCTTGCAGGGTTTCTGCTGAGAAATCTGCTGCTAATCTGATAGGTTTTCCTCCATAGGTTACCTGGTGCTTCTGTCTCACAGCTCCTAAGATTCTTTCCTTTGTCTTAACTTTGGATAACCTGATGACAATGTGCCTAGGTGATGATCTTTTTGTGATGAATTTCACGGGTGTTCTTTGTGCTTCTTGTATTTGGATGTCTATGTCTCTAGCAAGGCTGGGGAAGTTTTCCTCAATTATTCCCCCAAATATGTTTTCCAAGCTTTTAGAATTGTCTTCTTCCTCAGGAATACCGATTATTCTTAGGTTTGGTCGTTTAACATAATCCCAGACTTCTTGGAGGCTTTGTTCATATTTTCTTATTCTGTTTTCTTTGTCTTTGTTGGATTGGGTTAATTTGAAGACCTTGTCTTCAAGCTCTGAATTTCTTTCTTCCACTTGTTCAATTCTATTGCTGAGACTTTCCAGAGCATTTCACATTTCTAAAAGTGTGCCCAAAGTTTCCTGAATTTTTTATTGTTTTTTTCTTTAAGCTACCTATTTCCTTGAATATTTCTCCCTTCACTTCTTGTATCATTTTTTGGATTTCCTGCTTCGCCTTTCTCTGGTGCCTCCCTGATTACCTTAATAACTAACCTCCTGAATTCTTTTTCAGGTAAATCAGGGATTTCTTCTTGATTTGAATCCATTGCTGGTGAACTAGCATGATTTTTGGGGGGTGTTAAAGAGCCTTGTTTTGTCATATTACCAGGGTTGGTTTTCTGGTTCCTTCTCATTTGGGTAGGCTCTGTCAGAAGGGAAGGTCTAGGGCTGAAGGCTGTTGTTCAGATTCTTTTTGTCCCATGGGGTATTCCCTTGTTGTAGTACTCTCCCCCGTTTCCTATGGGTGTGGCTTCCTGTGAGCCAAACTGCTGTGATTGTTGTCTCTCTTCTGGGTCTAGCCACCCAGTGAATCTACCCAACTCCAGGCTGGTACTGGGGGTCATCTGCACAGAGTCCTGTGATGTGAACTGCCTATGGGTCTCTCAGCCATGGATACCAGCACCTGTTCAAGTGGAGGTGGTGGTGGTGTGGGGGTGCAATAGCTCCATGAAGGTTCTTAGCTTTGGTGGTTTAATGTTCTATTTTTGTGCTGGTTGGCCTCCTGCTGGGAGGTGGCACTTTCCAGAGAGCATCAGCTGTGCTAGTATGGAGAGGAAATGGTGCTGGGCAGGGCCCTAGAACTCCCAAGATTACATGCCCCTTTGTCTTCAGCTACCAGTGTGGGTAGGGAAGGACCATCAGGTGGGGGCAGGGCTAGGCGTATCTGAGCCCAGACTCTCCTTGGGTGGGTCTTGCTGTGGCTGCTGTGGGGGATGGGGGTGAGATTCCCAGGTCACTGGAGTTGTGTACCTAGGAGGATTATGGCTGCCTCTGCCGAGTCATGCAGGTTGTCAGGGAAGTGGAGGAAAGCCGGCAGTTACAGGCCCCACCAAGCTCCCACACAAACCGAAGGGCCAGTCTCACTCCTACCGTGCACCCCCCAACAGCCCTGAGTCTGTTTCCAGGCGGTGAGTGAGATGGGCTTGAAAACATGCCCCAGGCTACCCACCTCCCAGCTGCAAAATAAAAGGGATTGATTCTTCCCCTGCCTGTGGAGTCTGCACACTGGATTTGCACCCTCCCCTGAGTTCTGGCCAGGAGGCTTCTTGCCCCATTCAAATTGTTATGAAGTTCAGCTGGAGATTTCCTTCTGTCTGTGGAGTTTTACCCCATGCTCCTCTGGCCACCCTCCCAATGAATCCCTGTGGTGCCAGGTAGGAATGGGCTGTCTGGGGACCCAGCGAGCTCCCAGGGCCTTTCTGCTGCTTCCTCTACCCCTGTATTTGGCTTGGCTCTCCAAACTTGGACTCAGCTCCAGGTAAGGTAGGAAACTTCTCCCACAAACAGACCTTCAGTTTCTCCAGTGGGGGTGTGTGTTCGGGAGAGGAGGGTCTCCCTTTCCCACTTTTGCAGTTGGGACACTCACAGTATTTGGGGTGTTTCCTGGGTCCTGCAGGAGCATCTGCTTCCTTCAGAGGGTCTGTGGGTCCTCTTGAGATTGCTGGTTTGTTCTTGCAGTCAATCTGAATCTTAAATTTACAAGCCACTGCACGCTGCTCTGTCTGGAGCTGCAATCTAGTCCTGCCTCCCGTCCACCATGATAATCCCTCCCCAACTGGCTTCTTTTCAATAATATGTCATGGTGCTGATCATGCATCAAATGGCACCAGCACCTGTTTTCCTGTCTGTGTTCCTCATATATACACTTTTATTATTAAGTAGATGTAAGAATCCATTTAAAATAGATTTAGCTTTGGGGAGAAATTCTGTGTTGATTCTGCCCACACAAAGGTGCATGTACCCACACAAACAGTTCCTTCTAGAAATGCAAAAACAATATAGCAATGATACTAATGATCAAGATATTTTATAAAGGAAATCACCCAAATCCCATCACCCTAACACAGCTTTTTTCATTTACGCATTTACTATGAGTTTTTGTAAGTTGCAAGATCACAGTGTAAATACAATGGAGCCTCTTCCTTTTCAAAACCTGTTCCATGTATTCCTCAGACTGCTGCAGGTTTCAGAATGAGCATATTAAATGTTCTGATAATATGCCATGGAATGGATATGCCATAATTTAATTAGCCACCCATTATTGTTGGGCAATTCATTTGTTCCCAGTGTTATATTACTACAGCCAATTTCATAATGAACATCTTCATGCATGTATCTTCTCAATTCTGTTGAACTGCTTCCTGAGGAATAAAATCTCAGGAAGAAGAATTATTGAGTTAAAGGTCAGGAACAGTTCTAGGGCTCTTGCTTCAGTTGACTGGGCTGCCTTCCACAGGTGTGGGTCCCTTTCTAAAATGTGCATACCCTCAGCACTAGCCAGCTTTCCCCTTTAGCCCCCCAAACCTGTCCCACTCACTCTTGATGTCTTAGTTACTGCCTGTTGTGTGGGGATCAACTTCTATTTGCTCTCTGCGTGCTCTGCACCATGGTTTCAAAACAATGTAAACCTGTTTTGGGAAACACACTCAGCTGAAGTGGAATAGCCTCTCAGCTCCAACAGCTGAGAGTCCACAGTAATTATCTTTGGGGGATGCCAGGCTTGGGAAGTAAGGAGCAGATGCGTTTGTTTCTCCAAGCCCACACTGCAGAGAACTTTCCCCTACACTCTTGACAAGTGAACCACAATGCTCTGACACAGTCAGCCTTATACTGACTACCAGCTCCCCTCAACACCCACTATGTGGCAGGCCCTACTACAAATCAGATATGGCTCTTGCCCTCAAAGAGCCCACAAACTCTGGTAAAGACAAACAAATAAAGAACTAAGAGATGCAATGTGGTGTCACGAGCAAGTGCATTGTAACTAGTCTGACCTGGATTGGGACTTCAGCCTTGCCATCTTCTTGCTGTATGGACTTCAGCAAGTTTATATATATTTATATATATATATATATTTGGTCTTGGTTTCATTCTCTACAAATTAGGAATAATGGAATAATATTAATACCAGCTTCCCTCCAGTTGTTATGATACAGTAAACAGAACCCTAGTATTCTTGCCTGGGGGATCAGGAAATGATTTTCTGTCCCCCACCCCCACCCCAGGGAGAATGTGCTGGAAAGCTCCAAATGGCATGAGGATTGGGTCTCTCTCACCAGTCCCAGGACAGGAAGGCCTATTGGTGAACCGCAGTGAGCAGCCCTGAAGTGGCTGGAGAGTACAGGACCTCAGTGACTTGGGGCTGCCTGCAAAACCATTCGCAAAAGTTCCACTGTCTCTGCCTACATTATTTCTACCAGGAGGGGAAAGTAACGTGGCTCAGCTGACTATTCTTTCCCAAGTGCTAAACTGGCTTCCTTGATTAGAAAAACACAGCCTTAGGCCGATGGCCTTGCCAGCAATCAGTGCTAATGCAAGACCCAGCTGAGGAATACAGCGGACCAGGCTCCATGCCCAGTGCCACGAAGCTTCTGCCTTGTCCAGGACATGGTCCAGAGATAGAAAATGCTGATTTTCTAGCAGAGCTACTAAGAGTCAACATTTACAAGTGCCAGCGATGGCTTTCATGCAACGAAAGGCACAAGAGTGGGGCAGCTCTCTTCTTGTCACACCCCAGAGTCCCTGGGTAAACTTTCCCAGAGGAACTGTCAAATGATAATGGCCATGAATGGACATGTCCAGCAGTACAGACAGCCACATGGGTCACAGAAGTACCCATCACTACTGTAGTTAGCACACTCTGCCCATCAAGATTTGTACTCATTTCTTTCTGGGAACAATCTGCTCTCTTACCATGGCTAGGAATCTACTGTCCACATCTAAAATAGGCGCACTTTCCATTCAATTTATCCATTTCTTATTACACCCCCTGTTCAATAACCATTGTCTGAGTATCTACTGTGGTAGATGTAAACCTGAGTCAGACACCATCCTCTTGCCTCAAATAATAACTTAAGCAGAATCACCACTGGTCACAGCAATGCAGTCCTGGGTAATGATCCACTCCAGCATTTCCCAAAGTATGTTCCACAAACATTGGTTCCTCAAGATTCTAATAGATGCTCAGCTCCAAAAGGATTCTGTGGTGACAAAAGTTTAAGGAAACTTGAGTGGAGGAAAGTTAGCAAGCCTTCTTGATTGCCAGGCTTGCCAGAGCCTGTGACATGTCAAGGTGCTCTGTCACTCTCCAATAGGAGCTAGAGAATGCATTCTCCAAACACATTTTACTCCAGACCCATGTGGAAAAAGCATTTCATATGGCCAGCAGTCCAGACAACACATTTTGGGAAATACAGAACTCTTCCAATCCCCTTATTTTTTAGATAAGGAGATTGAAGCCCAGAGAAGGAAAGGGATTTGCCTGAGCTCACCCAAGAGGTCTGAGGCAGGGTCACACTAATTCAGCTGTAGCACATTCAGAAGGGATGTCTCTAATCTGTTTTTCACATTGGGAAGCCATTAGAGGGTTTTCAGCAGTGGGGATGATGCAATTGAATTAGCATTTTAGGTAAATCGCTTCAGCTGATGTGTAGAGGAGACTCTAGAGGGATGACAGTGAGGGGACAATGAAGAGTAATCCAGGTGACAGATAATAAAGACCTAAATTTGTGCAGTAGCAGGAGGGTAGGTGAGGTAAAGATACATTCCAGAAATAATTAGGAGGTAAACTGGCAGAACCTGATGGCAGATTAGGTGGGTGAGTGGAAGGAGTTAAGGGTGATGCTGAGAAATCTGGCCTGGGTGACTGGGTAGATGCCAGTGCCATGCAGTGGAGAAGCTGTTTGGATGGAGTTTTTAAGTAGGTTGAAGACTTCCATTTCAGTGGCTGTGGAATGATCAGTGTAGATATCCAAGTAGCATTTGGCTTTATGGGGGGAAGGTTTTGGTAAGAGACCAAGATCAGGGAGATAACTGCATATTGATGAAAGTTAAAGCACAAGAATGAGAGAAATAGTCCAGGGAGAACCTGTAGAGGAAGTAGAAGCAATAGACCAAGGCTCAGAAACTTGGAGAACTCAGTTCTGGCCTCCAAAGAGCTCGCCATCTAAAACCTTAATCTTCCTCCAGAGTTCCCTTCAAAGCACCTCCTCCAGGAAAGGAATGCTGCCCTAAGAGATATATGAGGTGTTGGGTCAATTTGGAGGACAGAGAATTCATATGTGATGGCATAATTAAATGTCTTCTGTTAGCACACCAGATTCTTTTTTTTTCACTGCTTCAATGGTCGTTTTTTATTAAAATTCAAAATACATGATAAGAAATTAGACTTTTATCAATACACAAATAATTTTACTTAAAATCAACCCAGTTACATATTTTTAAAAAATTGCAGAACCTCTGCACACCAATGTCCACAACCTAGAATAGGTTCATGTGAAACCTGCAGTTCTACCCCGGAGCATCAATAAGTGATGGTCCAGGTACTCACTGACATGTTTCTCTTGACACCGAGAGGGTCGCAAACAAAACACCACTCTTGCCTGGATGAAGCAAGAGTTACATAAAAGAGCTTTATAAAATGACTATGAAGGAGAATTGGTAATATCAGAAGAGCTCCAGCACTTCAATTGAATATAATCCTCTGTTATTCTTTTCTTGATTTAATTTCTGTAGCTCCCAAAAACTTACTTCAATCTTGTTGAGCTTGGAATAAACAGATATCTGAGATTTTACAAGCTTGTAAAGATTTATCAGTGGCCTCTTTGCTTCTGGCATCATTGCTACAACAGTAAAATTTGCATCCAGAAGTAGACATATCCAATCCATAATCTGGTTCAAGGTAGGTGGGTGTATTCCAGGAAGAGTCATAGTAGCATTTTCGCTACACTTCAGATAAAGGAAACACAAACACTTGAGAAACAGTGTGATATGCTGTGCTGGGATGTTTTTCAAATGAGGCAGAAGAAATGTTTCGCTATATGCTGAATGAAGAATTGCATTAAGTAGAGCTGCTCTTTTTGGTATCACAGAGCATGAAATGGTCTCCTTTGTCTTGTCCTGGGGCTTTTTATTTAACTCTTGATCACAGTTACTGTATTTATCTTCTTCAGGATTGAAGCCATTTTGAAGAATTCCAGTTTGCTCTTCCATTTTCTCATCATGTACAGAATTACTATAGTCAAAAACTGACTCCATACTGACATCTGTTTCTTGAATACTGTCATCACCAATTCTCAAGAAAATTTGTAAGCAAGCACAGGTGACCGATTCAGGAATGTCAGGGAACTGCTGTAGACAGAGTTGTAACAACTGTACATCTTTCTTTTTTAAGGCAATCTCCATTAAGTCAGGGCACAAACTGTAAGAAAGCACATGCATTTGGATAAGGTGCATCAGACAGTTCCGGGGATAAAATGATGGTTCTGCTTTACACCTTTCCAGAAGTCCTGTTACTGTGTCCCCAGTGACAGTATGAAAGTCAGGGGTCTGCTTCAGAGCCAAAAATTTCCATACTTCTACTTCAGTATGTTTCTCTGAATCTTTCATTATGGTTGACAAAAGTTGTTTGGATGGTGATACCTCTGGCTGTAAACTCACTTCAATTTTTCGTCTCCTTAAAATTCTTCTTGACTGCTCTGAGTTCTGGGACCCAAGTCCACATCCTTGAGGTGTTTCCCAGTTTACAAAATGGGGCACGACATGAGTTCCTGGATCTTGACTATGCTTGAGTTTTCCATGAGCACCTGCTAATGATGACACTTCACAGTTGTATGGAATCACAGAGATTTTCCACGTAGCATAAACACATTTTCCCCATAATACCAGAGTTGACCACTGGTCCCTTGTGGTAACTCTTTTGAAGTCTGTAGTGTTTGAAATTTTATGTTCCATACAGAGAGGCATTCCTTAGAAGCTGCTAGTGGACTTCCTAGGACTGTGACGTGATCCTGATCCAGCGCAGTGAGTGCAACTCCATTTCAAGTGTTACCAGACACAACAGCCTTGAGCAACAGTGATCTAACTAAGCTCTGATTTTTTTCTGGGTCAGTTGGACGTATTGGCATCAAGGTTTCATATATACAACCATCAGAGCTTAATGACGTCAAAGAGATGAATTTCTGATCTACCAATGCAGTAAAACTCTCTATAAAATAGTTTTTGTCTTGTCCAACTAAGAGTGTATATTTGGTTAAGATACGTGAGTTAAACATTTGCACATAAGCAAAGTGATTTCCATGTTTTTCAGTAATAAAAATTAAAACAGGATGTCTGAATACTATGAAAAACTTTGTCCATTTAATCACTTCATCAGAGATAACAGCTTCAATTTTCTGCTGGGGGCCTGCAAGCGAGGCCTCTAAACCACGAACACCTTCCTTGAAGAGCACCAAGGGTTCTGACCCTTGCACTGAAAGTTTCCTATATACTTCAACTGACAATGTAGCTTTAAATACTTTATCCAGGTTTACATCTTCATTATTCCAGATTCTTAAAATCTTATTATTGTGTACAACAATATACTCTCCAGTTTGAAAGTTGCACACAGCTGGACATGTTACAATTTGACCCTGTTTCACTGACCAGCTCCCCAAGGGTTTCTGATCAGAAACCTTATAGAGGATCACGGTTCTGCCACTGTCTGTCACTAGAAACTGGTCTGTTTTGTCACTCTGCTTCATGCCTAGGAGTCCTTCAGGCCCCGCGCTCAGGACTACTGAAGACAACGTGAATTCTTCCTCCAGCACTGCCATTTTGAGCAAACTTAGCACACTGGATTCTGAAGAGGTGCTGAGAAAGCTTGTAGGAAGATGCAGTTTTCCTCAGATGGATGTGTGTGTTTGTCCCTTTCACCTTGGAGTCTAGTTATGTGTACATGTCTTATCCCCTCAGTAGGCAGCGCACTTGCTCCTGAAGAGAAAGGAGTCCTAAATTCTCAGAAGTCCCCATGGAACCCGCAGAGTACCTGGCGTGTAGTACTCAATACAGATTTGCTGAACACATGAATGAGGGTGAAGATGGGGAAGGGTCTCTGGCCAAAGAAATAGTATGAGCAATGTCCCACAAGTAGGGAACTACAGGAAATGCAGAATGATTGAGTGTGGCCCATGCATAGACTACATGAGTGATGGAGAAAGAGGAAACATAGAAGACTGGCAAGATGGACTGGGACCAGGTGTTGTGGCCTTGAACACCAAACTGTAGGATCTGATTACCTTCAAGTGCTACAGAAAGCTGGACAGGTGCTGTAACTGTGGTGGGTCCGAGCAGAGGTGAGCTTCCCCTCAGAGGCTCTTTTTTGCTTCCCCTACCTCCTGTCAGGGAAGCAGTGATGAGGGCTCTGTCAGCTCCTCCCTGCTTTCTCTTGCTGGATGCTGCCTGCAGTGTCCAAAAAAGTCACCATAAGCAAAGTCACTGTCATTTGCGGGAGCCAACCGCCCATTCCATTTCATTGCTTCTGTATCCAAGAGGAAAAGAGGTAGGTCTAAAGCCTGAGATACCATGGACCCTCAGGAAAGCTATGAGAAGGGAGTCCACAGCCCTGCCTCATTAGTTCATATACAAAGGTGTAAGTTTTTCACTTCACTTCCTCCTGTGGCTTCTGAATGCTGGGGTTCAAGTCAGATATTCTCAGCATTCATTGCCCTGGAGATGGTCTTTTTAATATCCCAGGCATCTGTGACCTTCCACTACTGCATGTCCAAATTCTCTCCAGTCTGAAAAATTTAGTGACAATGTTTCCTCTTACAGGAAGCCTGTCTTGCAGAGCCCTTCAGCTCAAAGTGACTGTTTCCTCAGAATGTCTGTATTACTGCAGCTGCAGTCCTCAACCTTATTGCCTGGATACACATTTTATATCCTGCCCTTTTCCCACACAAAAATAGTTAAGGTCCATAGTAAGGGGTATGATTGAATTATCTGGAGACAGGATGTTCGAGTGGACAGACCATGCACACTACAATCAGGCAAACCTAGATATCAACACCAGCTCTACCACTTCCTGGCTTCATTACCTTAGACAAGTTCCTTAACTGTCTCAGAGACTCAGTTTTCTCATCTGTACATGGCAGAATATAATAGGATGCTGGCACAGTTGCTGCAATTATTAGCTGAGAAAAAAGCAAAGCATCAGTAATAATACCTGGCAGGTTTTTGGCACTCAAAAATAATTCCTTCCTCTCCTTTGCCTTCAATATTCTTCACAGGGCCTAGCATACAGTTTTCATTCATTGATCCAGCCAATTATTAATTAAAACATTACTGGGGAAAGATAGTATGTACATTGACATAAAAATTAAATACTTAGGAATAAATCTACCGAAGAGATCTATTCAAATGGAAAGATTTACAATGTTCACGAATAGGAAGAGTCACTATTATAAAGATGTCAGTAGTTTCCACACTGATTTATTAATTCAATGACATATCCTGAGAGTTGTGTGTGTATGTGTGCAACTTAACAAGCTGCTTCTAAAATATATATGTGAAAAGTCAAGTATAGCTAAAGTATTCTTGAAGGAAGAAAAAGGGGGGAAACTTGCTCTACTAGATATCAAGATTTATTATAAAGCTATAGTAATTAAGACAGTGTGGTATTGTCTCAGGGACAGACAAATAGAACAAGGAAACAGAATGTAAAGTCCAGAAACAGATGTATACATACATTGAGACTTGATGTATGACAAAGGAAATATTTAAGTATGGATTTTAGTTAATAACAATGTATTAATATATTAGTTTATTGATTGTGAGAAATATACCATACTTATGTAAGATGATAATAATAGGTAAAACTGGATTCAGCGTTTATTATAACTCCTTGTACTATCTTTACAACTTTTCCCTAAATCTAAACCTATTCTAAAATACTTTTAAAAAAATTATTTTAAAACAAGTAAAAAATCAATTCCAACAGGACTAAAGAAAACTAAATGTATAAGGCAAATTGTAAGAAAGATTATATAAGAGAATGTATGAATAATTTGGGGGTAGGAAACACTTCCCTGCATAAGATTTTAAGAAAAGAATCACAAATGAAAAATAGACTTGACCACATTTAAATTAAGAATTTTTATTAATAAAATAATATGACTAAGAAGGGGAAAAAAACAAGCTACAGATTCTACTTCCAGCAATAGACAAGTAAGCTCCTATTGACCCTATCTCACTACAGATTAAAACTATGAACTCTGGAGAAAAACAAAACAAAATATAAATACACTACTTGAAGGCAGTGTGGAGGGATCAAAAGCAGGCAGATAGTGGAGGGGGGTCAACACTTGGAAGAAGAAAATGGCACTGGGTCAGTTTCCCATTACTTTTCTGGTGTTTAGCTTGAGGACAGGACCCAGACTGTACCATGCAGAGCAACTTAAACTGTAGTGGAAAAGCTGTAGTCTTTCTGTATTGAAGAACTAGAGTACAGAGTTCATAGCAAACACAACTACTGCGAAGTAAGGAGGAAATCCTCCAAAATGAGAAAGCCAGAAAGAAAGAGCATCAAATCCTATGTATAAACTACATCCAACTCTCTGCTGACCCCAAACCATGCATGTGTGTGACAGACTCTAAGGAGAACAGCTAAGACTAAAAAAACTGAAATGTTATTTGAGCTGTTATCCATTGTAGAGGAGAAATAACTTGCAGTTTGAGTCCAGCCAGTCTAGTTGCCAGCTAACACAAACAAAACAAAACAAAACATAAGTAAAATCAATATAACAAAACAAAAATCAACACTCTTCCAAGGAAAAGAGCAAAACCAGGGTCCCAACACATATGAAGAACCAGAAAAGCATGAGGAAAACTCAAGAGAAAAGGCAATCAACTAAAAGTAGCCCTAAGATGATTCAAATGTTGGAATTAGCAGACAAGGATTTTAAAAGCAGCTATTATAGATATGCTGAAGGGCATAAAGGAAAATATGCTTATAATGAATGAAAAGTCAGAAAATATCAGAAAAGAAATGTAAAAATTATAATAAAGAACTAAGTGGAAATTCTAGAGCTGAAACATATAATATCTGAATTAAAAATTCACTGGATAGGCTTAACAACAAACTAGAAATGACAGAAGAGTCAGAAAACATGAAGATCAATAGAAATTATCCATTCTGAAGAACAAAGAAGAAAAAATAACAGAGGCTCAGGAACCTATAGAATATTATAAAAATATCTAAAACAAATGTAGTTAGTGTCATAGAAGGAAAAGAGAGAAAATAAACCAGAAAAATTGTATTTGAAAAAAATGACAGCAGTAAACTCCCCCAATTTGATGAAAGACATAAAATCACAGATTTAAAGACGTTCAGCGAGTCCCAAGTAAAATGAATACAAAGCAAATCACAGCTAGGCACATCACAGACAAACTACTAAAAAACAAAGATAATGTCTTAAAGAAGCTAGAGGAAAGTAAGATTCAGAGGAACCACAATTCAAGTAACTGCTTATGACATACGACATACAATGAGGGTCCAAAGACCACGGACCAACATCTTTAAAGTGCTGAAAGAAAACTGTCCAGAATTATATATCTAGCAAAAACCAAGAATAAAGGTTAAATGAAGGCATTTTACATAAAAGATAACCCAGAGAATTAATATCCATCAGATATGCATTACAAGAAATTTTGAACAAAGTTCTTCAGGCTGAAGGGAAGTGATACCAGGTGGAAGTTTGGATCTACAGGAAGAAATGAAGAGCATTGGAAATGGGTAGATATAAAACACTACTGTTCTTCTTAATCTATGTAAAATACATATTACTGTTCAAAGTGAAAACTGTAGCATCATATGGTGGAATGTAAAATGTCAGTAAGTTGTAATACATAAACAATATAGCATAAAATTGGGAGGAATATAGTTGCAAGGTTTCCACAATTGACATGAAGTGGTACAATATTATCTCTAAGTAAATTGTGGCAAGTTATTAATATACATTGTAATCCCTAGAACAACACTAAAAATGATGCAAAGAGGCACAGCTAAAATCAAATAAATATAATAAAAATCTACAATACATTCAAATAATCCAAGAGAAGGCAGAAAAAGAGGAATATGGGAAAAACAGAGGGGGAAAGCAGAAAACAACTAGTGAATAAAGATTTAAATCTGAAATATCAATAATTATGTTAAATGTTAATAAACATGGACTAAATTTGAATTAAAAGGCAGAATGTCAGAATGGAGAAAAAGAGCAAGACACTATCATGTGCTTTCTAGGAGATATGTATTTTAATATAAAAATAGAGATTGGCTAAAAACAAATGGATGGAGAAGGGCTTATAGTATGTAAACAGTAAGTACAAGAAGGCTTCCGTGGCTATTTGATATTAAATCAGGTAAAGCAGACTTCAAGTAAGAGTGTTATTAAAGGTAAAGAGAAGCATTTCATAATGAATAAAGAATTACTTCATCAGGAAGAGACAGTATTCATAAATGTGTATGTGGTATAATAACAGAACTTCAAAATAAAGTAAAATTGGGAGAATTAAGGAGAGAAAACATAGCTGGAGATTTTAACAACTTGTTCTCAGCTACAGATAAAGGAGCTAGACAAAAATTAGTAAAGACTTAGATGATCTAAATAACATTACTGACCAACTTGACTTAACTAATATTTATAGAACACTATATCCATCGAGAGAAGAATACACATTTTTTTTCCAAATATACATAGTACCTTCACCAAGATAGGTTTATGCTACGCCATAAACCATGTGTAAGTAAATTTGACAGAAATAAAATATAGAATGTGTTCTCAGACCACAATGGAATTAACAAGAAGTCAATAACAAGATAGCCAGAAAAATGGAACCTTTGAAAATTAAACAATATACTTTTAAATAACATATGGGCCAAAGAAGAAAGCATAAAGAGAATTAGAAAATATTTTGAACTAAATGACAATAAGAACACGACATATTAAAATTTGTGGGAAGCAAGTGATGCAGCACTTAGAGAAAAAAGTTGTAACTTTAAATGTTTATATTAGAAAAGAAGAATGGCCTAAAATTAATGACCTAGGATTCCACTCTAAGAAACTAGAAAATCATGGGAAAGTAAATCCAAAGTAAGTAGAAGTTAAGAAATAATAAAAAGAGCAAAGGTCAATGAAACAGAAAAAAACTGAGAAAATTAACAAAACCAGCAAAAATTGATGCTCCTCTACCTCGACTAATCAAGAAAAAAGAGAATGCAAATTAGCACTAACAGGAATAAAAGATGATCATCAAAAACAAGAAAAGCCTGAGATCATTAAAGATCCTACAACATTAAAAATATAATAAAATATTATAAACAGCTTTATTCCAACAAATTTGACAACTTGGATAAAGTAAACACATTTCTTAACAATAACTTACTGAATTGGAGACAAGATGAAACAGAAAAATCTGCATTTCATATCTAATTAAATAAATAGAATATATCATCAAAAACATTCCTTCCCAGGAAAAAAGCTCCAGAGCTAAAGAATTCACTGGTGTTTGTCATCAGACATTTAAGGAAGAAATAACACCAATTTTACCCAAACAGTTTCAGAAAATAGACGAGGTGACTCTTCCAATTTGTTTGATGAGTCCAGCATAATCCTAATTCTTATGTTTTCTTCTAAAAGCTTCATGGTTTTAACTTTTATGTTTATTTTTGTGAAACATCTTTAATTTTTGTGTTTGACATAGGTATAGGCTGAAAATATTTTCATGACTTGGGTAAGCAAAGCTTTCTTGGGAACGGAAAGGACACAATAACCATAAAAGAAAATAAAAACTTATAAATAAGACCTTGTCATGCCAGGTGTGGTAGCTCACGCTTATAATCCCAGCGCTTTTGGAGGCTGAGGTGGGAGAATTGCTTGAGGCCAGGAGTCTGAGACCAGTCTAGGCAACACAGTGAGATCCTGTCTCTACTAAAAATTAAAAAAATTAGCTGGGTGTGGTGGTGCATACCCATAGTCCTAGCTACTTGAGAGGCTAAAATGGGAAGATCGCTTGAGCCCAGGAGTTCGAGGTTACAGTGAGCTATGATCCTGCCACTGCATTCCCGCCTGGAAGACAGAGTGAGACCCTGTCTCAAAAAACAAAAACAACAACAACAACAACAACAACAACAACAACAACTTCAGGGAGAGCATAATTTCCTATTCCTTAAGCGTGGGCTGCTCATAGTAACTTCCTTTCTATGAGTAGAGTATGGAAGAGGGGAAAAAGAATAAGGTTATTGTGGGGAAACCTGACAAACTACTTTAGCCAAGTGATCAAGGTCAACATCAACAGTGATAAGTCATGTTGATATGATGTAATGAAGATGGCACTCTATCTCTGTGCTATTCCTTCCATAAACCCATAAATTCAGACTAATCACAAGAAAAACATCTGATAAATCCCAAGAGGGGCATCCCACAAAATAGCCGACCAGTACTCTTTAAAACTATCAATGTCATCAAAAAAAAAAGAGAAAAGCCAGAGAAAATGTCACAGCAAAGAGAATCCTAAGGAGACATGGCAACTAAATGATATTAATATAGTATCCTGAATGGGATCTTGAAATAGAAAAAAAGATACTGGGTAAAGACTAAGGAAATATGAATAAAGTATGGATTTTAGTTAATAATAATGTATTGATCTGGGTTTATTAATTGTCACAAATGTACTGTACAATGTAAGATATTAATTTTAGGGGACACTGGGTGGGAGGTATATGGGAACTCTCTGTACTATCTTTTCATTTTTCTATAAATCTAAAACTGTTCTAAGCAATAAAGTCTATTTTTGAAAAGACATCATTAAGAAAATGTAGAGATGAGTCACTGACTGGGAGAAAGTATTTGCAAAATATATATCTGACAAAGGACTGGTATCTAGGATATTACAAAAAAATTTCTAAAACTCAACAATAAAAACAACTCAATAAAAAGAGACAAAATATTTAATGGACACTTTATGAAATAAGATATACAAATGGCTAATAAGCATGTGAAAAGATGCTCACCACTATCATTAGTCATTAGAAAAATACAAATCAAAACCTGAAGTAACTCAGGAATGGAAAACCAAACACTCTATGTTCTCACTGATATGTGGAAGCTAAGCTATGAGGATGAAAAGCATAAGAATGATACAATGGCAAGAGATAAAAGACAACAAATATGGTGCAGTGTATACTGCTCGGGTGATGGGTACACCAGGTTCTCACAAATCTCCACTAAAGAACTTACTCATGGCTGGGCGTGGTGGTTCACGCCTGTAATCCCAAAACTTTGGGAGGCTGAGGTGGGCGGATCACCTGAGGTCAGGAGTTCAAACCAGCCTGGCCAACATGGTGAAACTCCATCTCTACTAAAAATACAAAAAAAAAAAAAATTAGCTGGGCGTGGTGGTGGGCACCTGTAATCCCAGCTACTTGGGAAGCTGAGGCAGAAGAATCACTTGAACCCAGAAGGCAGAAGTTGCAGTGAGCTGAGATCACGCCATTGCACTCCAGCCTGGGCAACAAAAGCGAAACTCCATCTCAAAAAAAAAAAAAAAAAGAACTTATGTACAAATACCACCTGTACCTCCAATAACTTATGGAAAAATAATTTTAAAAAAAACACAATGAGCCATATCATTACACCCACCTGAATGGCTAAAATTTAAAAGAATAAATACACTAAATGTTGGCAAGGATATGAAGTAATTGGAACCTTACACATTACTGGTGGGTATGTTATATGGTGCAACCACTTCCAAAACTGGACTAGCTTGCATTTTCTTATAAACTTAAACATATACCTACTCTATGACCAGGCAATTCCATTTTTAGGTATTTTCCAAGGAGAAATGAAAACAAATGTCCACGAAAAGTTTTATGAAAGGATACTCATAGCATCTTTATTCACAAAAGCCAAAATCTGTTAACAGCCCAGGTGTCCATCAATAAGAGAATGGACAAACTAACTGTGGTAAATTCATACAATGGATGACATCTCTGAAATAAAAAACAAACTACTGATATATGTAGCAACATGGGTGAATTTCAAAAACACTTTGAATGGAAAAAACACTTATAAAATAGCATATACTGTATGACTTCATTTATATAAAATTATAGAACAGGTCAGTCTAGTCTATAACAGAAAACAAATGGAACATTGGTTGTCTATGGAAGTGGGAGCCCAGATAGACTGGGAAGGAACACGAGAGGACTTTCCAGGACGATGGTAAGATTCTAATTCTCAGTAAAGGCTTGGTTATACAGGAGTATGTATTTTTCCAAACTTGTCACATTGAATACTTATGATTTCTGCATTTCATTATATGCAAATTTCATCTCAGAATTAAAAAAGAACTATAAACAACTATTAATGGTATTCATACTGGTATTGATTCATTAATGGTGTTCATCCCACAGTTTGGCAGAAGATTTTGTAACACATAAAAGAAACTAAGAGACTAATATTCCAGGATATATAAAGGGTCTTACAGGTCAATACGAAAAAGGCAAACAACCCAACAGAAAAAGTAGCAAAATGGCTTAGCAAACACATTACAAAAGAGAATATTCAAATGACCAGTGAAAAGATGCTCTGGTGGATGCTGTGTACTGGGCAGACTTCTTCAAGAGTTATTCCTGCAGCTGCTTGGGTGCTGCTGGCAGACAACCTTGTTTTTAAGTTCAGTATGAGATTCTCAGCACAATTTTTTTTAAACTTCAGAAATTATAATTATTTTGCCATTTATGTTTTAATATCAACTATAATTATTGTGTTTCTTTTTTCTTAATATACTTTAAGTTCCACTAGCAAGACTAATAAAGAAGAAAAGAGAGAAGAATCAAATAGCCGCAATAAAAAATGATAAAGGGGATATTACCACGGATCCCACAGAAATACAAACTACCATCAGAGAATACTATAAACACCTCTACACCAATAGACTAGAAAATCTAGAAGAAATGGATACATTCCTGGACACATACACCCTCCCAAGACTAAACCAGGAAGAAGTTGAATCCCAGAATAGACCAATAACAGGCTCTGAAATTGAGGCAATAATTAATAGCCTACCAACCAAAAAAAAGTCCAGGACCAGACGGATTCACAGCCGAATTCTACCAGAGGTACAAGGAGGAGCTGGTACCATTCCTTCTGAAACTATTCCAATCAATAGAAAAAGAGGGAATCCTCCCTAACTCATTTTATGAGGCCAGCATCATCCTGATACCAAAGCCTGGCAGAGACACAACCAAAAAAGAGAATTTTAGACCAATATTCCTGATGAGTATCGACGCAAAAATCCTCAATAAAATACTGGCAAACCGAATCCACCAGCACATCAAAAAGCTTATCCACCATGATCAAGTGGGCTTCATCCCTGGGATGCAAGGCTGGTTCAACATACGCAAATCAATAAACGTAATCCAGCACATAAACAGAACCAAAGACAAAAACCACATGATTATCTCAATAGATGCAGAAAAGGCCTTTGACAAAATTCAACAGCCCTTCATGCTAAAAACTCCATAAATTAGGTATTGATGGGACGTATCTCAAAATAATAAGGGCTATTTATGACAAACCCACAGCCAATATCATACTGAATGGGCAAAAACTAGAAGCATTCCCTTTGAAAACTGGCACAAAGACAGGGTTGCCCTCTCTCACCACTCCTATTCAACATAGTGTTGGAAGTTCTGGCCAGGGCAATCAGGCAGGAGAAGGAAATAAAGGGTATTCAATTAGGAAAAGAGGAAGTCAAATTGTCCCTGTTTGCAGATGACATGATTGTATATTTAGAAAACTCCATCGTCTCAGCCCAAAATCTCCTTAAGCTGATAAGCAACTTCAGCAAAGTCTCAGGATACAAAATCAATGTGCAAAAATCACAAGCATTCTTATACACCAATAACAGACAAACAGAGAGCCAAATCATGAGTGAACTCCCATTCACAATTGCTTCAAAGAGAATAAAATACCTAGGAATCCAACTCACAAGGGATGTGAAGGACCTCTTCAAGGAGAACTACAAACCACTGCTCAATGAAATAAAAGAGGACACAAACAAATGGAAGAACATTCCATGCTCATGGATAGGAAGAATCAGTATCGTGAAAATGGCCATACTGCCCAAGGTAATTCATAGATTCAATGTCATCCCCACCAAGCTACCAATGACTTTCTTCACAGAATTGGAAAAAACTACTTTAAAGTTCATATGGAACCAAAAAAAGAGCCCGCATTGCCAAGTCAATCCTAAGCCAAAATAACAAAGCTGGAGGCATCACGCTACCTGACTTCAAACTATACTACAAGGCTACAGTAACCAAAACAGCATGGTACTGGTACCAAAACAGAGATATAGATTCTCAGCACAATTTAAATGCTGCTGAGGTCTCCACAGCAGTGATTCAAACACCACCCCCTGCCCTCACTACCAATCAGCTGCAGGGACCTTGGATAAGTCACTCAAACTCCCTGCAGCTCCTCTTCCCTCCTCATCTGGAAAACAATGAGGAATAGAATCATTTTTTGACCTGCCTGCCTCCCCAAACTGTTGTGAAGACCACATTGAAGGCTCTTTCTGGCCTGGAGGGTGCTACCTACATGTAAGTCATGCTCAGTAACAAGAGCAGCAAATGATATACTGGGACTCAACCCCAGGACTCTGACACCCTCCTTAGCACCATTGCCCTCAGAGCAGATCCTCAGATTTATCTCCCAATGGCTGCTTAGCTGGAATGTCACCTATGTAGAGAAGCCCTTGTAATGATTAAAGCTAAAGTCACTTACTCTGCTTTCTTAACAATGAAAATTATACTATCAACAAAAAATTGTTACCTGCTCCTTCTACCTCCAGGTAATGATGCACTGTTGCATCCACAGAATGAAATGTTGTAGCTAGTGAACGATAAAAAAGCTGAAAGTCCTCAGATGGTACTATTGACGGGTGATCCTAGAATGGCTTAATGTTCACATATACATATGAATTTATACACACAAAGCTCACGACCATTTTAAGGAAGCTGTATCACCCCACCAGTTCAGGGATGAGCTCCCCAAATTGTGGAACTCTGTTCTCTGACCAGAGTTGATGGAGTACACTACAGGAAGAGCCCACTGTGTTTGTGACACTCGTTAACCTCTGATAGTAACAATGGATGGCACAGCTGTCTTGGTTCCATCTCTGAGTGTGGAACATATTGCCATAATCGGACTAATCCAACACTTCATGTCTGGCCTCGCTCAGAACTGTGCTGGGTTAAGTGCATCTAATACATAGGAATCAATCCTCAAAAACAGCCCTGAGAGACAGGTCTTGTTTTCTTCACTCATTAAATGAGGAAATGGAGGCCTGGGGAGGTGAAGGAAATTGCCCAAGGTCACAGAGCTGGTCAGTGTTGGGGCCAGGACTTGAAATTGCATGCCCATCATGGTCTCTCTCCTGAGTGTGAACCAATGCCTCTTCTCCTACACTGTGCAGCCTATATGAATACATTCTGGGGAAGGCCAAACATGATGAACTCGGTCTCACAGTCTGTGACCCAAAGGGCCCAAATGTTACTCAGTGACCCCATCTTTCAGTAAACTCTGGAAGCACAGTGTTCTCCTGTCCTTACTAGGGCCACCAGAAGGATGCATGGAAAGGATGACTGTCTTGACTTCCTTCCCTATGGCCTAGCATGTCTAGCAGTCTAGACACGTCTAGCAGTTTGCTAGTTATTTGTGGGGGACACTCTAGTTTGAGTGGAGAAAGGTTTCAAGTTACAAGCCCACATTGCATTTGTTAACAGGATTTCAGCTCAGGAGTGCTCGCCTCAGGCTGACCAGTCAGTCAGTCCAATGAAAACTGTCCCGAAACGAGGAAGGCCACCTGCCTAGGACAATGTCCTGGGAGTTGGTGCCCAAACGTGCTGAGTGTGAGGCCAAGGAACCAACACAGCAGCATATAAGAAGGCTCTTTTCTTTCTTACAAACCTCATCCCCACTCCGCACAAGCTGTAGCTACAAGAAGCCTCAAATCGAGAAGAGTTTTTGAGAATGGCTAATATGGAGCACAGAAGAAAAGTCCAGTGGAGGACTCCCAGCTAAGTAAAGGCAAGAGAGTAAGGGTGCAAAACTTTAACCCCTTTACCTCCCTCCTCTACTTTCCTGATTGCTATCCCTGTCTGCTGCTCTCTCCGGCCAATGGAGCCTTCTGCTGAAGGAACAAGCAGCAATCAGAACTAGGGATTGGTTCAAGATTCAGACAAAGGCCAAGTCTAGGTTTGCCAGGTTCAGAGTAGCACCCTGACCACCTAGTACACCCATACCTCCCAAACACAGAGAGGCATACCTGACCCATAAATCTTCTGAACCCACAAATATTTACTCATCAACATCTCCTATGAACCAGCCACTCTGCTGGTTGCTAAGGACAAAGTGATGGGCAAAGCCAACATAGCCCCTGCTCTCTGAGAAAAGGCATTCTAGTTGGAGAAGAGAGAAAATAAAGAAATCAACAAGTACATTATGACTTTACAATAAATGTTATAAATAATAATTTGATAATAAGTGTCATGAGGACAAAATATAGGGTAACGTGATGGTGACTGTGGGGGGCAGGAGATTGGCACTCCTAGTCAGGAGGTTCAGGGAAGGAGACACAGCATGAATACACTCACGCATCCTAAGCACACATGCAATGTACAAACACCCCAAAATAAATCAATCTTTTGCTCTTAAACACACACACATACACACACACATATACAATCATGGGATGTCAGGGATGGAAAGGCCATTGGAGGTTACCCAGCCCAGTGGCTTTCATCGTCTAAAGATCAATCTGTTTCTTTAGTGAAGCCACATCCTTGGCCTTACCCTTGCTCCCCCAAGGTACTACCCTAGAATGCCAGAAAAGAGTTTTGCTGTCACTGCTCCAGTCTTAGTACCTTAATGTACACATACACATTTCAAGGCCCAGGATACAGAATGGCCCTGCCCAAGGTCAGACCATGAGTTGGTGACAGTTGGGGACTGGGCCCCTAACCCTCCCCACTATGCCTCGCATAGGCTTCTCCCAACTCTCATCTGTGGCTGCCTGACAAGTGATGTGTCTAGGCTTAGGATGGTTAATGATCTCCCTAAGGAATGAGGGGAGCCTGGTGAACCTCAGGTACCACTGAGGACAGAAAGGAAGAAGCCAGATGGGAATTGGCACACCTGTCTGAAACCAGCTACCTTTATCATGGGTAGAGCACTGCAACTAATGAGCATTCCACTGTCTGCCGAGGAAAAAACGTAGGAAGCAAGGTGGTGTGTGTATGCATGTGTACATGTATGTGTGTACTCACGCATGCGCATGTGTACAAAGGGGAAATCCATGTTATCCGGAGGCCTGGAACCAGCTTTAAGGTGGGCATGGACCAAGGGCTTTCAGGGGCAAGGGCCGGCAAAGACAACCTTCTCTTGGCAAATTGCCCTCAGGACCCACACATACTTTTGAAAATTAATGATGCTGAAGAATCTTTCACTCGAATGAGATATATATAATTTTAGAACTAGCCAAGTCGTATGAGGAAAAATGTGTGTGGGCTTGGAAACTGGTCCAGTCTGGGTGAAAATCTGAGTTCTGCTGTTAATCTCCTCTGGAATCTTAGACAGGCAACCACAAACCTTACTGGGCCTCTGTTGTCAGTGAAATGGAGATAATAATAGCCATCTTTCATGGAGTGTCTGCCTTGGCCAGGCTCTGATCAGGAAAAGAAATCCTCTCATTCCAGTCCAATAACAGCCTTGCAAGGTATGTCACTTCAGTGCTGCTTCTTACTCCAGCCTCTTTGCCTGAGAGTCTCCAGCAGAGATGGCATTCACGTAGCTCCCTCCTCACTTTCTCCTCATGGTGTTTGTCTGTACCCACTCCCGATGGATGGGTGGGCCAGCTCTGTACTCAAATCAGGGATGTTTAGGGATGTGCTCCTGGGCACACAATGGAGATGACTATTAGAGCCCAAGGTATATGTGCAGTGTCTTGATGCTTGTTTTATATGCCAGTTGTTCCCACCTAGCTGGGAGCTTTCCATAGACAGAAGCAGGGTTGGCCTCCTTGCTGGAGCCATAGCACCCAGCCCAGTGCCTGGAAAACAGATGCCCTTGGTAAATGTCTGTTGAATTGTTAATGATGTAAACTTTTGCTCTGTCACAGATAAATTCCTTGGTAGACTCAAGTAAGTTAAGACTGTCCCAGGTCAGTGACTGAGGCTGAGACAAAGATCCTAGAATTGAAGATGTCACAACTAGGGAGAAGCCCTTGGAGATGGCCTAATTATAGGACAGATAGAGACCTGCAGCTCAATGAGAGGAAGGGACCACCTAAAGTGACCCAACACGCTAGGAGCAGGGACAGACCCAGACCTCACACCTCTTGATCTTGGGTGATCATGCATCCTTTCCAGTTTTCCGACCTTTCTCAATCCAGCAAAGGTAATCCAGGAACCCCAAAACTAACAAGGGCCCTGGTAAACAGAGTCAATGCCCTCCCCCAACAAGGCCCCTCATTCTGCCCTGGCTTCAGGCCCTCCTCCCTGACCTTGCAAGCATCTCAGGAAATCCCATTCTGGCCACTATCTGCTTCCTCCCAGCATCCGGGCCCCTCTGCTCCAACAGGCTTGCTGCCAGCCCATCCCCCAGCCACTCTACACTTGGGCCACAGCTGGTTCAGGCTTAGGGTCCCCAGTGTCCTGGCTAACAGCCACGGTTACTTCCCAGATTCCTTCCCAGGGTTCTGTGGAGATAACCAGAGGGTCACTGCTGCCCTGTTGTAGCCAGTCCCTCATCTACAGGGCAGATACCTACAGTTTTCCAGCTTCTGAGGTAAGGACTGGGGCAAGCAAGAATTTATAGACTGGAGGTCCGGGCTGCAAGTGCCTACCACCTCTCTCACTGCCTGTGTGCGAGACTTAGGGCAGGCTGTCAAAGGTCTGCTTCCTGTGGGGCTGAGAGGGTTCAATGAAAAAATGCATCTGAAAGGCTCTCTGCAATGACTGGTGCCCAGAAGGGGTTCTGTAAATATCAGCTTTCCTTCCCTGGGGAGGACTTCAGGGCACCAGGAACTCCCAGCGATTATCTACAGTAGGTATGTGTGCATGAGCATTTTATCCAGGAAGAGGATCTCATGGCTTTCACGGGAGTCGGGCAATGACAGACCGCATATACAACCGTGGTCCCATAAGATTATAATATCATATTTTTACTGTACCTTTTATATTTTTAGAGACACAAATACTTATTGCTGTGTTACAGTTGCCTATGGTATTCAGGACAATAGCCTGCTCTATAGGTTTATAGCCTAGGAGCAATGGACTCTACCACATAGCCTAGGTGAGTGGTAGGCTACATCATAGAGGATTGTGTAAATCACTATAGGATGTTCACACAAGGACAAAATTGCCCAATGACACATTTCTCAGAATGTATCCCTGTATTTAAGTGAAGCATGACTGCATAACTATCTCTATTTTACAAATCAAATAAGAAAACAGGATTGGAGCAGTACAGTAACCTACTTGGGTCCATGGCTAATAAGCAGTGAGCAGAGCCAGGATTCCAACTTTGGCAGTTTGGCTTCGGAGTCTATGATTTTAACAATTGTAATAGACCACCTCTCAAAATGTTCTCTGTTACTCTGTCCTATATCCTCTGTGCCTTTGTCTTACTGCCCTGACCTCATCAACTATGCCTTGACTATCTCCTGCCCTCACCACACACCCTTCCCCCACCCCTGCTGTCCTTTCCCCTAGTCTCCATAGTCAGGGTAGCAATAGGTCATCCTGCACTGCAGTGTGGGCTCGTCCCAGATCAGTGTCTCTGGTACCCCGCTAAGGAGCCCCATAACTGTTGGGTCTTTAGGTCTCAGAGCCCCATGCCCTGTGCTGGCTCAGTGCAGGCCCCACAGGAGATAGGGGAGCTGACACTCAACCAGGCTCCACCCACTTTCCACCTAGAGGAAATTCTCTAGATCAGAGGTTCTTAAACTTCAGTGGGTCATGGAACCTCTTCTAGACTCCCATGAAAGTCATGAGTACCTGCCTATAGGGTTGTGGCAAGGGTTAAGTGAGTTAATGTACATAAAGCCCTCAGAACATGGCCTGGAACTGGGCAAGCACTCTGCACATGCTTGTTGCTACTATTCCGGCTCAGGCCAGTGAGGCTAGAGGGCAGAGCACGTGGATGAGTGCAGTAAGAGGTGAAGCTGGACCAGCAAGCTAGGGTCAGATGGGGGAGTGCTTGACTAGGCTGGGCTGAAGAGTCTGGGATTACATCTGCACATGCAGGGGCACCATCAACCATTTCTGAAGAGAGAACCAAGACACACTAACTAACTGTGGAAAGATTATACAAATATGATGGTGGGGCTAGACACGGAAGAAGGTCACTCATTTATCTAGTCAGCCAGTCATTCATTCACTGAACTCTTACCCATGCCAGGCTCATGTTAGACCTGAATGAAGAGTTTCCAGGAATGAGATGCTTCAAATTCCACATAAAGGACTGAATCTGTGCCCCAAAGTGGCTTTCGCTTCACCACTTTCTCCGAAAAAATGCAATACCCCTCTTTCAGGGAAGCCAGGGCCTAGGTGGGCACATGGGAGTGGAACCCCCAGCTGAATCTATCAGTAGTCAGGTAAGTTTGTTTGGCTAATGGCCTTGCAGGCAGAAGGAATCTGAGGTAGGCAGAATAACAGTCCCTCCCAAAGATGTCCACGTCCTAATCCTTGGAACCTGTGAATATGTGACCTTACAAGGAAAAAGGGACTTGGCAGATTTATATTTTGGATTTATACGTTGGAATGAGATCATTCTGGATTATCCAGGTGGGTCCAATGTAACCCTGGATTCAGGGTTCTTATAAGTAAAAGCAGGAGGCATAAGGGAGGGTCAGAGTAAGAGTAGGTGATGTCATGATGGAAGCAGAGTCAGAGAGAGTCAGCAAGCGTGGGGGTAATTGAAATCTGAAGATGCTATGATACTTGCCTTGAAGATGGAGGAAGGGGCCACAAACCAAGGAATGGGGGCAGCCTCTAGAAGCCAGAAAAAGCAAAGAAATGGGCTCTCTCTTAGAGACTCCAGAAGGACTGCATCCCTGCCAACACTTTGACTTTAGCCTCGTGAGACCCATTTTAGACTTCTGACCTCCAGAATTGAAAGATGATAAATGTGTGTTGCTTTAAGCCACTAAGTTTGTGGTACTTTGTTACAGCATCCACAAAAAAAAAAAAAGATACAGAATCTGGGGTTAAAAAGGAAAGGTAAAGCTACGTGTGAAATCTATTTTAGAAATAGAACCAAACCTGGTAAAAGAAAACCACAGGGAAATGAAAGCTTATTTAGCAAGTACTCTGGGGGAGTATGGATGTTAACCTGAAGGGAGATTCACTTAAATCTTTACCTCTCCCTGAACAATCTAATTTATTCCAGATGGGTTACAGAATGAGATATATGGGAAGAAACTGGTAAAAAACAGAGGGAGAACAGGATGGTGAAGGGTCTTGGAATCACGACATAAGACGAATTAATGATAAGCCCTGAGACAAGAAGATGAGGGGTCCATGGTAGCCGTATTTGGAAAGTGCATACAGAGGACAGATCCAGGACTATGTGGGTTAGACATTTTGGGGAGATAAATTTCAGCTCAGAAGAAGGAAAACTTTCCAAATGATTGGCACTGTCTGAAACTGGCACAGGTGCCTTAGGAAGAAGTGAGCAGCATGTTCCTAGAGATATTTAAACACAAAATTAATTCTTGAAAGGGGATTCCTGAACTGGACATAGGATTTTGGAACTGGTAGGCCCCTCCCAGATTTGAGGTTGTGCCAAATACCTTCTGCAGCTTTGTGAGGACAGGGCCAATCAGTGCTCTTCTTTGTCTGGACTTGAAATAAACAAAGAAATTAATATCAGTTCAGAGACCAATTCCTCTCAGCTCCCTGATACAAGAAATATCAGAGAGAACATAAAATCCATGAAGTCTGAAGTGCATCCAAGGATATCATCCCCGAACAATTCCTCAGTGCTCCTGGGAATTACAAGGAAAGGTTAACAGATTTGCCTAAATTGGCTATGGTCCCATGACAAATGGAGTGGTCTCTGCATGCTGCATTCTGGGTGTGCAGGCAATCACCAAGGGCAGAGGGGCCTTGATGTGGCAAGGTAGGAGGACAAGGAAACTTCAAGGTTGATGCCTTGGCGGGACAAGCCAGTTGCCTGCCCTGGCCCAACCTCCCCTTCATTTCAACATGTTTAGGTTATCAACCAGTACCACCTCCTGCCTCCTAAGTTAACTTCATAGCTCAGCAGAGTTCCTCCTTGTTTTCTTCCACCTCTAGGGAGTTTCCAAAAAGAAGCTGATTTTAACAAACTTAACTTAGACTACTTTGAAGATGAGGAAACAGAGACAGGGAGGCTAGAGGACATACCAGCAGAGAGGCAATAGGGGCTGTCAGAGTCAGGAGGAGGATGGTGGGTACTGCACAGACTAATCTTCCCTGGCTTGCTAACTAGTGCACAAAATCATGACTTATCAGAGAGGAAGGGGCCTGGGAGTAGCCCTCCTGTCCCCTTTGCTTGTATAGGAGGAGGCTAAGTCTCTCTCACTGGACTGACAATGTGGCCTCCCTCCTGCTAGGCTTTCCTCCCCCAACTTTCAACCTGCCCTGATTTATCTCTTCAAAGGAACCCCACCTTAAATACCAGACAAATCCCAGCTTGGTTCTGGAAGGTACACTCATAACCTAACAATACTTGGCAGCCACAAAACCCCCATCCCCTCACCAAAGGCCTTCATGACTCCCCTGTCTCTTCTCCAGACTCTGTTCAGATTTTCTGTGGCCTAGTAAATGCTTCCAAACCCCCTTCCCCAGGAAGGCCAGTGGGAGGGGAAGAATGTGTTAAGCCAGATACTTGGCTGGTTTCAGTCAATGTGACATTAAAGATTTGCTAAGTATAATTTTTCCCTTCTGCAAACAAATACAATTTATAGTCCCAGGAATGACATCTTGCTGACTGATGATCCACATAGTTCACCAACAGCCTGCAGAGTGTCCCTTCTTAGGAAAATCTTTCCTCAAGCCCTGGTAAGATTCAAGATCAGCTAAGTAGCAGGCTGGAGGTGCAGCCTGTCTGCAGTTCTGCTCTTCTGGATGGCTTGGAAGAGGAAGGAACAAGGAAGGAAGTGTTGGGGGCCTGGTTTTTATGGCCATTGTTACTTTACTGGATCCTTCCAACAGCCCTAGGATGTGGCCATGTGACCCCTAGCAAGTCATCTAATTTTCCCGAGCCTCAGTTTCCTCAAGGGTTAGAGGAGGGCAATCATACTGCCTGCCACCGACAAAGTACTTCATAAGAAGCTGTTGCTATTCCCACCATGCTGAGCACCCCTGCCATTCACCACCACCTGTGTCACAAGATATACATACAGGGTGCCTCTCATGGGCCAGGGTCTGTGCCAGGTGTGCACAGAGATTAAATGCCTATATGGCAGGACACTATTTAGTCTCCAGCTTACAGAACAGGGACTGAGCTCAGAGACACTGAGTAACTTGCCCAAGATCTCTTGGATAGGAAATGTGGCAATGGAGACTGGGAGCCCTGCCACCTGGCTCCCGGGCCTCCCCTCTTAACTGTCTCTGCTGTACTGCTTCCTAACTACTGATTCTCCAGTGCCAGGCATGGTTGTTAAACTGCTTTACCAAAAACTGTGGGGATGCAGGAAGGCTAGACATGAGTTCCAGGGCATAGCCCCCATTGACCCTGCCCTAGTGGGGTTTTCTGGATGGGGGCCTCTCCTCTGCTCACCCTACCTGACATAAACCCTTTCATGATGTATTCCCCCCCCATGGTCACTGCCTTCTCCTGCCCCAAGGCCACACTGAAGGCTGTCCCACATCTAGCCTGCCACACCCAGGGTGGCATCGCCCCTGGGATCTGTTCCAGGTGCACTCAGCAGAACTGGCCAAGCACATGTATCCATGAAACTAGCTAGGTAGGGGGGCTCATGTCATTTAATGAACTTTGCTCCTCCAATACAGTCAAAGGGTGCATTAACCACACAATGTGAGAGCAGAAAGGAAAGAAAAAAAGCTGGGACATAACTTTATGGACTCACATAAAATTTGACATGTATTTCAAATGACATGTATTTCAAAATGTTATTTCAAAACACTGATAGTCTCACCAATATGTCCAGCAGCAAGAGAACAGGGGGAAAACAGAATGACAACATTAGGTTACCGTCTTGCCTTTAATTCTGGGGGTTTAGCCATCACAGACAAATGAAAATGCATAAATTTGTAATTTCTTCTCTGTTAAAATCTGAAATTCTAATGTAATTCTAGTGTAATTTAGTATAAAAATGAGTCCATTCTAATTCACTCTTAATATGTAATTGAGCACAAAAGATTTCTTACTGTTATATATCTGTTATCTTTCATTCATTCATTTATTCAATAAGCATGTGCTGAACTTTTACTCCATGCCAGTCCCTGGCTGGGCCCTGAAAGAAGAAGGGAGAATATAGAGGTACATCAGGCTTAGGCCCTGACCTTGAGCCTTGTGGTCTAGCAGAGGAGACAAGACAGGAGCCTAAATAACCAAGTGGAATATGGTCACAGTTTCCCAGGAACAGCAAAGCGCTAGGCAGGAGGTTCCAAGGAAGGACAGAAGACTTGTAGCTGGAAAAAGAACTTAGTAGGCTTGCCCATCCTCTGGCTTCTCATGATGACCAGGAAAGGGATGTAAGGCTGACTGGCAACATGGGTCGGAAAGAGTCCTGTGATCCAGTCCCAGGTTGGCAGTGAGCAAAGTGCACAGCCTGGGGGCAGGTCCCTGCATCCCTCAGGGCCTGTTTTCTCAAGTGTGAACAAGAGTTTTAGACCCCAAAAGTTCTATGGGCATTTCAAGGGTGAGGAGTCAGAGCCAAGTCCCAGATGTCTGGGCTTCAAATTCCTGGACTTCTGGCCATCCTTTTGCCATCTCCAACCACACAGCAGCTAGCATTAGCTCAGCCTTTGAGTCAGAATCATAGCGCCTAGGAAAGAGGGCTAAAATTAGTAGAGGACCAATGTACTTTCTGTTGCCCTGATGTCTTGAGAGCATCAATCAAAGACCCTTGTTCTAAATATGTCTCAAGGCAAGAGCAATGCTAATGCCAACAATGTTAAAATGCTCAGCAAACAAACAAATATACTTCTCTCCCATCTTCAGTCTCTCTCCATCCCATTTTATCTTCATTTTATCAGGTACAAAACAAAATACATCAGAATGGATGAAATACAGCTCAAGTGAGCTGAGAGGTAAATTAATCGAAATGCAGGAGCCCTCTTGAGGGCCATTATGACTGGCCACTCTTGGGGTTTCCTGGATACCGCTGGGAACCAAGGCCCCTCTTGAGCAACTCAGCACACAGATGTTTCTGCCACTTATGATGGCCTCCGAGCACTGAGCTGGAAGCCTCTGATTGAATAGGGCTGTGGGCCTGGAAGGAGCCAATTTTCCCCTCTATCCCTCTCTCTGCCACTTCCAAAGAGTTGGTGGCATTGATATTCACTCCCATACTGACCCTGACCCCGACCCCTCAGTTGCTTCTGAAAAGCAATAGTACATCAAGACTCCTTATGGGGGTTCATTCTCTGCATGAGTTTTCCAGGGATGTCATACAAATTGTCACAAACAGGCTGGCTTATGACAGCAGAAATTTATTCTCTGAAGGCTCTGGAATAGAATCTGTTCCATGGCTTTCTCCTAGCTTCTGGTGACTGTCAGCAATCTTTGGTGTTCCTAGCCACAGTGCTTCAGTTTCTACCTTCATTTTTACATTGCCTTCTCCTCTGCGTGTCTTTTTCTCTTCTGTGTTCCACAAGGATACATGCCATTGGATTTAGGGCCCACCCTACATCCAGGACGATATCATCTGGAAATACTTAATTACATCTGCAAAGACCCCTTTTCCAAATAAGGTCACATTCACAGTTTCTGGGTGAACATATCTTTTGGGGAGGGATCCCACTCAATGCACTACATCTCCCTCAGAGCTGTTGTGTTTTCCAGATTCAACTGGCAGCACTCAGGCAGAGAGAGATTCTGGTCTGGGCAATCAGTGCTCTCATCCATTTTATTGAACAAGAGCATTCTGGAACACTTGGCTCCTAAGACCCCTTCCAATAGAGCACAGAACGAACTCTGGAACTAGGTTCCCTGAATTTGCATCCAGGCTCTGACACTTCTTAGCTGCTGTGTGACACTGGGAAAATCACTTCACATTTCTGTGCTTCAGTCCCCTCATCTGCAAAATAGGGATGATAACAGTACTTACCCACAGGGGAAGAGTAAAGCATTTTGTTGTTGTTGTTGTTTGCTATTCTGCCCACTACCTTGCTCAAATTGCTATTGAGCAAGCTCATATCATCACACTCCTATTCCCAGAAGTAGAATCATAACTGGAACTAAGCATGACTAGAACAGAACTAGAAGCAACCCTAGAGGCAGTTACTAGGCATTTATATAGATGCTCATTTACAGGGGAACTGTCACAATACTGAGACTTTTTAAGCAAAAGAAACAAAATCTATAAGAAAATGTGGCACATATACACCATGGAATACTATGCAGCCATAAAAAAGGATGAGTTCATGTCCCTACATGAATGAAGCTGGAAACCATCATTCTCAGCAAACTATCGCAAGGACAAAAAACCAAACACCGCATGTTCTCACTCATAGGTGGGAACTGAACAATGAGAATACTAGGACACAGGAAGGGGAACATCACACACCGGGACTTGTTGTTGGGTGGGGGTAGCGGGGAGGGATAGCATTAGGAGATATACCTAATGTAAATGACGAGTTAATGGGTGCAACACACCAACATGGCACATGTATACATATGTAACAAACCTGCACGTTGTGCACATGTACCCTAGAACTTAAAGTATATAATATATATATATATATATATATATATATATATATATATTTCAAAAAGAAACAAAATCTATACCACCAAGGAAATATCTCCCTTGAAAGTAGTCCCCTTGAGAGGCTTTACACACTTTCCTAAAGCTGCTGTTGCTCAAACCCGATGGGGCTGTGGAAGTGGCCCTTAGAGACAATTTATGTATACCACCACCCATTGGAGCCAAATCCACACTTCCCTGGTTTAACCATCCACCTTCTCCACATTCTCTCAGAAAGCTTTTGGGCTATTGAGAATAAAAGCCACCCTCAAATGATAAAAAGCTGTTCCAGGAATGGCTGGCCAGCTCTGAAGGAACACTCTCAAACATTCACTTAAAACTCAGGTTGGAATATTTAACAACGGTGAGCCGGCCACTATTTCCCAGCAATGCCATATCCCTTATTTCATTCTCAACAAACCTGTGGCTAGATGCTTTATTGCCCCTTTATTAATGGGGTAACTGAGGACCAATGAGGGTAACCAGCTTCCTCAAGGTCACATACCTAGGCCAAAGCAAACGGGAGGGCTGAACTCAAGACTTTTTTTGCTTCCTAATTTATCACTCTTTCCACCACTCCAGGACGAACACAGATGCATCCCATTACTTTAGAGGCAAATCTTACATGTTCAACATAATTTTCTGATTGTCTACTTTGTCCTTATTTTCTAAGAAATATCCTTTGGAAAAGTTAGTATGAGCTTGGGGAAAATAAGGGGTCTTAGTCTGCTCTACACTGTAGGCTGAGGCCAGCATGTTGCTCTGCAATCAACAACCATATGTGAAAATACTAAGAGATGCCAGTGCAGACTGGTCCCACTGGCCTTTAGGGGGTACCCTCATCTTCATGGTCCTGGGCTTCCTTATATTCATCTGTAAAACTTGCATAGTGATAACAGGAGAGACAGGGTTGGGCTCAGAGGGATTTTGTCAATCTCAGTCTTTCCTGTGGTTAGCAACTGGAAGTTCTTCAGTGGGAGCACCTTTGAGCTGTCCTACAAATAACAGCACTGGCCTAGGAAGGGGTTAACACTCAGAGTCCTGCCAGCCAAATCAACCAGCAGAAGAGCCTAGAGAGCAGACAGCTGCAGAGGTGTGCACGATTCCTAGGGCCGACCCAAGGTCGCAGCTCCTCACGATGGCTTTATGAAACTGGAACAAAGCGAAACGGGGGGAAGCAAAAGGGAGGGGGACAAGCACAGTTCCTTACTCTATGCAGAAAAATAGGACATTTCAGGATGGAAAGAGGCCAGAAAGCCACTGAGAGCTGCCTCCTCTTTTCCCAACCATGAATTCTGGTGCAGTATAATCTTCTTCCTAATGCTTGTGGAACCATTTTTAAAAGCAAAAACAACCATTCCCACTAGTGGTTTCCATTATTGCCATTGGTGATTTTTTTTTCCTGTGCTGTAACCATCCTCTATGGCAGGAGATGGCAATGCCTTTCCTTTGGTGCTGAGCTTCCCTAGTGATGCTGTTTCTCCACAGGTTCTGAGCTCCAGGGCATCACTGTCCTTTTCTGGGCTGAAATTCCTGGGCCCTGTGGTCCTCAGTCCCAAGCAAGCCATGCTTGCCATTCTCCATCCCACTATGGAATAAAATCCTCAATCCCTTGATGTTTAGAAAAGAAATCTTATCTCCCAGGAGGACTTAGGGCCTTGGCATATCCTTCACTGAAGGAAAAATCCCCCTCACCTCAGAGAGAAAAGATGCCTAGGCCTCCCTGTGAGTTTAATTTTCCCAAGAGGATTTGCTGCCAACTTGGAGAAAATTCCCAGGCCCCAAGTGAAGGTGGCTATTTCTGCTTTTCCCTCCAAGGCTCTTATCCAGCCTGCTAGTTTCTGGCCTGTGTCAGAGCTAATCCTTAATGACAGACAGTTTTTAAATTATCAGTTACTTGTCTGAGTGTTTGGGCTTACTTCCTGGTCCCCGCTGTGGGAGTTAACTCAGACCAGCCCTGGTAAGGAGCCTAGAATTTCCTTCACTTTGCTCTGACATGCAGTGCCACCTGCCACCCCCAACCAAATAAATTATGTATTTGAGAAGACAGTCCTTGTTGAAGGAGGCAGAGACAGATGTCACTACTGCATTGTGGCCAGAAGTGCGCCCAGTGGCGAGCTTTCTCTTGCCTCCAGGAAGATGCCTCTGTAGGTCGGGCATCCTCCGCTGGGCTCCAGTGTTGCCCAGTGCATACTCTACCATTGCCCTTACCACACTGCATTCTAATTGTCTGTTTGCTTGTTGGCCAACCCCAGTAGGAGTGAGGCCTGTAAGGAGAGAACCATGGTATCAGTGTCACTAGTCTTCTCAGAATAGAGCAGAGGGCCTGACTGGAGCAGCAGGTGCCCAGTAAATAAATATTGGTTGAGTGAATGAGGAATAAAGTAGCCAAGTAACCTTCAATATGGTGTCCAAGTGAAAATAAACAAAGGACTAAGACAGGAATGGGTCAGCCAATCTGCCTCAGTCCCTGCCAGCGCCCACCTCTCACTGCCAGGCTTAAGGCCTCTACCCACAGTCTCAGTCTTGGCCTTACGATATACCTGACAGGGCCCACCCAGTAGCCTCTATCTTGCTGCCCTAGAGCCAGCAGCTGGTGCAGCTGGGGGAGCCCTGTGACCCTGTGCCTATAGAGAAATAGTCTTTACTGCTGCCACCATGTTGGCCAAGTCCATATAGGTGGGCTGTGCCTTGTTTTCTGTGCTGAGCATTCCAGCTTCTTGCTGGACCTGGGTCCCTGCCTTAAGCCCCAATGTGTTTGGATCAGGTCCTGTTTCCCTGCTCTGCTTTAGTGTGGCCTCCATCAGACAGACAAACCCCTCTCTCCCCAGCTGCTGACAGCCTTTTGATGTGAATGACTTGGCATCTGGCAATGTATCACCAAGCACCAGACTTCCAGTGTCCCGAGCACCTATTGCCATGCTGACCCACCAGATGAGCCCCTGAACAAGCCACACCCACGTTGTCCTCACCACTTTTGGCAACGTCCAGGCCTTCTCAGCAGCTTTTGAAAGGACCTGTCTCTGTAGCCCCATAAAGGGGCCAAAGACGCAGTGCGGCCCACAATTGAGCTCATCCATGTTACTGCCAAGGGAGTGAAAACTGATCCCCCAAAGCTACAGAGAACAAAGCATTAAGTATTAAATGGAAGCTCTGTGGAGACTGTTCCTAAGTCAGATTTAATGGAGCACTTGTCACCAAATCCTCCTCAACACCTCCAATCGCTACTCAATCACACTGGTCAAAAGCAGCTCTTCCTGGAAGAAACACACTTTCCTTACACACTGATGAGATCCCAGTGCACAGCCTTCACCAGAGTACTAAATGGGATAGTTGCAAACTCACCTCATGTCAACACGTCCTCAGTAATAGCCACTATTTCCAAGGGCATCTCTGAACTACTCTTCTCAGGGTTCATATTTCAGGATAGGCTCATGGGCAAGGTTGCATTGTGATGAAATGCTTTTGTATTTCAGAATATAAATTCCCCTAAATGGGGCCCAAGAAATGCTCACCTTCACTGCAGTGCCCTCTATGGTGATAGGACAGATAGCACTAGCCCAATAATGAACCTTTATTGAGTGTTCCCAATGTAACCCACCCTGTGCCTGACCCTTCCCATTTACTCCTCAGAAACACTTGACAGAAGGGTGAAGTGACTCACCCAAGATCACACAGCTAGTAAGGAGGGGGAGACAGGATTCCTCCCAGGACTCCCTGACCCCAAAGTCCTGGATTGCCACATAGCTTATCTCCCTATTCTTGGGCTGTCTCAGTTTGAGTCTAAACTTCAAAGCAACACAGAAAGATGGAGCCCTTGCTGATTCAAGGTGTTGAAATATCGGGAGAAGGTTCTCCTCATAGCTATTGGCTTCCCCAAATGGAACCACCTGTGGGTCTGTTTCTAGGTAGATGAACATGAGGTAGCTTCTTACGATCCAAACTTAGATACTCTGCTAGCAGGGGCCCAGGTGCCACCTGGCCTTTATGGGGCAGGGGTGCCCTGGCACTCAGGGAAGCAGGGCCAGTATGATCTAGTCAAATGCTGGAAAGTCTATCTTCTACAGAGCTTCAAGTGTGACCCCACACCCATGGATCCTGCCATAGCTGCTGCTCTATATCAAGCCCTGTACTCTGAGGTGAAGCGGACCCTGAGCCTATCCTCAAGGAGCTCAGTCTCTTGAGCAACCAGAGTAGCTGTGGCCATGCTGAGACAAAGGAGAGGGTGATGGGCACCACAAGGGAGGGTGAAGTGATCACAGCAGGCTGGGGGCCAGAAGGGCTTCCTCTGAGCTGGGCCTTGAATTATAGATCTGATTTTAGATACGCAAACATGATAAAGGAAAAGATGTCTCAGGTATAGGGACGAGCATAAATAAAGGCATGAAGTCAAAGCAAAGGCTCAGAGAGAGTCACGGTATAATAGCAAAGACCAAATCTGGATGGGGCCAGACTGTGCATGATAGACTTGCACTGCAGTGCTCACAGCCACTGACAACTAGGCAGCCACGATGGTTAAGCACTGGGCCAGATGCTCTGCATTTATTGTTATCTCTTCAATCCTTGCAACAGCTCTGTGAGGCATTATTATCTTCCTTTGATGGATGAGTAAACAGAAGCTCAGAAAGAAAGGTGAAGTAATTGTCCAAGGTCATATATGAGTATGAGATAGAGCTGGCATTCAAAACCAGATTTGCTTATATCTACAGCCAACCATCTTTTCCACTGCTCTGCACTGAAGAGATGAGTTAGGAAAGGCCTTTAATGTCAAGTGTAGGAGGTCCAGCTCCCCAGGAAGTGATGGAAAACAGGGCAGTTGGGTGAGAGAATGAAATTTGAGAATGGGAAGGTGCCCAGATTTTGGCAGTGGCAACTGTGCTACCTGCACTACCAAAACGTTTTCAATTTGGGCAGCATCTTGGATGCCAGGTTTTATCAGGACCAGGGGGATGTGAGAGATAGATGCCTTCTAGGGAGCCAAATGCCAGAGAAAGGGTAAGGGAAGTCTCAAAGTGAAGTTTCTGTAGAGCTAATGGTTTCTACCATGGTCTGGTAGCAGGCTGCATTCCCAGCAGCCTAACAAAGGAAAAACATAAGCCCTTAAGATATGATTCATAGTTACCACTGGGGGAAAATGGGTAAAGTATACACTGGATCTCTTTGTATTGTTTCTTACAACTGCATGTGAATCTACAATGATCTCAAAATTAATAAAAGTTTGATTAAAAAAACTAAAAATGAATTTCCTGTATATTTAAATCTTGCCCATTGAAAATATGCCAGTTTTCATATTAACACCTTGATCCTTTGGATTGGGTGACTCTTTTTTTGTTGGGAAACTAGCTGAGGTGGGGGCTGGGGGGGATAGCATTAGAAGAAATACCTAATGTAGATGACAGGTTGATGGGTGCAGCAAACTACCATGGCACATGTATACCTATGTAACAAACCTGCACTTTCTGCACGTGTATTCCAGAACTTAAAGTACAATAAAAAAGATTACCTCTCCCCCCACCAAAAAAAGAATGATTCTATATGCTCCAAATCACATCTATAAGATGGGTTGTTCTGAGTCCAAGCCACCTAAAAACAGAACTGTTGCCTGGTTTTGCTCTATAGGCATTCTCTAGCCTCCTCACTTAATAACAATAACAACAACAATAAAATATGTTCCTAAAACAGTTGACAAAAGCTTTCACATTCATTTTCCCATGGGCACTTCGTAACATCCCAGTGAGGTCAGTAGAGCAGGGCTTTTAACCCCATTTTACCAAGGAGGAAACTGAGGCTCCAAGAAGCTAAGCCATTCACCTAAGGTCAAGTGCTAGAACTCAGATTTGACTGCAGTAATTCTATTCCAAGCCTGCTGCTCTTTCCATTCTGTTAAAGGTACCAGCAAAATGATTTTCTGAAAAACGGAATTGTGGTATTTTCCAAGCTGCTCTTGATCGAGATAAAGTATTTACATGTGGCCTTGTCCTAGAAACCACATCTCCAGCCACCTGGAACCCAGTACAACTGCTCTAAGTCCAAGCAAATGCCTCACTCTGCTCCAAGATCACTGCGGGACTCGAGGCGGCTCTCCCATCTCTCCCTCTGTGGAAGAAAAGACTTGCATGCAAATAAAGTGGGACATTTCTATTTGCATTTGGGGAGATGCAGCCAAATAAAATATGATGACCACATTAACTAAATATTGCAGGCATTTCCTTTCCAGTTTTCCTGCCTGTCACCCACTCAATCTGGTGTAGAATGGCCATGCAAGAATGTGATAAATATTTTTTCCTTTCTAAACTGGGATTTCACATGTATAGAGAAGGATTAGGGTGAGACAGTTAACTGTTGAGATTTTGGCTTTCCTTGGGCCAAATATCTGTGGACAGCTGAGGTTGTTCAGGATTGAGCTATAGTTGGGAGGGAATCTAGGTATGATGCAGATTTTTAAGGCACGCTTAGCCCAAAATCCAGGGCTGGGACACATATCATCTTTGTTGTGCTTCAGGTTACTCAGAGGCAGATGGGCCAAGAGGTGGAAAATCTTTGTAAATAAATGGATTTGAGCCTAGTTGCTGCTTGGCTGCTTTAAAGCATGATATTTTTCCCACCTGGAATTTGTCTCAAAGGACAATGAATGAGTGTCTCTGATCTGGGGTTATGAAATGGTTAGAGCTCAGCAGCAGGCACCAGGGCCGACACGAAACTCTCAGTCAGGCTGGCAGAACAATTCCTACCTTGACCAGAAAGCCTTTCCACTCCCTGATTATAGAGCTTGAAGTATAGGCCTGGATACAAGGAGGATTCAAGCAGGAAGGGAGGTCAGAGATGGGATAAGGCCAACTCCCTTAATCTGAAGCTAGAGGAACCAAGGCCCACAGAGGGGCAGGGACTTATGGAAAACCAAGAGCAAGGCAGGGCAAAGCTGGGGCCAGGGCTCAGGCTGCCAGACTCTGCAGGCCATGTTGCTTCTCCCTACTCCAGGCCATCTCCCACCACTTGGGCCACAGAGCTAGAGGTGGACAAGCTACTTTCCTTATCACTTGTGGCTTGACCTGAGGAAAGCCCCTTCCCATGACTTAGGAGGAAGATACAGATGGCACTGAAGACAATGTCCCCAGCAAAGAGGAGCCATGAGCAGATCTTGGACCTATTTACAATAGAAACAAGAGAAGGGCCATCTATTGCCAAGCCCTTGTCCATTGGACTGGCCCTTCCTTCCCAGATGCTCTGTTCAACCTTCATCAACTCAGCACTTCACTCCAGGGCCTGGCTTAACTAGGTCTTTCTGTGGGTCTGATGGGCCCACATGTAACTCCAGGCAGCAATCTCCCAGAGAATGGAGAAAATGGATGATGCTTGCAATGTGATTTTTGAGCAAGTGGCTGATTGACTGGGCCTATCATCTTGTTTGGTGTGTGTGTGTGTGTGTGTGTGTGTGTGTGTGTGTGTGAGAGAGAGAGAGAGAGAGAGAGCATGAGAGAGCATGGGGGGAGGAAGGGGAGAGAAGGGGGCAGTACCTGCTGATAACCCAAAAGGGAGTTTTGAAAGGAGAACCTAGCTGCGACTCTGAGAGGCCAGGGGTTCTCAGAATTTGCATTGCAGAGTGACTTCAAACTAGGGTGGGACTTTCACGAAGGAAGTGAAGTGGCACCTGAAGGTTAGCCTGTGTGCCACATAGGACACCAGGCCATAGGCTAACTTGGGGCATACTTTACAGAGCATTTCCCTCATGCTCCCTTGATTAACTTTCCCAGTGACCTGTGTATGTACATGTAGTGTGTGTGAGGGGGAGTATTATCCCCATTTAACTGATGATGAAGTGGAGGCTCAGAGCACATAAATAACTTCCTATGGTCACACAGCCAGAATATGACAGAGTTAGGCCTCAAACCCAGGTATTCTCCCTTCCTATCCCATTCTTTCTTCATTATAGACAGTATACCCTAGTGGATAGGAGGCAGGCTCTAGGATCAGAGATACATGGGTTCAAATCCAAGCTCTACTGCTTCCTGGAGTACTTATTTATCAGGTGTAGTGCTTGTGACCATGAAATGAGAGTACCTGATTACAGCATAACACAGGCCTAAAAGACCCTTCTTGACTTTCAGAAAGCAAGTCAGAGGGAAGTGTAGCTGTTGGCACAACCTTCAGCCTCTTGGCATTGGCCATCTAGCTACTCCATGCTAGGCTATAAGGTGGAGAGAGTGGGGGAACACAGCCCTTTCTTCCCACAAACCCGTGCTTGCTGCTTGCCCTCACTTCCTTGCCCTCAGCAATCTGAACTTAGGCTCCCAGTCCCATCCCTCTGCTCCCACATCCCCCAGCCCTGGCCTAACACTCAGCTCCGCAGCCTGACCCTGCTTGTGACATTCCACATGGGTACATGAGAAGCAGATCAATGATATTTCCTGGGCCTTTTACCCATCTTTCCCAATCCCCTATTTTCTTCTCCCATCCCCTCCATAAAGGGAGGAAATCATTTTTCCCTTTAGCCGTGGTGTAAAAAGGACACACAGACCCTTAACCTGAATTCATGGGCACAACTGGCAGAAGGACTTGCAGCAGGAGAGCACTGCTCTCCCTCATCCATCTATTCAGTCACTTATGCTTCATGCAGTTGACCCTCATTGGCTTGGGTGTGGTCCCATGTCAGACTCCATACCAGGCTATGCCAGGACAGAGATCAAGACACTCCAGGCTAGGCTGGACCCATTGTCTTTCACCAAATATCCTCATTTTATTTTCATAATCATGCCTGAAAATAATTATCATCCCATTTTATGGAAGAGGGAATTGAGGCTCATGCAGGGATATGATTTGTCTGTTCATAATATAAATAAAAATAGTAAGTAGGCTAACTAAAATTTGAATTCATATCTCTCTGTACCCTCAGCTTATGTTCCTTCAATTTTTCCAGGCTAGGCAGGGAAAGAGAGAAGTCAGAAGAGGCTCATGGAGATCTCTTCTCCTCCCAAAGGGGACCTGGGCCAGATCAGAGAAAGCAAGGAGCATGGGCTTCTCAACTAGAACACTCCATGGCTGAACTGACAAATAATTACATGGAACCATATGGCTGTGGGCTTAAACCTATCTGTGCCTCTTACAAGTACTCTGCTCAATTAAAGGCAGGACTTGGTAGTCCTAACTGGCAATGTGTGATGTGGTCGAGAGAGTCTAGGCCAGAATAGGGCAGCCTGTTCTGTGTCCCAACAATATTCTGTGCAGACCCTCCCCCATTATGGCCCTTATTATCCTAAACTTTCATTACCCATTGTTATGGGATGAACTGTGGTCCCCCTATGTTTGTATGTTGAAGTCCTGTATTCGGACAGAGGGTCTGCAAAGAGGCAATTAAGTTAAAATAGGGCCACTAGGGTGGGCCTTAATCCAGTATGACTGGTGTTCTTATAAAAGGGTGAAATGAAGACACAGAGACACACACAGAGGGAAGATGATGTGAAGAGACACAGGGAGAAGACAACCATCAGAAGCCAAGGAGAGAGGTCTGAAACACATCCTTCCCTCACAGCACTCTGAAGGAACCAACCTTGGTGAAACCTTGATCTCAGACTTCTAGCCTCTGGAACTGGGAGAAAATCCATTTCTGTTGTTCAGGCCGCCCAGACTGTGCTACTTTGTTATGGCAGCCTGAGCAAATGAATACACCAATATACAGAGATCTATGTTCCCCATTGGGCCATAAATGCCTTGCGGAGTGTAGCCCAGCACCAGCTCAGTGGATAATCAGTCAAGAGCTGCTGTATGTGGCGGCCTTTCCCAGGGTGGATGTGGAGAGAATATTAGGCTGGGAGGCCATCTCTGCCCCATTCCTCTCTGGATAGGTCTGAGGAGGCCTGCTTACTGGCCCCTCCCTCCCTGGGCTTTCTGCCAGTCAAAGAGGACATCCTTCCTTACAGAAGATGGCTGTGCTCCTGCCAGAGCATGTGAGCAGCTGCATCTGCCTGCAGGGATAGTTGTGAACAAGGAGCCAGCAGAGATCCTAGGTAGCACGTGTTCCTGGAGACTTTAGGTCACTCTGGGAAATGCTTAGTTCCAGTTCTCTTCACCAAACAGCATGGGGCAAAGGCCCTCAGAACCAGGGTCTGGCATCACTCTGCCATTACCTGAAAGGAAACTAACTCTCCAGGAATTAGAGAAGGTGTCACAAAGTGGTGATGTTGGAACTGCAGCTTGAAGAATGAAAAGGAAAAGACAGTAGAGGAAGGGAGAACTCCAGATATAAACAAAGTAAAGCAATGTACAGGTAAATGAGATGTTCAGGGAACAGAAGGAGGTCTGGTATAGCTGAAGCATCAGGAGCTGTGGAAGGTGGTGGCCCAGTCATCTGGAGAGGTAACCAGGAGGTAGAATGCCAGAGTGTGAACACTAGGCCTAGGGGTTGGGATTTCATTCCAAAGTCAGTACAGATCCAGGCCTTGTGAGCAGGAGGCATGACTTTGCGGTGGGAAGAACAGCCTTTAAATCATGGGCAGTGGAGGAGACAGCCTGGAGCAAGGGAAACAAGGGGTGGAGCTTTTGCTGGCACCCATGTGAGATGAGTGGTCTGAACCTCGGAGGTCCAATGGTGAGTGGCAGCTGAGGGAGAATGGGAAGTTTTTAGCTGGGCAGCTGGGGATATGATGAGCCTCCTAGCCAAAATCCCAAACTGTCTGGCTCTGTCTGCTGTATACATTTGTCAGTCTCCTTCTCAGACTGTGTGCTCTCCAAAGTCAGAGGAACTTCTACTTCTCTCCACAAAACCTACTGCCAAGCCTAGCCCAGAGTCAGGGCCCTGCGTGTAGTGAAGAGTCTCTCAGGAAAAAATATATTAATTTGCAAAAGAAGGAACGAATGTCAAGCTTCTGTTTTAACACTGCAGAAAGACCCTCTGCCTCACAAAAGACAAACGGAATGAAAGGTGGGGAGACTTCGTTGTGAAAAGCAGCCAATATTTAAATCTAAAACTTTAGAAGCACTCGTGGAAGTTGGTTCCCGATAGCAAAGAGGAATTTAAACTTAGGAAGTGCAGTAGCTCATTGGGACTTACGTTGTCAAGAAGAAGGGGAGGAGAGTTCATCTAAAAAGAACAGCTCCATCTAGCAGCATTAATCCCCAATGGCTTTGGATCAATTTTGGCTTAATAATACTACAAGAGAAAAAGCCCCTTTTCAGTGTCAAGGAAAATCCTGCTTTCAGAGAGTCACTCTTTGCCTATCTCCAACAGGACTTAGGATGAGTGTGTATCACGAGCTCATCTCTGAAGAAGTTCTGCAAAGCCCTCAGGGACATGCAGCATGAGTTCCATCCCCTGGCAAGAAGCTAAGTCCTGTGTCTATGAATGCATGGTCCTACCATCCCAGCATATATGCTCTGGCATATAAATGGCATCCCAATGTTACAGATAGGAGAGCTGACCAGTAAGGGAGGACTTACAGTTCTTATGGAATTTGTGCTCAGCAGAGCAGGCAAAGCCTTCAAAGACCAGGGTCCACAGAGGAGGGTAGCTAGGACAGGTCAGTGGAAGAGCTGTGAGTATAATGTAGAGCTCTTGACTCCTGGGCCAGGGCTCTTTCCACTAGACCATGCTGTCTGTCTCTCAGACTAGGCCGATACATTCAACCAGTTTGACCATTTTGATGGAATTGGATGTTTGAATTAGTGACCATTAATTTGGCTAATTTCTTTTCTTACCCAAATGATCAATTGTTTACATTAGCCAGTAAATGAGTCTAAATGAAGTGGTTGTTCAAATAGGCACTTGACTATGGTTGAACATGAAGGGTTTTGTGATTTAGAATTGGGAGTTGTCTGTCATCACAGTTAAATGATCCATCAAAGCGCAACAGGTTAAGAACAGGCCTAAGTGGTACATCCATATAATAGAATACTATTTAATGATAAAAAATAAGTGAGCCATCAAGCCATGAAAAAACATGGAGGGACCTTAAATGCATATCACTAAGTGAAAGAAGCCAGCCTAAAAAGACTACATATTGTATTGTTCCATTTATAAGACATTATGGAAATGACAAATTATGGAGATGAAAAAATATCAGTGGTTCAATGAGATACCATCTCACGCCACTTAGAATGGTGATCATTATAAAGTCAGGAAACAACAGATGCTAGAGAGGCTGTGGAGAAATAGGTATGCTTTTACACTGTTGGTGGGAGTGTAAATTAGTTCAACCATTGTGAAAGACAGTGTGGTGATTCCTCAAGGATCTAGAACCAGAAATACCATTTGATCCAGCAATCCCATTACTGGGTATATTCCCAAAGGATTATAAATCATTCTGCTATAAAGATACATGCACATGTATGTTTACTGCAGCACTATTTACAATAGCAAAGACTTGGAACCAACCCAAATGTCCATCAATGATAGCCTGGATAAAGAAAATGTGGCACATATACACCATGGAATACTATGCAGCCATAAAAAAGGATGAGTTCATCTCCTTTGCAGGGACATGGATGAAGCTGGAAACCGTCATCCTCAGCAAACTAACATAGGAACAGAAAACCAAACACTGCATGTTCTTATTTATAAGTGGGAGCTGAACAATGAGAACACATGGACACAGGAAGGGGAACATCACACACCAGGGCCTGTTGTAGGGGTGGGGTCCAAAGGGAGGGAGAGCATTAGGACAAATACCTAATGCATGCAGGGCTTAAAACCTAGATGACGGGTTGATGGGTGCAGCAAACCACCATGGCACGTGTATACCTATGTAACAAACCTGCATGTTCTGCACATGTATCCAGAACTTAAAGTAAGATTCTTTAAAAAGGCATTCAAACAGAAAGAGAGGAAGTCAAACTATCTCTGTAAGAAAAAAAATCAGTGGTTGGCAGGAGTTTGAGGGGAGGAGGAAGTTTTGGAGGAATGCAGCAGAGGGGATACTTAGGGCAGTAAAGCAATTCTGTATGATTCTGTAATGGTGAATACGTGACATTACGTATTTGACAAAATTCAAAAGGTGAATCTCAAACTATAGATTTGAGTTAGTGATAATGTACCAATAATGGGTCACCAATTGTAATAAATATACTACACCAGTGCAAGATGTTAATAATAGGGGAAACAGAGGGAGTATATGAGAGCCCTCTGTTCTTTCTGCTCTATTTTTCTGTAAACCTAAAACTACCCTAAGAAATAAAATTGATTAATTGCAAAGAACCATCCTAGGTGTCCAGGTATGGAGGGAAGCAGTACAGAGCTGAAAAGTTTCTGTTCCATAACAGAGACAAATGGAATAGTAGACTATGAAATCTTGGCTAAAGTCCGCACTGACACATCTAAATGAACACAGAACAATTTGGTCATGTATCTAAATACTTAGGAATATTCACATACAGGCATCATGTAGTCATGGTCTTCCATGATCTACTGTATGTATCTAAACAACAGCTCCAGAACAATATGAAAATGGAAAAAGCAAACTAAAAGAGAAACTTACAACATAGTTGTCATTCTATGGTTATCAAGACCCTTATAAATGTTCCCTTTCAATCTATACAAAGAAATGGAACTCTTTAGGCTCTTATTATTCTTCTGTAGCGTGGGTTTTTGTGACAAGTCCTGGCATGCCTAGGACCTGGAGCAAACAAGTTGATATGACAATAAAAATACAAAAGAACACAGTAGACAAACACCACTGGGTCGATCTTAAATGCACAATTGAAAATTATGGAACATAACAGTCTAAATTCTACACATAGGCATGAAGTTCAAGGTACTTCATCATAAGTATTATTATATATGACCTTTGTTAAGTTAGATCCATGGAGATGAGACGACTTTCAGGAGGCTTAAGAGATCCCTCAAAAAACCATTCTTTTCATGAGAGAAAAGATGAAACAACTCCCTAGTAATCAGGGAAATAAAAACTAAAGCAAGAAGATATATTTCACACCCATCTATTTGGCAAAATATTAAAGTCTAACAGTATCAGGTGTGTTGCTTATAATGTGAACAAGCAGTGCTGCTGGAAGCATAAACTAGCATAACTGTTTTGGAGACCAATCTGACAATGCCTATTAGAGTTGCTTAAAGTGGAAGTTTAGATAGTTCCTTTCAGATGTTTCTTCTTTTCTAAATTAGCACTGAATTCAAAAATTTTCTTCATAAGTCTTGTTTTAGCTGCACTCCACAAATTTTGTCATACTGTGTTTTTATTTTCATTTAATTTAAAACATTTTCTAACTTCTCTTGAAATTTGTTTTTTGACCCATGGGTTTTTTAGGAATGTGTGGTTGGATATTTATATATTGACACCATCAAGAAAGTGGAAAGACAGCCCACATAATGGGACGAGATATTTGCAAATCATATATCTGATAAGGGACTTGTATCTAGAACATATAAAGCACTCTTACAACTCAAGAATAAAAATATAAATAACCCTATTATAAAGGGGCACAGGGTCTAAACAAGTATTTCTCCAGATAAGATATCCAAATGGCCAATAAGTATATGAAAAGATGTTCAACATCACTAGTCATCAGAGAAATAGAAGTCAAAACCACAATGAGATATCACTTCACATCCACTAAAATGGCTAGAATAAAAAAGTCAGATAACAGCACGTGTTGGGGAATATGCAGAGAAATCAGAACCCCTATACACTGTTAGTGGGAATGGAAGATGGTGCAACCACTTTGGAACACCTTCTGACAGTTCCTAAAAAAATAAACACAGTTATAAAATGGTCCAGTTAATTCCCAAGAAAAATGAGAACATATGCCCACACAGAAACCTGTATACAAATTTTTATACCAGCATTATTTATCATAGTCAAAAAGTGGAAACAACCCAAATTACCATCAATAGATGAGTGGATAAGCAAAATGTGGTGTATCTATATTATGGAATGTTATTCAGACACAAAAAATGAAGTATAGATATATGCTGCAACATGAAATAGCCTTGAAAACACTACACTAAGTAAAAGAATCCAGTCACAAAAGACTACATACCATATGGTTTCATTCTTATGGAAGTCCACAATAAGGAAATCTACAAACAGAAAATGAATTAGTGATTGCTCTGAGTGGGGTGGAGAGATGAAAGCGTGATAACTAAAGGATACAGGGGTGATGGTTGCACATATCTGTGAATACACTGTGCTAAAAACCATCAAATTGTACATTTTAAATGAGTGAATTGTATGGCTTGTGAATTATATTTTTTAAAAGCTGTTAAAAACATGTACTGAGAATTTTTCAGATATCTATTTTTTTTACAGCCCTGTTATATTTTTTAACTTTATTATTTAAATTATCATACAGTAAACTTAGCTTTTTTCTTTTAGTGTTAACTATTTGTTATTGATGGCTTGTTTGGTTGCTTGGTGATTAGAGAACATCCTTTGCATTATTTAAAACTCTGTTAAATTTATGGAGGCTTTTTTACAGTCCAGAATATGGTCTTTCTTAGAGAATGTTCTGTGTGCACCTGAAAATAATGTATATTCTGCTCTCATTGGGTATAATGTCCGATAAAAGTCAATTAGATCAATTTGGTTGATACTGTAATTTAATTATTCTTTATCCGAACTGATTTACTTTCTATTTGTTCCATCAATAAATGAGAGAGGAATGTCGAAATCCCTAACTATAATTTTAGACTTGACTATTTTTCCTTACAGTTCTATCAGTTTTTGCTTTACATCTTTGAAGCTCTGCTATTAGGTCCAGACACATTTAGGGCTATTATGTCCTTTTGATGAACCGATTGTTTTATCATTATGAACTATTTCTCTTTATCCCTAGTAATATTCATTGTACCAAAATCTACTTTGCCTGATATTAATATAGCCACTCCAGCTTTGTTTTCATTAGTATTTGCTTGCTATATCTTTTCCCATCCATTTTAAGCTATGTGTATATTTATATCTAAAATGGGTTTATTATAGACAACATATAGTTGGGTCTTGCCTTTTCACCAAACTGACAATCTTTATCTTTTAATTGGATTCAGATCTTTAATTTAATTGTTCAGGTTTTTACATTTAATTAAATTATTCATTTTATTGGACCTAAGTCTACAACCTTGCTATCTAATTTCTATTTACCCAATCTGGTCTTCTTCCTTGCTCTCTCTTTCCAGGACTTCTGTTTTAATTGTTTTTATTATTCCCTTTTATATCCAGTATTGGCTTCATAGGCTCTCTTTTTTATTTTTATTTCTTGCTCCACAATTTACATTAAAATGTTTACCTTAGCACAATCTACCTTCAAGCATTAAAATGTTTACCTTAGCACAATCTACCTTCAAGCATTAAAATGTTTACCTTAGCACAATCTACCTTCAAGCAATATTATACCACTTCATGTATAGGAATTTACAACATTATACTTCCATTTCCCCTTCTGTCCTTTATGTTATTGTTGTCATACATTTTATTTCTACATTTATAAAATGTAGAAACATATTACATCACAATACAGTGTTATTATTTTTCATTTAGACAATTTTCATTTAATGGGAATATACAAATAATTTTAAAATATCTTTAAATATACTCACATGTTTACCAGTCTCAGGACTCAAACTTTTGTTTGATCCAAATTTTCATTTATTACCCTTTTCATTTTGTCTGAAGAACTTCCTTTAGTATTGTAGTGCATTATCTGTTCATGATGATTCTCTCAGTTTTTGTCGGAAAAGTATTTATTTCCTCTTCATTTTTGAAAATGATTTCATTGGGTTTAGATTTCTGATGACAGTTTTTTCCTTCAGTACATTTATGATGTCACTACATTGTCTTCTAGCTTGCATGGTTTCTGGCAAGAAGTCTGATGTAATTCTTATCTTTATTACTCATTGCACCATGTCTCTTTTCCTCTGGTTGCTTTTAACATTTTTCTTTATCCACAATTATTTTTCAATAATTTGATCATGATGTGTCATAATGTAGTTTTCTTTACATTTATTTTGTTGGAGTTTGGTGAGATTATTGGATAAAAGAATATTTAGTTTTCATAAAATTTAAACATTTCCCAGCCTTACTTTTCAAATATTTTTCTGCCCTCTCCCCCTCCTGCTGCTCCAATTATGCATGCTAGATCCCTTTATGTTGCCCCACGTCACTCATGTTATGTTCTTTTTTTTCAGTCTTTTCTGTCTGTTCATCATTTTGAGTAATTTTTATTGCTATGACTTCAAGTTGACTAATCTGCTGCAGTTTCTACACTGTTAATCTCATCCAGTACATTTTTCATTTCATATATTGTATCTGTCATCTCTACTAGTTTGATTTTGGCTTTTTTATATCTTCCATTTTTCTCTTAGCCATATCCATGTTTTCTCCACCTTCATAATCATATAGAGCATATTTATAAAAGCTGTTTTAACTTTCTTGTCTGCTAATGCCATCATCTCTGTCATTTCAAAGTCTATTTTTATTGATTGTCATCTATCCTGGTTAAGAATCATATTCCACAGGTTTTTTTTTTTGCATGGCCAATAATGTTTTCTTGGGTGCTGTACAAAGTGGATTTTACACAGTTGGGTGGTGGATTTTGTTGCATTCCTTTAAATATTGGTGGGTTTTGTTCTGGGATGCAGTCAACTTATATGGTATCTGATTCTTTCAAGGCTTACTTTTAAGCTTTGTTCAAGGCAGGTCCATAGCAGCCTTTAGTCTACAAATAACTAAGCCCTACTACTAAGACAATATCCTTTGGAACATTGTAGTTCCTACTCCAGGTATTACAGGTCTATTCCCAGACCTGTGTGAGCCCTGTTAATTTTTCAGTCTATTGTTTTCTCATGGTCTATCACTGCCCAAGGGTAGATTTTTTTTTCCTCATACATGAGCTGCAGGTCAGAATTCAGCCAAAGACTAGAGGGGACCCTCTGCACATCTCTGGAGCTTTCTCTATACAAATCTTGCTCCCTGCAATTTCCAGCCTTCGTGGTCTCCCTGGACTCTAATCTTTGTCTGCCTTACTGATCAAGAGCTCTAGGATTGGTTTTGGTCCTCTCTTTCTCTGCTGCAGCCTAGAAAATTACTCCAGGCAATAAGCTACGAAAATCATAGGGCTCACCTTACTTGTATTCTCTCTGTCAGGAATCACCATCTTGTACTTTTGTACTGCCTGTTGTCCAATGTCTAAAAGCCATTATTTCATATTTTCTCTCTGGTTTTCTAGTTGTTTAAGATGGAAGGTAATTAGTCCCTGATATTCTATCATGGATGGAAGAGAAAGTCTCCTATTATATTACTTTTTAAATATTCTTCCAAGCACAAAATGTTTAATACTTTAAAAATATACTTTTAAAAAGCATTTTTATTCCTCACAATATTTGGTTTTGCTACCATACATCTGAGCATCAAGAAAATAATGCTCTAGACCAGAGCTTCTCAACCTCAGCACTACTGACATTTTGGACAGGAAAATTCTTTGCTGTGGGAGGCTGTACTATGCACTGTAGGATGCTTGGCAGTTATGACAACCAAAAATATCTCCACTTATTGCTAAATTTACCCTGAGAGATCAGGCAAAATTGCCCTTGGTTGAAAACCAAACTTTCAATATTGTAGCAACCCAGAAACACACCCCCTTTTAAATAAAAGTTAGGCAGCCTTAAAAAAAAAATAACAGGGGCATATTGAAAGGACACAGGAGCCAACCTGAGAAAGTTCCCAATGGTCAAAATTGCAGCAATTTGAGCAACGAGCAATAAATATTGAGAGTATTAGATTATACGTTAAAGCATAAAATAAAATTTATGAATTCATTCTGATATAAATAATCGAATGAATAAGTGAATGAGAGAGAAAAATTCCAATTAAATAGATGTAGGAGGGATGAAGGAAGCAATATCACCATTAGAACACCACAGTGATAAATGCCACAGGAGGAATCTATCAATGGATGTGATAATGAGTGAGCAAAAGCTTAAGCAGAATAGGATGTTTGCGTATTCTCAAAGTATTTTTCCTAAAATATTTAGTAATTAACAAGGTGGGGAAGAGGGAATTATAAGTTGCTGGTAGGGAATCCTGGTAGAAATCACTTTAGCCAGGTGATTAAGGTTAACATACCCAGTAATACATATGAATATCATGTATCCCCTGATACAACAGAGTGAGAAAGGCACATCACCTCTGTGGTGGCCTTCCCAATAATGTATAACTTCAATCTAATCACGAGAAAAAAATCAGACCAAATCAAATTTGAGGCACATTCTACAAAATAACTGATGGGTGCTGTTTTGATCAAGTATCATAGACTGGAGGATACTTAAGGAGATATGATGACTAAATGCAAAGGGATATGCTGGATTGGATCTAAAATGGAAAAAAGACATCAGTGGAAAAACTGGTAAAATCTAAATAAAGTCTATAGTTTAGTTAATAGTATTGTACCAAGGTTAATTTCTTAATTTTGAGAACTGTACCATGGTTATGCAGAGGTTGACATCGGGTAAGCTGGCTTATGGGTGTGCTGCAGTTAGTTCTCTGCAGTGTTTTTGCAACTTTTTCGAAAACCTAAAATTATCTCAAAATAAAAAGGTTTTAAAAATTTGAGCATCGAGTAGTGATTCTCCCAGCATGCAGCTTGAGATCTGAGAATGGACAGACTGCCTCCTCAAGTGGGTCCCTGACCCCTGAGTAGCCTAACTGGGAGGCACCCCCCAGTAGGGGTGGACTGACACCCCACACGGCCGGGTACTCCTCTGAGACAAAACTTCCAGAGCAACGATCAGGCAGCAACATTTGCTGTTCACCAATATCCGCTGTTCTGCAGCCTCTGCTGCTGATACCCAGGCAAACAGGGTCTGGAGTGGACCTCCAGCAAACTCCAACAGACCTGCAGCTGAGGGTCCTGACTGTTGGAAGGAAAACTAACAAACAGAAAGGACATCCACACCAAAACCCCATCTGTAGGTCACCGTCATCAAAGACCAAAGGTAGATAAAACCACAAAGATGGGGAAAAAACAGAGCAGAAAAACTGAAAATTCTGAAAATCAGAGCGCCTCTCCTCCTCCAAAGGAACGCAGCTCATCACCAGCAATGGAACAAAGCTGGACGGAGAATGACTTTGACGAGTTGAGAGAAGAAGGCTTCAGATGATCAAACTACTCCGAGCTAAAGGAGGAAGTTCGAACCCATGGCAAAGAAGTTAAAAACCTTGAAAAAAGATTAGACGAATAGCTAACTAGAATAACCAATGCAGAGAAGTCCTTAAAGGACCTGATGGAGCTGAAAACCACGGCACGAGAACTACGTGACAAATGCACAAGCCGCAGTAGCTGATTTGATCAACTGGAAGAAAGGGTATCAGTGATGGAAGATCAAATGAATGAAATGAAGCGAGAAGAGAAGTTTAGAGAAAAAAGAATAAAAAGAAATGAACAAAGCCTCCAAGAAATATGGGACTGTGAAAAGACGAAATCTACGTCTGATTGGTGTATCTGAAAGTGACGGGGAGAATGGAACCAAGTTGGAAAACACTCTGCAGGATATTATCCAGGAGAACTTCCCTAATCTAGCAAGGCAGGCCAACATTCAGATTCAGGAAATAAAGAGAACACCACAAAGATACTCCTCGAGAAGAGCAACTCCGAGACACACAATTGTCAGATTCACCAAAGTTGAAATGAAGGAAAAAACGTTAAGGGCAGCCAGAGAGAAAGGTCGGGTTACCCACAAAGGGAAGCCCATCAGACTAACAGCTGATCTCTTGGCAGAAACTCTACAAGCCAGAAGAGAGTGGGGGCCAATATTCAACATTCTTAAAGAAAAGAATTTTCAACCCAGAATTTCATATCCAGCCAAACTAAGCTTCATAAGTGAAGGAGAAATAAAATACTTTACAGATAAGCAAATGCTGAGAGATTCTGTCACCACCAGGCCTGACCTAAAAGAGCTCCTGAAGATAGCACTAAACATGGAAAGGAACAACAGGTACCAGCCACTGCAAAAATATGCCAAATTGTAAAGACCATTGAGGCTAGGAAGAAACTGCATCAACTAATGAGCAAAATAACCAGCTAACATCATAACGACAAGATCAAATTCACACATAACAATATTAACCTTAAATGTAAATGGGCTAAATGCTCCAATTAAAAGACACAGACTGGCAAATTGGATAAAGAGTCAAGACCCATCAGTGTGCTGTATTCAGGAAACCCATCTCACATGCAGAGACACACATAGGCTCAAAATAAAGGGATGGAGGAAGATCTACCAAGCAAATGGGAAAAAAAAAAGCCAGGGGTTGCAATCCTAGTCTCGGATAAAACAGACTTTAAACCAACAAACATCAAAAGAGACAAAGAAGGCCATTACATAATGGTAAAGGGATCAACTCAAAAAGAAGAGCTAACTATCCTAAATATATATGCACCCAATACAGGAGCACCCAAATTCATAAAACAAGTCTTTAGAGACCTACAACGAGACTTAGACTCCCACACAATAATAATGGGAGACTTTAACACCCCACTGTCAACATTAGACAGATCAATGAGACAGAAAGTTAACAAGGATACCCAGGAATTGAACTCAGTTCTGCAGCAAGCGGACCTAATAGACATCTACAGAACTCTCCACCCCAAATCAACAGAATATACATTCTTTTCAGCACCACACCACACCTATTCCAAAATTGACCACATAGTTGGAAGTAAAGCACTCCTCAGCAAATGTAAAAGAACAGAAATTATAACAAACTGTCTCTCAGACCACGGTGCAATCAAACTAGAACTCAGGATTAAGAAATTCACTCAAAACCGCTCAACTACATGGAAACTGAACAACCTGCTCCTGAATGACGACTAGGTACATAACGAAATGAAGGCAGAAATAAAGATGTTCTTTGAAACCAAAGAGAACAAAGGCACAACATACCAGAATCTCTGGGACACATTCAAAGCAGTGTGTAGAGGGAAATTTATAGCACTAAATGCCCACAAGAGAAAGCAGGAAAGATCTAAAATTGACACCCTAACATCACAATTAAAAGAACTAGAGAAGCAAGAGCAAACACATTCAAAAGCTAGCAGAAGGCAAGAAATAACTAAGATCAGAGCAGAACTGAAGGAAATAGAGACACAAAAAACCCTTCAAGAAATCAATGAATCCAGGAGCTGGTTTTTTGAAAAGATCAACAAAATTGATAGACCGCTAGCAAGACTAATAAAGAAGAAAAGAGAGAAGAATCAAATAGACACAATAAAAAATGATAAAGGGGATATCACCACCAATCCCACAGAAATACAAACTACCATCAGAGAATACTATAAACACCTCTATGTGAATAAACTAGAAAATCTAGAATAAATGGATAAATTCCTCGACACATACACCCTCCCAAGACTAAACCAGGAAGAAGTTGAATCCCTGAATAGACCAATAACAGGCTCTGAAATTGAGGCAATAATTAACAGCTTACCAACCAAAAAAAGTCCAGGACCAGATGGATTCACAGCCGAATTCTACCACAGGTACAAGGAGAAGCTGGTACCATTCCTTCTGAAACTATTCCAATCAATAGAAAAAGAGGGAATCCTCCCTAACTCATTTTATGAGGCCAGCATCATCCTGATACCAAAGCCTGGCAGAGACACAACCAAAAAAGAGAATTTTAGACCAATATCCCTAATGAACATCAATGCAAAAATCCTCAATAAAATACTGGCAAACCAAATCCAGCAGCACATCAAAAAGCTTATCCACCATGATCAAGTGGGCTTCATCCCTGGGATGCAAGGCTGGTTCAACATATGCAAATCAATAAATGTAATCCAGCATATAAACAGAACCAAAGACAAAAACCACATGATTATCTCAATAGATGCAGAAAAGGCCTTCGATAAAATTCAACAACCCTTCATGCTAAAAACTCTCAATAAATTAGGTATTGATGGGACGTATCTCAAAATAATAAGAGCTATCTATGACAAACCCACAGCCAATATCATACTGAATGGGCAAAAACTAGAAGCATTCCCTTTGAAAACTGGCACAAAGACAGGGTTGCCCTCTCTCACCACTCCTATTCAACATAGTGTTGGAAGTTCTGGCCAGGGCAATCAGGCAGGAGAAGGAAATAAAGGGTATTCAATTAGGAAAAGAGGAAGTCAAATTGTCCCTGTTTGCAGATGGCATGATTGTATATTTGGAAAACTCCATCATCTCAGCCCAAAATCTCCTTAAGCTGATAAGCAACTTCAGCAAAGTCTCAGGATACAAAATCAATGTGCAAAAATCACAAGCATTCTTATACACCAATAACAGACAAACAGAGAGCCAAATCATGAGTGAACTCCCATTCACAATTGCTTCAAAGAGAATAAAATACCTAGGAATCCAACTTACAAGGGATGTGAAGGACCTCTTCAAGGAGAACTACAAACCACTGCTCAAGGAAATAAAAGAGGATACAAACAAAAGGAAGAACATTCCATGCTCATGGGTAGGAAGAATCAATATCGTGAAAATGGCCATAGTGTCCAAGGTAATTTATAGATTCAATGCCATCCCCATAAAGCTACCAATGACTTCCTTCACAGAATTGGAAAAAACTACTTTAAAGTTCATATGGAACCCAAAAAGAGCCCACATTGCCAAGTCAATCCTAAGCCAAAATAACAAAGCTGGAGGCATCATGCTACCTGACTTCAAACTATACTACAAGGCTACAGTAACCAAAACAGCATGGTACTGGTACCAAAACAGAGATATAGACCAATTGAACAGAACAGAGCCCTCAGAAATAATGCCACATATCTACAACTATCTGATCTTTGACAAACCTGACAAAAACAAGAAATGGGGAAAGGATTCCCTATTTAATAAATGGTGCTGGGAAAACTGGCTAGCCATATGTAGAAAGCTGAAACTGGATCCCTTCCTTACACCTTATACAAAAATTAATTCAAGATGGATTAAAGACTTAAATGTTAGACCTAAAACCATAAAAACCCTAGAAGAAAACCTAGGCAATACCATTCAGGACATAGGCATGGGCAAGGACTTCATGTCTAAAACACCAAAAGCAATGGCAACAAAGCCAAAATTGACAAATGGGATCTAATTAAACTAAAGAGCTTCTGCACAGCAAAAGTGAACAGGCAACCTACAGAATGGGAGAAAATTTTTGCAACCTACTCATCTGACAAAGGGCTAATATCCAGAATCTACAATGAACTCAAACAAATTTGCAAGAAAAAAACAAATAACCCCATCAACAAGTGGGCAAAAGATATGAACAGACACTTCTCAAAAGAAGATATTTATGCAGCCAAAAGACACATGAAAAAATGCTCATCATCACTGGCCATCAGAGAAATGCAAACCAAAACCACAATGAGATACCATCTCACACCAGTTAGAATGGCGATCATTAAAAAGTCAGGAAACAACAGGTGCTGGAGAGGATGTGGAGAAACAGCAACACTTTTACACTGTTGGTGGGACTGTAAACTAGTTCAACCATTGTGGAAGTCAGTGTGGCGATTCCTCAAGGATCTAGAAGTAGAAATACCATTTGGCCCAGCCATCCCATTACTGGGTATATACCCAATGGATTATAAATCATGCTGCTATAAAGACACACGCACACGTATGTTTATTGCGGCACTATTCACAATAGCAAAGACTTGGAACCAACCCAAATGTCCAACAATGATAGACTGGATTAAGAAAATGTGGCACATATACACCATGGAATACTATGCAGCCATAAAAAGGATGAGTTCATGTCCTTTGTAGGGACATGGATGAAGCTGGAAACCATCATTTTCAGCAAACTATGGCAAGGACAAAAAAACCAAACACCACATGTTCTCACTCATAGGTGGGAATTGAACAATGAGAACACATGGACACAGGAAGGGGAACATCACGCTCTGGGGACTGTTGTGGGGTGGGGGGACAGGGGAGGGATAGCATTAGGAGATATACCTAATGTTAAATGATGAGTTAATGGGTGCAGCTCACCAACATGGCACATGTATACATATGTAACAAACCTGCACGTTGTGCACATGTACCCTAAAACTTAAAGTATAATAAAAAAAAATTTGAGGATCTTGTAGTTTCAACTGTAGGTATACATCTGTGATTGTAACAAATCTCATTAGACTAAACATTGGAATCACAGAATCTCCAAGTTGGAAGCGCCCCTGTAGATTATCTCATTCAATTCTTTCAGTTGACCTTTTGAGCAAACTTGGGCTAGGGAGGAAACAGGATCTGCCCAGATCGATGCAAATAGTGGTAGAGAAGGGACTGGAATCCCTTTTCTGCCTCCCAGGGGGAAGCTCTTGCTATATCTTCCTGATGGTCTTTCACCTTCACCTCTAAAACACCTGCAAACCCATTCTGAGATGTTTTGGGTACGTTATGCTGGACATCTGTTCTCTACAGCAGGGGTGGGCAAACATTTTCTGTAAAGAGCCAGATAGTAAATATTTTAGTGTTTGGGAGACATACGTTCTCTCTATCCAATGTAGTGACTACTCAACTCTGCTGTCGTAGCACGAAAGCAAACACAAAAGCCAAGTAGTGACATCTATTCAATTCTGCTGTCACAGCACAAAAACATTCATAGAAATATGTAAACAAATGGATGTTTATTGTGTGCCAATAAAACCGTACAAAAACAGGCAGTGGATTTCACCTGTGGGCCAAAGTTTGCTGATCCCCGCTCTAGATCTTTACTAGTGAAAAAAAAGAGTTCTGAGCTGGACTCGGTGGTACCTGCCTGTAATCCCAGCTACTCAGAAGGCGGAGGCGGGAGGACCACTTTAGCCCAGGAGTTTGACACCAGCCTGAGTAACACAGTGAGACACCATATCAAAAAAGAGAAAACGGGGCAATCTTTGGTAGCTCAGTGACAGTCACCTAAAATGTATCTCATGTAGTACAGTTAATAGAAAATATGTGCATGTTCCCAGCTGGACAATAGTAATGGAGAGGAGGTTATAATGGTGAGATCTTCTAAAATAAAGAAACAGTAGAGATAGCAATATGGTCTCTTTGTCCTTTGTGTTAGGTTGGCCTAAGCAGAGGTTGATGAAGTAGTATAAAGAATGTCAAAGACAATAAGCCCATAAATGGAAAGATGAATAGTCATCTCTCTGACATTTCATTTTGCCCTTCTCGTAAGGAGGGGAGGAGGTTTTCTATAGAAACATCCAGAGCTGCAGAGCTTTCAGGTTTCAAAGACAATGAATTAAATCTAATTTCAAAATAGTTGGTCATTATGCTAATGCACATGCACGCACACACACAGGGGCAAAGTGTTGTGATCTAAAATACTTAGAAAAAATGACAGAATAATAATAATTCTGTTAGGAGAGTATGATTTATTATAACTGTTTAGTATCGACAGAAAGCAGGCATGAACAAGCAGCGTGAAAGGAGGAGAATGAATATTTTAAAAATATAATGTTTAATGATATTTCCAAAGAAAATGTTTCTGAGTTGAACTCTTTTCTTCTTTCAAAAAATTTATTCTATTTAATAATGGTTATTACCCATTTTTAAGGTGCCCTGTGATGAAAACAATCTTTTGAGACGAAGTAAAACTTCAGTAGGAAATGAAAACTTCCTCTCATTTTTCTCATATATCTGTAATGCTTACCCACAAAGTAAAACAGACAATACAAATGCTAAATATAATGAGCATGTGCTTAAATAATATCTACTCCTGACAGTTTCTTGATGTTGACATAATGTTTCCATGGGTCTGATTAGCTTGTTGCTTCTCAGGTTAAATAGTTCATACACAAGTTTTCTTTCCTTCTCCATTTGACCACAACCTTACAGGGAGACATATCGTTTGGAGACACATTTTTTGTTCCATCATGAATCCTGAGGTGTGTGGCTAAGCTAGTAAGAGCAATGCAGGTGCAGTCTGTCCAGGGTCCAGCTAGCAGCCCCAACCATACTATACCCATGAGTCCCGGGGTCACTTCACTGTTCCTTGGAGGGCCACCAGAGTAAATGACAAGAGGGCAGGAAAGGAGTTAGCAAGGAATCAAAGTTATATTAACCAGGAATAACAGGTTTCCTGGGATAGGTCTGCTTCTAATAGTTGACCTAATTGACCAGGCCTTAAATACATTTGTCCTTGGCAGAACACCGATCTAGAATTTTAACTTCAGAGCTAGGAGACTTTCAGATCCAGCGATAAGAAGAGAATGAACAGAGAGCAAATGGGAAGAAAATGGTGCAAGGCCTTCACAATCTTGGTCACCTTCCCCTATTTGGTATGTGTGCTCTTCCCTCCCTGCCCATTAGGCGCTGATTGGCAATGAAGTCCCCGAAAATGAAAGTATGGACAATCAGGAAGTGAAACCTAGGAGGAGAGTAGCCGGAGCAAAGGAGGGAGACAAGTGCCTGTGAGACCTGTGAGGAGAGAGGAGCTAAGCTGAAGGAAGGCAGCACAGCATCCTTGAGAGAACACCCATTTTGGGGTCAGATACTCATGTTGAAATTGTAATTCTTCTATCTGCTGGATGTGTGATCCTGTCTGGGGTGGGCAGGGGGACATGTCATTGAGTTTCTCTGAACCTTCAATTTCTTGTCTAACAAATGGATATCTAACACGCACCTTGCCATTCTGGATATGAGGATTCAATGAGAGAATGCATGGAAAGAGCCCCTCAAAGTTCTGGCACAGAGTAAGCCCTTGTGTTAGGAATCTACTCTTGGAGCTTATGGGAAAAGGGATCCTGGGTAGCCAGCCCAAGAGAGGAAATAGCCCCAAAATTTAGCTTTCAGGAAACTCAGTGGCTTTCTAGTCACCTCAGCCAGCTGCCTCCATTCCACCACAAAACCAACAGCTTCAAAAACAGGCCCTGTAGGAGGTGGTCAAACAGCTTTCCCTAGTCAGTGCCTTCTGAGTGAATACTGTCATGTAGTTCACTGGATACTTTGAGGAAAGTAGCCACAAGGCAAAAGAATTCTCCAGTGAGCTCCCCCAAAATCTATGGCATCAGCTTAGCATCACAGCATACTGCTTAATTAAGGTGACTCTTTTTCTCATCTCTCTTTCCACCTTAACTTAGTATCTTTCAGTTAGCTGTCAAAAGGCTGTGCTCTTTGCAACAGCTGCTGCTCCCCTGGCTGCCAGGGCTGGAACGTTGAGGTCGCCTGGCAATTTCGTAATTCTGATCCTAAGTTGAGGACAGCATCATAGCAACACTTGAGTGTCAGGGCAGAATATCCAGTGTAAACACTTCATCCTGAGTTGGCTTCTGTGGCTTGTTCAGCACATTTTGGATTTATTACCCTCTCTAGCTTCCGTGACCTCGAGGAATGAAAAGCCATTTTAATAGTAGTGTAAGTAAAGCTAATTTAAGAAGGGAAATCTGCTATATATATCAAATAATGTCTTTCAAACTGAAACGAGTGACTTTGGGGTGACTCATTGCCTTGGATTATCCTTTTGAATTATTCATGCTTCTTTTATTTCCTCCTTTAACACAACTGAAAGCTGGCATCATCATCCCACCTCAATTCTGGGGAGGGGATAGAGATGATAAGGATTCTATTTACTAATATTCGTAATGGGTAGTTTGAAAATAAAGGAGAAATTAAAAAAAAACAGCTGCATTGAGACAGTGCCTACTTTCACAGAGCTCAACACGTGTTGGCATCATCTATTTGATGGCATCTATCCTCAAGGTCAATTTGTAAGTATGAATTGAGTGTCTACCATATGTGAAAGAGAACATTCCATGCTGTAAGCACAGAAGCCTAAGTAATAATAGATGTGATGTTGTCATCTGAGTAAGAAGAGATCAGGAAATGGAGAGGGAACCTGAATTTCTGAGTACCTCCTGCTTTGTATAAAAATGAAGAAACTTAAAGTGGGTAGATATTAAGTAGTTTTACCATGGTCATACAGGCAGCATGAGATAGGGCCAGGATTCAATCCCAGTTTCTCTGACTCCAAAGACTGTGATCTTTTCACTATACCATGTTGGTATCTAAAAATATAGGTCTTCAGATCTGGGGCAGGAAATTTACATAATGATCCCAGAATATCTTATCATGCCTAGCAAGGAAGCTTTCAAAAACCACAAGATTCATGTAAAAAGGACTCAGGGGCCAATTTAAAGAGGTTCCCTATGGCCAAAGAGGGGCCAATGTGAGCCTCAATATAAGAACAATCAATCAAAACACATAAAATATGTTTAAATCCATGAATTCATTATTATATTTTGAAAATAATCACTCATTGATTATATTAGTGGATAGTGAGCTAGCTCATTATTTGGAATTAGGCATTTATCCTGCCTTCTTATATAAACTGTACCACTGGATAACCAAGTAGGAGATGTACAGAAATATTCCAGCTAACAAATAAAGAAGGAATAACAAAATAAGAACATCACCATTTTTGCAACCCTTAATGAATGAATGAATCTAGGTTTAATTGTCAGTGGCTGCTAGCATCACAAAAACAGAGACAACCAGATAGTGCGTGCCTCTAAATGTAGAGCACAAACTGTATATGAAATAGTCGACCAAAAACAAAACAAAAAGCAAAGAAACTTAAGCCTCTAAAACCAACTATTAATTCAGAGAAAACACAGAAGACTGCAGAGAATGTTAAACTTAACAACAAAAATGCAATAAGTAAAATCCAGTATAGGAAATGCTACATGTAAAAGTACTCATTTTCTTCAAAAAATAAATGGCAAAAAGAAAGAAGGAGGGGAACCTGTAGATTAAAAGAAACTTAAAGGCCATATCAATTATAGTATCTAGCCCATATTTGGAGTTTTATTCAAACAAATGAATATCCATTTATGACAACTGTAAGAGAGTTGGAAACTTTAACATTGACGGGATATTTGTAGATTTTAACACAGTTTTGTTCATTTTTAGATGTAATTTTTGTATTGTGGATATGTTTTTAAAAGAATCTTAATCCTTTAGAAATACATACTGAATTATTTACAGATCAAGTGTTATGATGTCTGTGAATGGCTTCATGAGATTACAAAAAGAGGTAAAGCAGATGTGGGTACAGATGAAACAAGAGTGGCTGGGTGTTGATCATTGTTGAGGCTGGATGATGGGTATAGGGGACTCATATAGTTCTATCTGCTTTTGTATATATTTGAAATTTTTCATAATTAAAAAGATGTATCTATACAACACACACGTACATGATTTGACGATACATGCATGCATATATATGCCAAAATTCCTCTTCTTGGAATTGATCCTGTGGATACAGAGTGGAACCATACCATATGCATATGTGAGTTATGTAAATTCAAATATATACACTCGGTATACAGAGGAGAGAGGCAGGGAGACAGAGACAGAAAGTTAGAGAGAGGAGAGAGTTGAGGGAAAGACAAGACAACAATTGAAATGGCGTAGCAGGTTGTGCCCACCATTCCGCTCAATGATCCTGCTGTGCCCTAGAGAGAACATAAGGTAAAAGCTGTGGTTCTTCTACTCCATCGGTAAGGTTCAGTCCCTGTGTGTCTCTCATACAGTGAGCATCTCACAGTGATTGTGGTGTTTAAAGACACACATATTTCATTCAACATAGCTCATAACCACAAGCTAACCTCTTCATCTGGTGCTTAGCCAATGACTCAGTGATCTACTCCAATATTGGGGGCAAATAGGCTCTGCTGGAATAATGAAGATATGGCATGTCAGCCTTCCTGAGGAAGTTTTTTTGTTTGTTTTTGTTTTGTTTGTTTGTTTGAGACGGAGTCTTGCTCTGTCGCCCAGGCTAGAGTGCAGTGGCGTGACCTCGGCTCACTGCAAGCTCCGCCTCCTGGGTTCACACCATTCTCCTGCCTCAGCCTCCCGAGTAGCTGGGACTAGAGGTGCCCACCACCACGCCCGGCTAGTTTTTTTTTGTTTTGTTTTTTTGTTTTTGTTTTTGTTTTTTTGTATTTTTAGTAGAGACAGGGTTTCACCATGTTGGCCAGGATGGTCTCGATCTCCTGACCTCGTGATCCGCCCACCTCGGCCTCCTAAAGTGCTGGGATTACGGGCGTGAGCCACCACACCCAGCCTCCTGAGGAAGTTTTAAGGGTGGTTTTGACTCTATGGGATATTTACGTTATGTGCTAAAGAATCTAGCCAAAGGGTGTTAAAGTCCATCATACCTATACATGTGTGCAAGGACATGTGTCAAAAGATATGTTTAATGTTTAATATGTCACTGTAATATTTAAAAACTGGAAAAATCCTAAATGTTCACTAACAGAGAACTGGTTAAACATGGTGTGTTTTCACAGTAGAATAATTTATGGAGTCATTACAAAGAATAAGGTTGATAGCTTCCACGCAATAATAGGAAAAGATGTCTAAGACATACTGTTACATGAAAAAAAGCATGTGGTAGAATAACATATGTAGTGAGTTTATATTTTTGTAAATTACAAAAAGAATAAATATATACCTGTAGAGACATACACATCATTGTTCTTTTACAGCACATTTCTAAAAGAATATACTAGAAACTAGTAGTAATGATAGACTGAAGAGAGGAAATAGGACTTTAGAGTGAGAGGATAACTTCCTTTTAATTGCACACTCTTTAATATAGTTTGAAATTTTAACATGTGCATGCATCACTATTGACACTTTTGTTGAAGCATTACACACATATAGAAAGGGGCACAGTCCATATCTGTACAGTTCAATGAGTTAGCATAAAGTGAATACACACAAGTAACCACTACCCAGACCCAAAACAGAACATTGCCAGTCTCCAAAAGCCCCATCATGCACCTATAATTCTCCTTTCTTTCCCCTTGGAAATTAACTACTATCCTGATTTCTAATACCACAGTTTAGTTTAATCTGTTTTTTTAAAATCTTTATAGAAATTGAATCAGACAGTATGTATTATTTAGGGTCTGACTTATTTCAATCAGTATGTTTGCAGAGCCTTTCACATTCTTGCATGTAGGTATACTTTGTTCATTTTCATTACTGTAGCGTAGTCTATTGTGTAAATGTATTGCAATTTATTTATATATTTACTGTTGATGAACATTTTGGTTATTTTCATTAATTGACCAGTACTAAATTAATGCTCTAATGGACATTCTTGCATATGTCTTTTGCTGAACACAGGCAGTGAAATTTCTGGGTCATAGGGTAGGTATTTGCTTAGCTTTAGTAGATACTGCTAAACAGCTTTCGAAAGTGGTTGTGTCAGCTTACCCTTCAATTAGCTGTGGATATACACAATAACAAGAATGAAAACAAAATCCTACTTCAGTTCACATAAGCAGTGTTGATTTGACTGGTATTTCTGTGTTGTTTGTAAAAATTAAAGACATGAATCACTATGTTACCTAATGTGTTTATTCAATATTCCTGTGACAAATCCCTATTTGAGTTTTGTGTCAGGAAGAAGTTGACATTTAAAGAGGAATATAGCCCTCTTCTGGTTCTCAAGTTATTTATGCCACTGTAACCCTCACCCTTGACTGCAAAAAATTCAGTTAAAGTCAGTGCTCAACATGCATAGTGTTCTGATCATGAGGTATCTGGTAATATCTACTCCTTCTTGAAACATGCAACTCTTCTCTATGTCTTACTTTACATGATACTTAAACTGGTAAGTTTCTGCAAATCCTTTTGGAAATAAAGGGAGGAGGAGGTTAAATTGTAAATAAATAAACCAAAAATAGTTCTAGCCCCAGATGGTGAAATTTAAAAAGGAATTGTAAGAAACTAAGGCTAATACAGTCCAAACAACAAAAGTGCACAAAGAAAGCAGTATAAAATGCAGTGTTCAGTAATGTGTGATTTGCCAACCACCATGCACATGGCTGGTGGCCAGGACAATGTCAGGTTTACATGAGTTTCAAGCCCTCACAGAACATACTGCCACATTTTGTCTTGATGGGCGAAAGGTAGAAACTCCCAGGATTGGGGACCTTGTGACTCCGGCCCAGTGGATGAGCCCCTTTCCCCAGACAAGGGTCCAATTTATTCTTCTTGAACTGGAAAGAAATTATCCTTTGTAAGAGACACACAGTCTACTACTATGTCTCTCAGTCAAGTATTGCCACCCTGGAATATCTTCCTATCTGTGCGTCCAGGCAGACAGATGCCCACATACTTCTTGCTCACTACCAGAAGGAGCCCTAAGCAATCAAAGGGCCCACTTGCCTCACCTTTGGATGCTGTTGTGGTGTTCATCTAATACTTGATGAATGTATCAATAGATTTCTTAGATCTCACAGTAGTGAACAGATAGATTCAATAAGATTTTCCATTTGCCTAGGGGCTAAGTCTTTGCTGAGTTTGAAACTGATATCACACAGAGTAAGAGTTCAGGGGAGAATGCCTGGGATTCTGGAAGAGTATATGAGGCTCTAGAATTTAATTGGAGGTTTAAAGAACAGGTAAGGTATAAAGGCAATAATTAACATGAATTTTGGGAAATCACATATGCTGAGTAATGTATCTACAGACCAAAGCAGAGGGAATAAGTATTGGGAAAGGAGATTTGGATTAGTTCATGGAGGCCCTTCTATTCCAAATTAAGGAACTTGGATTGTATGTTATTATTGAAGATTTTTGAGTAGGGTGAGAAGAGATCATAGTGAAAATAATATTTCAGGAGATGAATATGGCCATGGTATTCAGCACATACTGGGATTGGGGAGAAAGATAAGCAGGGATTTCACTGCTACTGCTATGATTCAGGCAAAGACAACACATGTGAAATTGGTTGAGTGCAGCACGGATGGAAAAGCAGAAACAGAGAAGAGGACAAAGGAAGAACTGCTGGGTTCTGAAGTGATCACGTGTGCAAAAGGAGGCAGAAGGCAAAGCAGGCTTGGAGCCAGGAGAACCAGGAGACAGGCACCTCAATTACTGATGGTAGCATTCTTTGTAATAGCAAAAGATTAGAACCAACCCAAATATCTGTCAACAGGGACTCCCTGGTTGAACAAGCTATGATTTCTCTTCAGGCTGGCATAGGATGCAGTTATAAAAAAGGAATGAGGAAGAGCTCCATACGATGACATATGATAATCTGTAGGACATGTTGTTAAGTGGAAAAAACAAAGAAGCAGGGCAGTGTTTATAGCACATGATACATTTTGTGTAAGAAATATGGGTGGAATACAACTACTAACTCTCATTTGTTTAATATTCAAACACATAATAGATCTATAAAACAAAACCTAATAAAAATGATTGCTAAAAAGGGAAGAAGGAAAAAGAATGGTGAGCAGAATGGAAACAAGACTTCAAGAATATCTTCTCTTACATGATTCCAACTTTGGAACGTATAATCAATGTAAAGATAAATCCAAAAGAGAAAGGAAAACAATCCCTAAAACTGAGGGAAAAAATGAAGCAAAGGAATTAAACTGCGTATCAAGTTGGAAACATAACTCCACAGGGAAAGAAATTAGTTCAACCGACATTAAAATATAATACTTTGACTACCTCCCTAACAGGACTTTACTTTAAGAACAACAAAATAGCAAAGCAATCTTAAACTGCATTCCATAGTCTTAGTAGTAACACTTGAATTGTTATTTTAAAATTGTTACAAATATCAGGTAGGGTAAAGCAAGTAATTTTGTTGATGTCATTAGGAACCAAGACTTTTAGAGTAAGAGAGAAGAGATACAGTTACAAACATAAAAGATAAGTAAAAACCCTATCCTCTTAAATTTGACTTTGAAATATCAGTATAAACTCATCACTTCTATTGTTTAAAAAATATGTATCTCCCAGCTCTTTCACTAAAAAGAAAATACATGACAATCTAGTAGCTATGAGGAAACCCAGCTCTCAGACTGTGCTCTCTAAATATCATTTCCCATTAAGGGGAGTTAGAGCTCTTTGGATAAATGGTTGACCCCCAGTTTGGGTTTGGAATTGTATAAGATGAGCCTGAAACATCCTATATAACCAAAAATCAAGGAAGCTATCATGACAAAAGGAAACAGAAGCCAACTTAAAAGATTTAACTTAAAAGTTATTATATATAACTATAGTTATAATATGTAACTATATATTATATATATTATATTATATATAACTAGTTATATAATATATTATAACTAGTTATATATATTATATTATATAACTAGTTATAATATATTATATAGTTATAATATATATTATAGTTATAATATATAACTATATATATAACTATATATAATATATATAACTACTCTGCCATTATCACATCAATAATATATATCACAACTAGTACTACTAGTTGTGATATATATATAAAATGACTCTGCCATTATCACAATTAATAATTCATTATATATAATAATTCATATATATATTCCTTGTGAATTGTATAAGGAAAATATATATAGGCATTATCGCTATATGAGAAGATAGAAGAACTGAAAAACTGAAAGGTATTACTGCTAATAAAAAGAGAGAAGATGGGAAGAGAAGTCAGTTTGGGGAAAAAAAGATGAGGATTTTGAGACATGAAGTTTGGGAAGTCAGCCAAAGGACCAGGTTTAAATATGCAGCAGGAGGCTGAAGACTCAGACTTGGAGCTCAGAAGAAATGTCAGAACTGGAGAGAGATTTGGGAGTCATCTATACAGATGCCTCTAAAGAGCAAAGCCTTGGGATTAGATTAATTTTCACCAGAAAAGGAGAGGGCAGGGCCAGGTCCAAGCCCTAGAGAATATTTATATCACACTGGGGTGCTAGCGGTGGTAGGGAGGAAATGGAAGAGGTAATGGTGAGGAAGCAGGAGGAAAAAAAAGACTTGGCTGGGTGCAGTGGTTCATGCCTGTATTCCCAGCACTTTCAGAGGCTGACATGGGTGGATTACTTAAGCCCAGGAGTTCGAGATCAGCCTGGGCACCGTGGCTGAAACCCCGTCTCTATAAAAAATACAAAAATTAGCCAGACATGGTGGCACATGCTTGTAGTTCCAGCTAATCAGGAGGTTGAGGTGGGAGAATCACCTGAGCCCAGCAAGTTAAGGCTGTAGTGAGCTGTGATCGTGCCACTGCACTACAACCTGGATGAGAGGAGTGAGACCCCGTCTTAAAAAAAAAAAAAAAAGAGTCAGAAAAACACAAGGAAACCCAAAATAGTTTTGTCTTACAGAGGCCAAAGAGGGAAATAATGCCAAGGAAAGAGTGGTCAACAGTGTTAAATTCTACAAGGTTAAGGAGGATAAGGCCTCAGAAAATGCAACTATCTCTTACCCCAAATTCCTACCATATATCCAAATTAATTTGAAGCTGATGGTGACCTCACTAACAGTGAGCCTGTAAGACACTGTCTTAATCATCAGCTTCCATCTGTTCCTTCATTCATTCCTTCCCTCAATCCCCCACTCCCCAGTCATTCATTTAACCAACATTCACTGAGTGTCTACTCCAAGCCAAACCCCTGCTATGTTCTGCAGATATTGAGACAAATGAAATATCGTCCCTCCAGAAGCTCACAGCTTAATGAGGAAGACAGGCCTGGAAAAATAATTACAGCATAGTGTTAACACTTCAGCAACGACTTATTGAATGTATATTCTGGAGCAGACACTATGGGAGGCACTAGAGATACAAACATAAACAAGTAGTTGTGCCTGCTGGGAGCTCAGAATATAGCTTGGAAGGCAGATAGAATTATAACATGTTATGATACGATGTAGAAATAAAAGGAACATACAAATTATATGACAGCACAGAGTAGGAAATGAGGCTTATGAGTAAGTCCTGTGAGGTAAGGGATATTCATATGCCCATTTTACATATGAGGAGATTGAGGCATGGGGAGATGAGGTGATTTGCTCAAGGCCATATAGCTGTGAGTGGTAGAGCCAGGGTTCAAGTGTGGGTTTGTGAGACTCAGGAGTTCAGGCTTTACCCACTCTGCCATACTGCCTGAAGGCCTCTTCCAAGACTTCCCATGCTCTTTCCACTGTGCCACCCTGGTTGCACCTCCCAGGGCACACAGTAGGTGCTCAATGAGTGTTTGTTGAATGAATAAATGGATAAATGAATGAACTGTGCAACTACATAGGGTTGCTGGGAAGGTTCTGAGATAAATACTTGGTTAATTAGAGGTCATTGTATAGAGTCACTGTGTAGGATGGCAGGTGAGGACAAAAAGACTCCACACCCAAGTGGGAATCTCTGCTGTGTGGGCCACTATTACCAAAGGAGAAGTCATATCCAACAAATGTGTTGGGATAGCTAGAGACTGGCATCAGGGAGCTCTGAGAGTAGAGGGAAGGGCGTAAGTCACAGGGGCTGGAAGGGGAAGCGCCAAAGGCCAGGCAATATCTCAACCCCAGAGTGCTCATGCTGGGAATGCAAGGGTCCAGGGCCCAAAATCTAGTTACCCAAACTGGGCCACTAGGTCGGAGCCAGGTCAGCTTGGTCCTGAGTCCATCAAGCCATTAGCCTGAGGTTTGAGAAAGCCCTCTGAAAATGCGGGATGGTGGGGTGAGGTGGGAAAGGAGAATGAGAGGGATGATGGAGAGGAGGAGGGGAAAAGGAGAATAGCGAAGGCCAACATTTACCAAATGCTGATGTGGGCCAGGTGCTTCACTAAGTGCTTTCCAGGCTGTCAGGTTACCCTCGTAATATCCTATGACAGATACTTAACTTCCCAATTTTCTTAGCTAAGCTTGCCAGCCAAGGGCAAGGGGCTCTGCTCTCCTCTTCATGCACCTATGCAAGCCCTGCCTGCAGGTAGCAGTGGCCCCTGCTGATGGCTCTAGAGGAGACAAGTGAGCACAGCAAAGAAGTGTGAATCAGCTCCAAATGATACTTTCCCATTACAGAGAAAAGGGGCTTGGGTGGGAAGAAGCAAAGTTCCAGTCTCCTCCTGTGAACTCCTGAGGTTGCCAATCTCCAATCTGTAACAATGAAGATGCTGACAAGGTCATGCACAGGGCTTCTGCCATACAGCTTAGAAAGCCTTTTACATACATGACTTGATTATTATGCCCCCTTAGTGAAAACAATTAAAAGACAAAAACAACAATAAGATGGTTTTTGGTCATGGAGATTTTCCCCAAAAGATTATTTTTCTCCACTTCAATCCATGTATATTTCCCAGATGTCCTCTGGTCTTCTGCAATTTCTACTAAGAATTTCAGCTATCCCAACAAGGATGTTCAAACATCATAGTTTCTACTAACATATGGAGCCCATATCTCTTGGCTCCAAATTCATTTCCCTTTCCACCACATCTGGCACCTATGCTGCCAAAGGGATAGGAGAAGGAAAATCAGGTTCCACAGGAGCTGGGGTGTTATTCTTAGATTTTTTCCCATCAGCCCCCAATTCAATTCCCTTTTCCTACTCAGATCCCTACAGTTGGAGCTTCCACCTAGAGGCTAAGGCTCACTCCAGTTCCCTGACCAGCCAATTCACAGGCATGAAGTCAATGCCTGGCTTCAGCCCTGGGCTGGAGCATTAGAATTAGGGTGCTCTCCCCTGTCTGGGACCCCCTAGAACAGCTGCCTGAAAGATCTGTAATGCTCCCAGATTAGAACTCTTCCCAAGCCTACCTCTTACACTGACCCATGCTTAACAGCTGGTCTTCTGCCTTAACTCCCACTCTTAAGTCCTAGAGTTGTCCTGCCTACCTTCCTACCCTCCTTGAAAACTAAACGCTAGCCTAAATGAGATATCATCTTACTTAAATCTTCCTTCAACACCTGGCACAGAGGATGGTCCTCAATACTAGACTAATGCTGGATAGATGAGTCACTCTCCCTGCCTTGTTTTTGCCCACCTTTCTCTCTGGAACTGGCACCTTGACTCAGTGGCTAGGGTGTGGCCACTGGTTAGAGGTCTTGCAGATGATGATTGCCCAACTGGCAGAAGAGCCAAGTAATACCCACATACTCCCTAAGCTGTGTGATTTTGAATAGGTTATTTAACTCCTCTGTGCCTTAGTTACCTCCTATGTAAAGTGAGGAGATAATATTGCTGCCTCACAGGATTGTTGTGAGGACCAAAAGAATTAGTGTATGCTAAATACTTACCAGTGTCCATACAAGTGTCTTCTTGTGCTATTGTAATTATTGTTATTATGTTGGTTATGCTGTATTCCTCAGCACTGACCATTTTCTAGAATATCACCGAGGCACCTAGGTCTGCGTGGAGAGTATTCTTCTCACCTTCTTGTCTGCCTTTGCCTGTAACAATGCCACTTTCCCAAGCCTGGGTCCTGGTTAGTGGCCATATCCAATACCAGGGGTCAGCCCTCTCTCCTCCCTGACTGGCCTGCTTCTGCCATTGAGGCCATGATTTCAGGTGCACGAGTCCAATGTTAGGACAAACAGCCACTTCTAAACCAAAGACCAAGTAAGCAAACCATTCTCTTTTAGGCTAGGAAGTAGGAGAAAGCATCATCAGTATGGTCTGAGAAGCAGCAGTCTTGGAGGAGTGAAGCAGACATACAAAAAGCTTGGCTGTGTCTATGGCAACTAGGTGCAGTTGTACAACCTCCCAAAGGCTAGAAAGCCCACTTCCCTTGATGGGAGGGCTGCCCTGGGAAGTGTTGGCCAACAGAACAGGGGTTGCTTTGTGGGGGATGGGGACCTGCCAGTGCAGCTCCTGACACACCAAAAGCGAATCCCAGCATCTCAGAAACTCAGCGTCACGTTCCAAAGAGAGAAAAAATGGCCTACCAAGAGCACTTGTTTATTGCTCAGAACCCTGGTGTAGCCCAGCTCTGCATATCTGCTGGCTAAGAGAATGTTTGACTAAGGGATGCACTCAGAGCTCATTTAGCCAATGAGCCTTTCTTCTACTGGTGAGAAAACTGAGGGCTTTTTCTGCCCTCTGCATGGCTTTTTAGAGGGGTTGCTCTAACCACATACCATACCATGAGCTTCACTCAAAACTCGTTGCAAACAATGCCAAGCCTTGGAAACTGTACCAAAGCACTCTCACCTTCCTGTGACTCACAGTGCTTGCTTTATTCCGCACTCACCTGACCAGTCATCTCAGTGACTGCTGATTTTGGTTCCTCAGTTTGGGCAATCCACTTGGACTTCCTCTGGCTTGTAGACTTGAAAATAAGTCTACAAGCCAGAGAAAGGCTTGAAAAATACCTGAGGGCTGTCCCTCAGGTATTTTTACTACCCTGGCTGTGCTGCCTCAGCCTGTGTCTGTAAAGAGAATCTCTCCTTCAGCCCAAGCCAGATCAGTCCCCTCATCTGCCTGCCCCCCAACAGATTTTAGATCTTGGGATTCAGACACTATGGCCCAGAAAAATAATGATAGTAACACAAGCTCCTTGTCAGAGGTGAGATATTTTGTAACCATTAAAATAAAGAACAGAAGAATGCTGGTTCAAATCTCAGCTCCAGCTCTGCAGAGCTACATGAGTCTGAACAAATTATTAAACCTCTCTGAACCTCAAATTTCCTCCTCCATAAAATGAAGACTAAATGTAATATTGTATGTACATTCCTGGAAATAGAAAGTGATCACTAAACTGTAGTTAATATTAGTAGTAGTAACAGATAATCTAATAACCTGTGCTTCTTCGCTATCTATCAAGCTGGTGCCACAGAGCAATTGTTCAGTATGTGTTGAGTGAAAAAGATGTTTCCCTATTCAACAGGCACAACCACCAGGTGGGGCAGGTAGAGAAGACTTTGGTCTCCCCAGCAATGGAGACCTGAGTCTGAATGGTTAAATGACTTGTCTCAAGTCACAATTACTGAGCAGCAGAGCTTGGATTGGGAACTTCTGTTTCTTGACTCACTGTTTGTTGTTTACTGTTTTAATTTGCCTGATCAAATTTAGGCCAGAGAGGAATTTAGAGATTATCTAGCATAATCTCATCATTTCAAGGTTAGAAAACAAGCCAGGGAAATCAAGGATGTTTCCCCTAGAGCTAAAGAGCTAGTCAGCTGGGGAGTACAGCATAGATCTCCTGACTCCAGCTTAGTGCTCTGTCAATAATGTAACAGCTTACTTTGCAAAAATCACCTCTCTGTTTGTAATTCAGCAAACACAGTCATTCTAGGTGCAGAGCTGCTATAGCTTTCTAGGAAAACACCCAAATGGTAACTGCAAAGGCCTTCTGCAATAACAGGCCCACCTTCAGTGTACCAGATTCATTCTTCATGGAAAGTGCACCTTTGGTGTGACTTGAAGGAATGTGTCAACATGAAGCCTGGTGACAACCAAGTGTGCCAACAGCCACAAGCTTCGTGGTGTGGAGTGCCATCTTTGAAGCAGACCCTACAATACCGCTGGTATGTAAAGCATGAGCTATGAGAAACAGCACCACTTGGCAGTTCCTTCTAAAGTAATAAAGACAGTTAAATGAGGCCCAAACAGCACAGGATATTATTGTTTACATGCAACCCTTATCCCATGGCTGTAGGAAATGGAGCCAAATTCCACAAGCCCTTTCATTATAAGAGTGCTCTGCAAGACAGAGGAGGCCAGCATTGCTGCTTGGTCTGCTGTTCTTTCTTGAAGTCAGCTTCATTTGAGAATGAAAAATGTTGTCCTTAGAATTCAAACTCCACAAAGGCACAATGCAGTACAGAAAGATAATGTTTTAGGATAGATTAATAATATTTATGAGATCTTTTAAATAAATTCCACTTAATTGACATGCACCAGCTCCTCCTTTCCAACAAAAATTACTTCTCAAAGAATTAATATATTAAGTTTTTACTCTGAAATAGCTCTTAAACACTCTTTCTTTTCATTGGTTTCTCTGTTTTCCTTTTTTTTAAATAAAATGCACATTTGTATTGCACAGCTTTTAAGATTTCATTTTCTTATAGAAATGATTTCTGAAACAGATATTAGAATTTGCATAAAAAAGCATTTAAGTTGTGAAATATGTTATTTATGTTTTCCTTATATACACTTTAAATTGCTTTGGAAAGAAATTTTTAAAATATATTTAAAGTGCACCTATTAACACACTAAATTGGAACTTATTTTTATTTGATAATACTGACGTCCACAAAGGCACAATGCAATAGAGAAAGATCATATTTTAGGATAGATTAATTATACGTATAAGATCTTTTAAATAAACTTCACTTAATTGACATGCACCAGCTTCTCCTCTCCTTTACAACAAAAATTAATGAGTTTATTTTCCACCATGGTCTGAGTAAGATAAAAGAGATAAAACAGTGACTTTCCTTGAGTTTAATGTTGAGAAAATATAAAATCATATATATCCAAAAAAAAAAGAATTCAAACTCCAATGTTGGGGAAATGTATTAGGTTGTTCCACTTGCAGTTAATCTGAGGATGCAAAAGTTAAATAAGCATTGTGTTTACCTCAAATGAAATACATAATAAGGAGAGGGCAGAGGTAAATAACTCATTTGTCAATGTAACTAGAAAGGGATCTCCAATAACTTCTAATTTAAAAGGTTTCGAATTTTGAAGAGTTTCTGATGGAACAGGAGAGGATGTTTCCTATAGAAGACAATCAACACCTTAGATTCTAATACCACTCTTTATTCCACCTTCGAAAAATCATCAAAACACGGTGATTATCCACTCCTATGCTATTGCACAATGGTGGCTACAGAAGCATATGATTGATGAAAGAGGCCTGACTCTATGTCCGTGGCATGCCCTGGTCAAGCACACAAATCAGGAGTACCTTGCCCTACTCCCCCAAGCACAAGCAAGTTAATAGCAGTGTTTGTGGGTAAATGCCATATCTCTTGGTTTTCTCTGCTTCTATTAGAAACAGCCATAGCCAGTCTTGGGTAAGTAGTCCGTCTTAACATGCTTGCTTGGGTCTTGGCAGTAGAGGAGAAAGGCCTTTCTGAAAGCACCATCTTCACGGCCAGTCTCCCAAAATGGTACCATTTCACAGTTGGTTTTACTCTTACTGCATTCACTTAACATATTTACTACAGGCCATGTTCTGCACTTGGCATTAGAGATAGGGAGAAGAATAAGAAAGGAAGCAATCAATTTTGTCTTGTGGAGGAATGATTGGGCTTGATACTATTTGAGCTGCTCCTGGAGGACATGAATAGTGCTTCAACAGGCATGGGGGTGGGGATGGAGTATTAATGAGAGAGAAGATGTAAGAAGGAAAGAAGCTGTCTAATGGCTCATACACTTATTTGCTTAAACAGTTCGAATCACTGGATTGTAAATGGCTGAAGCTGTTTTGTTGATGTGAATGAGTATATTCATGGAAAACGTGCTTGTTATTAAAATGACGCAATGCCTTTTTGCAAAAGACCGCATGTAGTTAAAAGTGCTCCCACAACTATGCCAGCTTCTAATAAACAGGAATTTGGTGTGTATCTAATTGGGTTTTAATGGCTCTGGCAAAATTAAGAACTAGAGTAATTTGATATGGCTTTTTTCATTCAAACTTTCTATCATCCTAATCTCCTTAGAAACTATAAAGTATAACTTACTTTCATCAGACTATAAGCAAAGCCCATAAGCAAAGGAAAAAATAATTAACCAGATATTTTTAGTTTTATTAGATAACAAATATTACAACCCTGGCCCAATGTCTGGTCAGTAATGCCACAGAAAAAAATCGTTCATTATTTTGCAGCCTATCGATGAGACATTTTACAAAAATGAAAATTATCTCCTATGCCATTAGATCTTATGTCTGTAAAGATGTATTTTACATCTGTACCCCTGGTGGTAATATGTCTATGTCATTAACTGGGTAAGAATCCAAAGCTGATGATCAATTAATTATTCTTCATTGTTACCATTGTTTTAAATTATCAAGGGTCTTCTAGGGTTCAGGAATCTCACCTTTTTAAGTTCCAATGTCCTGAAATGTCCTGAAATACATACCTACAGAATTTTAGGTAATTTCATTTTTTTATAGATAGAAGCAGTTATGCCAGTTCTTATCAAAATTGCAAAATTACAACTAGTCCTCTCTCTAGAACCAAACCCTGGCCATGTCACATAATCCAGAGATGGATATTTCTACCAAATAGCTAAAAAATGATGAGGAAACCACTGGAAAAACAGAAGAGCCTGTGGATAGGTCAGGAATCTGAGTAGGGTAAATTAGGGAAAAGGCAGCCTAGAAAAGAAGAGGGCCAAGAACAATGGACAGGAGTTAAGGTAGGAAAACAATTTTTTAATGTGCCCATTTTCTCTACTTACTACCCTGAGAACACCATTCTTTTCCCTGCTTTGCCACCGGGAGACATTTAAACAGTAGACTAGTACCCACTAGGTGTGAACTCAGGGCTGGCTGAGATGATGGGTACTAGATATCAACTGCATGTGGATTGGCCAGCCTTTAAGAGTTTTTTCCCCACTTCTACCTGTATCTCGACACCCTGAAAACTAGAGAACTACAACTACAGAGGATTCTTCTGAAAAAAAGCAATGCCAAGGCTGAGTTACCATTTGTTATGCTAGAGGCTCTCTCCCCAGCAACATAGCTCCCCACCATCAAACTTATTGGGTTGGGAGGCGCACTAGGCAAGGCTTAAGTTTTAGTGGCTCCCCATAGTTACACATTACAATCCAAGACAGCCAAAACCCTAGTGGAACAGGAGTTCACAAGGAAAAACGGCTAATGAATATTCACTGAAAAGCATAGTGGAACAATTGAGAATAGCAGCTGAAACTGGTGGAGGTTGTCCACTCTCCAGTACTAAGTGAGTATAAAAGGCCTACGGCAAGAAGGACTAAAGAGGCTGTAGGAATCTAGCCACTATGAGCTCTCAAAAATGACTTGTCAAGATTCCTTTCTAGGACAGAATACCACATTAAAGATAAGCTGCTAGGAGTGAAATCAAAATTGAGCAGGATCATTGCTTCTGCTTCTGATATGACTGAATAAACTCCTACTGATTGCAATCCTCCTGAAAACAGCAATTTTAAACACTGAACAAAATATAAAGAAACAATGATATGAAGAGACTGGAAAGTGAACAGAAGCAGACATATTCTTAAAAGGAGTTGACATTTGAATAAAGGTATGGCATAACATGAGCAACCTATTTTTACAGCTTTTAGACTGAGGGCAAGCCAAAGCTGCCAAGTGGCTAGCACACTAAGAATAAACTGACAATCATTCTGATATGAAGAACTAAAGAACAGAGCTTGGGACAAACTGAGCCACTGGACAGTTGTGGGGAGAATCCTGTAAAGGAGAGAGAGGGCAAGATAGAAGGAGCACTAATTCCTGTATATACAAACTATCCAAGTCTCAGTTGGCCCCTGAACCACACATACATGGGACAGACTTTAGCTAAAGATAAAAGCACTGAACTCACATTTTAGCTACCAACCAAGAGACAGAATTTAGTTTCAGTCTAACCAAGTTAACTGTCTGCTAAAACAATAAAATCAGTATTTTTCAGACACAGAACCCAGAGTCTCCATAATATAATATTCAGAAGACTCAGAATACAATCCAAGGTTACTCAATATATGAAGAACTAGGAAATTGTGATCCATTCCAAGAGATAATACAATCAACAAAGAGAAAACCTAAGATGATTCAGATGTTAGAATTAGCAGACAATAAATTTAAGGCAACTAGTAGAATTATGCTCAAAGGAGTAAAAGAAAGTATTTTCACAATAAATGAAAAGATAGAAAATCACAGCAGAGAAATATAAACCATAAAAAATGAAAATTACACAATTGGAAAATACAATATCTAACTTTAAAAAATCACTGAATAGGCTTAACAGCAGAATGGAAATAAAAGAGGGAAGTTTCAGTAAACTTAAGATGAAACTTTCAAAATCATGCGTTCCTATAGATATACAGAGAACAAAGAGAAAAACACACGAGAAAAAAAATGAACAAAGCCTCAGGAATGTGTGGGACAATATCCAAAGGTGTAACGTACATGAAGTTAGAGTTCTAGAAGGAGAGGAGGAGGAGGAGAATGGGATAGAAAAAAATTGCATGTGTAATGGTTTAAATTTCCCTAAATTTAAAGATTCCAGAGGCTCAGCAAATCCCAAGAGGACAGAAAACAAAGTCTTGGAATATAGTCAAACTGCTGAAAACCAAATATAATGAGAAAATCAAAAAAACAGCCAGAAAATAACAACATTTTACACACAGAGGAGGAAAAATGACTCAATTACTGACATCAGAAATGATGGAGGCCAAAAGAGACAAGACCAACATCTTCAAAGTGGTAAGAAAAAGAAGCCAACCTGGACTTGGGAAAGAACAAGGTGGTGGAATATAAACCTCTCCTGATGGTTCATCTGCAAGGACATGAATTTAACAACTATCTACACACCAAAAAAGCACCTTCATAAGAACCAAAATCAGGTGAGCACACACAGCACCTGGTTTTAACTTCATATTTCTAAAGGAGGCACTGAAGAGGTAGGAAAAAGTCTTGAATCACCAAAGCCACCCCTCCCTCATCTCCCAGCAGTGGCAGTGTGGTTCGGAGAGCATTCCTGTGTGTCATGGAGAGCAAGATTGCAGCAATTGTTAGGCATTGAACTCAGTGCTGCCCTATAACAGAAAACAAAAACAGACCAAACTCAGCTGAATGGAGGGAACATTTAAGCCAGACCTAGCCAGAGGGGAATCAGCAGTCCCAGTGGTCAGAACTTGAGTTCCTGCTAGTCTCGCAACCACAGGTTAAAGTGCTCTGTGTCTCTAAATAAACTTGAAAGGCAGTCTAAGCCAAAACAGCAGCAACTCCTGGGAGAATCCTAGTGCTGAACTGGGCCCAGAGATAGTGGACTTTGAAAGGACTTGGGTGTTGTGATCTAAGCTGTATCTAAGCCCCTTTAAAGCAGATTCAGCTTAGATAAACCAGAAAACTATTAGAACTGTTAAACAAATTCAGTAAAGTTGCAGGACACAATCAAAAGCAACACACAAAAATCAATAGCATTTCTATATGCCAACAGTGAACAATTTGAAAAAGAAATCAAGAGAGTAATCCCATTTTTAACAGCCACAAATAAAATTAAATACCTAGAAATTAACTTAACCAAAGAAGTGAAAGATCTCTATAATGAAAAGTATAAAACACTGATGAAAGAAATTGAGGATACCAAAAAAATGTAAAGGTATTTCATGTTCATTGATTTAAAGAATCAATATTGTTAAAATGTCTATACTGGCCGGGTGCGGTGGCTCACGCCTGTAATCCCAGCACTTCAGGAGGCTGAGGTGGGCAGATCATGAGGTCAGGAGATCGAGACCATCCTGGTTAACACGGTGAAACCCTGTCTCTACTAAAAATACAAAAAATTAGCCGGGCATGGTGGCAGGCAACTGTAGTCCTAGCTACTCGGGAGGCCGAGGCAGGAGAATGGCGTGAACCCAGGAGGCGGAGCTTGCAGTGAGCCGAGATCGTGCCACTGCAATCCAGCCTGGGCTACAGAGCAAGACCCCGTCTAAAAAAAATAATAAATAAAATAAAATAAAATATCTATACTACTCAAAGCAACCTACGCATTCAATGCAATTCCTATAAAAACACTAAGTAGAAAAAAATCTTAAAATTTATATGGAACAACACAAGACCCAGAATAGCCAAAGCTATCCTAAGCAAAAAGAACAAAACTGAAGGAATTACATTACCTGACTTCAAATTATACCACAGAGCAATAGTAACCAAAACAGCATGGTACTGTTATAAAAGCAGACACATAGACCAATGGAACAGAATAGAGAAACCAGAAACAAGTCCACACATCTACAGTAAACTCATTTTTTATGAAGGTGCCAAGAACATAAATTGGTGAAAACACAGTCTTTTCAATAAATGGTGCTGGGAAAACTGGTTTTATGTACAGGAGAATGACACTAGACCCCTACAAAAATCAAATCAAAATCAAATCACGATATACAAAAATTAAATCAAAATGGATTAGAGACTTAAATCTAAGACATCAAACTATAAAATACTATAAGAAAACATCCGGGAAACTCTGTAGGACATTGGTCTGGGCAAAAATTTCTTGAGTAATACTCCACAAGCACAGGCAACCAAAGCAAAAACGGACAAATGGGATTACATCAAGTTTTAAAAGCTTCTGCACAGCAAAGAAAACAATCAACAAAGTGAAGAGACAACCCCCAGAATGGGAGAAAATATCTGCAAAGTACCCGTTTGACAAGGGATTAATAACCAGAATATATAAGAAGCCCAAATAACTCTATAGGAAAATATCTATTAAACTGATTAATAAACGGGCAAAAGACCTGAATAGGCATTTTTCAAATAAAGACATACAAATGGCAAATAGGCATATGAAAAGATGCTCAACACCACTGGTCAGCAGAGAAATGCAAATAAAAACTTCAATGAGGTATCACCTCACCCCAGTTAAAATGGCTTATATCCAGAAGACAGGCAATAGCAAATACTGGTGAGGGTGTAGAGAAAAGGGAACCCTCGTACACTGTTGATGGGAATATAAATTAGCACAACCACTATGGCAAACAGTTTGGAGGTTTTCAAAAAACTAAAAATACAGCTACCATATTTTCCAGCAATCCTACTGCTGGGTATATAACTAAAAGAAAGAAAATCAGTAGATCGGCACTCCCATGTTTGTTGTAGCACTGTTCACAATAGCGAAAATTTGGAAGCAACCTAAGTGTTCATCAACAGATGAATGGATAAAGAAAATGTGGCACTTACACACAATGGAGTACTATGCAGCCATAAGAAAGAACAAGATCTTGTCATTCGCAACAACGTGGATGAAACTTGAGATCATTATGCTAAATGAAATAAGCCAGGCACAGAAAGACAAACATTACATGTTCTCACTTACTAGTGTGATCTAAAAATCAAAACAATGGAACTCATAGAGACAAAGAGAAAAAGGATGGTTAGCAGAGGCTGGGAAGGGTAGTAAAAGGGTGGGTGGGAAGTGGGGATGGTTAGTGGGAACAAGAAAATGGTTTGAAAGAATGAGTAAGACCTAGTATTTGATAGCACAGGAGGGTGACTATAATCAATAATAAATTAACTCTACATTTAAAAATAACGAAGAGTATAGCTGGATTGTTTGTAACATAAATGATAAATGCTTGAGGGGATGGATACCCCATTCTACATGATGTGATTATTACACATTGCATGCTCATCTCAAAACATCTTATGTACCCCATAAATATATACACCTACTCTGTACCTACAAAAATTAAAATATTTTTTAAAGTCAACCCAGAATTCTATGCTCAGCAAAAATATGTTTTTAAGAATGAAGGCAAAACAAAGATACTTTGAGATACAACAAAATTCTAAAAAATATTGTTATTAATCCCTTGTCAGATGGATAGTTTGCAAATATTTTCTCCCATTGTATGGGTTGTCTCTTCACTTTGTTGACTGTTTCCTTTGCCCTGGTGTGGTTATTATGCATTGTATGCCTGTATCAAACTGGCCTATGCACCCCATAAATATATACAACTACTATATAACCACAAAAATTTAAAATTAAAAACATAAAATCGTGAAATTGTTAAAGAATAAGGAAAGAAAAAATTCTTTGCCAGCAAACCTGAACCACAAGAAATGCTAAAGTTGTAGGAGAACAGCTCTACCGCATGGTGCCCCAATGATCATTTTAGTCTCCATATGGGCCACTTAGGCAAGGTTTTACCATAATCTGACCTGGGTCTTTGGAGAACACCATGCAATTCCTCTTGGAGCAAGGGAATATAAACAGCCTGGTGAGGAACCATCCCAAGGCTGTTTTTCATCCGTCTCCCTAATGTCGGTGAGCACAGAACTTTCCACCTTGTCTCACTCCCTTATGACACAGCTGTATAAACATGTTTGGCTATAGTTTAGAGCTGGTTTTTCAGTGTCAGAGTAACCTGTTATTCATGTCATCTGGTTCCTCTGGTTCAGTGTAATCCTGTTGGACTATGGATACAGGCAGCTAATGCCATGTTGATCTTGCTGTTACTCTCTAAGTAATAAACTGAATCTATCTGGGCTTGTTTTTCCTTACTGGCTGAATCTATGAAAATGTGACAAGCTGACCTAGCAGCTAGACAAGTGATCCTATTAGCTTCACTAAGCAATTAGCTTCATCTAAGCCAATGCTGCCTGGATACTGCTTGACTTCTTGACAAAAGGAAGTTCTTCACCAGGCTGAAGGAAGATGAATCCAGATGGAAATGCATACATTAATTTAAAAAATAAAGCAGAAATTAGAAATATCTGGGTAAATATTTAAAAAGCCATTTCATTCCTCTTAATTTCTTCAAATACATAGGATTCCTTAGACCAAAAATTATGGCATTTACTTGTAGGCTTCATATGTAGATGGAATACATTTGACAACCATAGAGAAAAGGATAGGGAGTGGTTACATTGACCTCTAATGTTGTAAGTTTTCTACATTTTATATAAAATCTTATTTTCTTTACTTAGACTGAAAAGTTAGAGATATGCATACTACTAATTCAGAGAGCACACACTAAAAACCACTGTGAAAATGAATATCTAAAAAGCTAAGAACTTTTATGTCATGCAAAGAATTTGGAGTAAAATGCTTTCAAATAATTATTTGCTTTAAACTTGAAATAGGTTAACATTAAATTATTTTACCTTATCTTGGTTGATGAAAGTGTTATTTGGATAAATGAAAAACATTTTTAAAGGCAACAAATAGAATGAACCTGGGAAGACTTAACATTGTGAAGGTGTCAGTGACCCCCAAATTAATGGGTAATTCAATGCTATTCCAATTAAAATTCTAGCATTGCTTTTGAAGCTTTTTCTTTTGAAATAATTATAGACTTACAGGAGGTTGCAAAAATAGTTTACAGAATCCACCGAATGCTTCCCCTGGCTTTCCCTAATGGTGCATCACAGGTGACTATAGGAAAATACAATTAACTAAATTACAGAGCTTTTCAGTTTTCACCAGTATTTAAATGCACTCATGTGTGTGAGGTATAGTCCTGTGCAATATTATCACGTGTAGATTCACACAATAAACATCACAATCAAAACACTGCTTGCACCACCACAAAGGCATTCCCTCATGCTACAACTTTATCTCCTTTATAATCACACCCACTCCTCATCCTTGTTCCTGTCCCCTGGCAACAACTATTCTCCATCACTGTGTTTTATCATTTCAAGAGAGTTATACAATTGGAATCATATGGTATTGACCTTTTGAAATTGGCTTTTTTCACTAAACATCAAATCCTTAATATCCATGCAAGATTTGTCAAGTAGTAGTCCATGGTATGGATGTACTAGAGTTTGTTTATCCATTCCCCCATTTGAGGACATTTGGGTTGTTTCCAGTTTAGGGTTATTATGAATAAAACTGCTATGAACGGGCCGGGCATGGTGGCTCACGCCTGTAATCCCAGCACTTTGGGAGGCCAAGGTGGGCAGCTCACCTGAGGTCAGGAGTTCGAGACCAGCCTGGCCAATATAGGGAAACCCTGTCTATACTAAAAATACAAAATATTAGCCGGGCATGATGGCAGGTGCCTGTAATCCCAGCTACTCGGGAGGCTGAGGCAGGAGAATCACTTGAACCCGGGAGGTGGAGGTTGCAGTGAGCCAAGATCATGCCATTGCACTCCAGCCTGGGCAACAAGAGTGAAACTCCGCCTCAAAAACAAAACAAAACAAAAAACATGCTATGAACATTTGTGTACATATTTTTATGTGCACATGAGTTTTCACTTATCTAGAATGAATGTCCAGGAGTGAAATTCCTAGGTTTTATGGTAATTGCATGCTCAGTTTTTTAAAAATTTCCATACTTTCTTTCAGAGTGGTTGTACCATATTAAATTCCCACAAACAGTATATGAGAGATTGAGTTTCTCCACATCTTCACCAGCATTTGGTGTTATCACTATTTTTCATTTTAGATATTCTAATAGGCATGTAGTGACATCTCATTATGGTAATTTGCATTCTCTGATGCCTAATGATATTGAACATCTTTTCATGTAATTATTTGCCATCTGTGAATCCTATTTGGTGAAATGTCTCTTCATGTCTTTTGCTCATCTCTTAATTGGATTTTTTTCCTGTTGAGTTGTGAGATTCTTTGTATATCCCAGATATGAGTCATTTGTTGGATATGTGGTTCGCAAATACTTTCTCCCTGTCTGTAACTTGTCATTTATTCCCTTAACAGGGTCTTTCATAGAGCAAAATTTTTTAACTTTTAATTTTGTAAAACTTTTTTTTAAGAGCTCTAATTTACAAACATTTCCTTTTATAGATCATGCTTTGGGTATCAAGTCTAAGAATTCTTCACCAAATCCTAGATCTGAAATTTTTTCCTATGTTTTCCTCTAAAAAGTTTTATAGTTTATATTTTACATTTAAGTCCATGAAACATTTTGATCCAGTTTGCTTTAAAACACATTCTGAGTAAATGGATAATGGGCAGGAATACTCAATTCACTTCCTCACACGAAGAAATATAACTGCTAAACAAATACACACATTTCAGTCTCACTATTAATCAAAGAAAGCAAATTTGCAATAACAATAGAAGTTATATTTTAAGCAGTTAAGTTAGTAAAAAATCAGGCCATTTTTCCTGCAGAATTCCCCACCCTCTAGATTTGGTTGATTGTATTGACAGAGTTTTTGGTCTTTTAAAACAGGGGTTCCCAACCCCCAGGCCATGGACCAATACCAGTCCGTGGCCTGTTAGGAACTGGCCACACAGCAGGAGGCGAGCAGCAGGCAAGCCAGCATTACTGCCTGAGCTCTGCCTCCTGTCAGATCAGTGGCAGCATTAGATTCTCATAGGAATGCAAACCCTACTGTGAACTGCACATACAAGAGATCTAGGTTGCGGGCTCCTTATGAGAATCCAATGCCTGATGATCTGAGGTGGAACAGTTTCATCCTGAAACTACCTCCCCAGTCCCCACTTTTGGTCCATGGAAAAACTGTTTTCCACAAAACTGGTCCCTGGTGCCAAAAAGGTTAGGGACTGCTGTTTTAAAATGTAGGTTTATTATTCAGATGGTGTGAGGCCAAAGATCAGGAGACATCTGTCATTGAAAAGATAGTTTGTGGCCAGGCGTGGTGGCTCATGCCTGTAATCCCAGCACTTTGGGAGGCCGAGGCAGGCAGATCACTTGAGGTCAGTAGTTCGAGACCAGCCTGGCCAACATGGTGAAACCCCATCTCTACTAAAAATACAAAACCAGCCAGGTGTGGTGGCATATGCCTGTAATCCCAGCTACTCGGGAGGCTGAGGCAGGAGAATCACTTGAACCCGGGAGGCGGAGGTTGCAGTGAGCCAAGATTGCTCCATTGCACTTCAGCCTGGGAGACCGAGTGAGACTCTGTCTCAAAAAAAAAAAAAAAAAAAAGAGAGAGAGAGAAAAAAGATACTTTGTTACCGACAATTTCAAAGGGAGGGGGAACACCATGCCACAACATGCAGGGCCACATGGGGAAGCACCAGGGTCAGTCAGAAGGCAAGACTCCAAGAACTTGCTCCTTCAGGATCCCACATCAAGGTTGGTAAAAGAGGTGCTAACTACAGGTGAGGGCAACAGGGCCTTCCAGTTTCTAGACAAGATTGAAGAGGATGATTATATCCATGGACAATTAATGAATTATCTTTTTGTGTCTGAGAAGAAGCTACATAAAATACCAAAACTAATCAAAAATGAAAAAGATAACAGGGGCTTTAGTTACCCAATATAATGCAATAGGAACTGAAATTTAAGCAATTCAATTTTCTAGTTGGCCACAGAAGTTCAGATTCTGACCTTCCCTCCTCAGAGGTAAGACCATGCACAATAGCGAGGAATTGAACAAAACAAAAAGGACCCCCAAGAAGTGGAAATTCCATACAAAAGCTCTAAGAGGAACAGGGAGGTTTCTTTCCTACTCAACCCATTCTCCTCCCAGGAAGGTACAAAACAAATGAAGAAAACAGAGAAGTTTTGGACCTGGTCATTGGTCTCTAACCTGTTGACCTCTTATTGACTATTCATTTCCTGTTACAGGAAAACTCCTTTCCCTTTTATTTCACAATCTGGCACTTTTAAGTTCAGGATCCTTCGCTTAGCATCTAAAGCCTAAAGCTCTTCACAGCATGGTCCTACCCTTTCTTCCCAGTCACGTTTATTTCTGAGTCATAAAACTTAGTGGCTACAAAGCTAGGCTTTGGAGTCTGACAGACTTGGTTTGAATTCCTGTTCTGCCATCTCTTAGCAGGTGACCAAGTTACATAATTGTTCTGAGCTTTATTCTCCTAATTTGTAAGGTCGGAATGATGCTACCTATAACAAATGAGACTGCTGTGGCAGTTATATAAGAGAATGCATGTAAAACACTTAATACGATGCATGGCACAGAGTGATGACTCAATATATAGCGACTATTACTAGCCCTAAATGGATCCTATGATCTCCCACCTTGTTACTTTTGCTCAAGTTGTTCCTGCCTCCTAACATGCCTCTGCCTGTAGAAATTATATCTGTTGTTTATGTCTAGTCCCCAAGGCTACCTTTTCAAGAAGTCTTTCCTTTTGTTTCACCAGGAAATCCTATCCCTGCTTTGAACCTCCAATTCATTTGTACTCTTCCCTTGGCACTTCCTTCACACTGATAAGTGTACCTAGGCACTGCCCAGGGCTGACCTTGCACTGAGCAGATGCTTCATGACTATATACTGAATTAAATCCATGTGGTGTCCAAATGTTACATGATTTTCTGGAATTTTAAGAATTCCAAATACCTGAGAAATAATGCAATTAATTCCATATGTCAAAATTGCTGCTAACACCCTCAACTCAATGTTATTATAAAAACACATGACCAAAAACTGAATTGGTGGTGAGAAAACATGGAGGAGATAATGGTGAGGAAGAACTCTCTGCTGGCATTTGCTGATGTGATAATGTTGGCCTCCAGGATATGCATGTGTCATATATTTGTTTTGGCGACCTGCCACTGCCATTTTCTGCTCTGCCCAGCCCGTTTTCTTTGGGACTAGCAAAAAAATAACTAGGAAAAGCCTGAAAATAGTTCACAGGCAAGCATCTTAAACATCTACAAATGCTTTTTAGATGAATGGAAAAGATGGCATTTGTTTACAGAAGGGAAAAGACCTAACTCTGATGCACCTATCAACCTTGATGTCTCTTGTTCTGCCTGCCTCCAAATATCAACAAATAATGTCAAGGGAAAGTAAGTGTGGAACACTAACTACCTACCCACCTCTTCCCTGGAAAGCAAAGGGGTCCAATACAAGACAGGTCTTAGAGTTTGGATGCTGAAAGGTGTGCATCACCCATACAGCCTCAGTGGGCACTTGTTATAGAACCACAGATAAGCAAAAAGTACTGCCTCACTGAAGAGGGAAGAAGGGAGATTTTTCACCAACTCTGTGGAGATGCACTGAAAAATTCCCCCCGAAAAAACAACCTTAGAACCCCTTGTGGATTACTTTCCCATCTTTTTCCTGGCCTGGGAATGTTTACTAGCATGCGAGCATATAATTTTCCATCATGAATGACTCAGAGGGAGCTTAAGTGTCATGGAGAACCAAGTAAATGATTAATTCAAGTGGATTCAAACTAAGCTGCTTTTAATATTTTGATGGTGAAATGAATAATGCTCAATTATCTTCAAGTCACTCATAGTCAGACTTAACACAGGAGATGATCTGCTGAAGTGCACAATATTGACACACACTAGGATGTCACTTAATCCTCTGTGCACAAAAACCAGAGAGAACAACCATTCTCTTGAATGGAAGCAACCCTAGCTTCATCTTCTGGCCTATAACTTCCTCCCTTCCTCTTTTCCTCTCTTCCTTTCTGGCACAGACATTTAATAAATACCTCCCATGTGCAAAACCCTGAGAAAGGTACTACTGGGAATACAGAAATGAATAATATTGTGTCCTCAGGTAGTTTATAAGCTTAGCAGGAAAGATAAGATTGTAATAAAAGCAAAAATTAGCCACTTGAGATTGTTACAGAATAGCCTAAAAACTCCAGAATGGCTCCCTCAAAAGAACTCTATCCTGGAGATGTCGCCACAGTAAGAGGAAGGTTGACAGATCTGAGAAATTAAAGGAACATTTGCAAGAGGGGACTGGGGAAGTCAACTCACTCATATTTATTATAAATTCTCTTTCATTGAACTTATTTCAAAGACAGTCTTTGTGGCAAACTTTTTGAGGCCTTGGATGCCTTAAAATATTTCATTCTTACATTTAAATGATACTTAGCTGGGTATAAAATTCTAGATTCTAAGTTTTTTCCCTCAATACTGAAAATTAACGTTCCACTGTTTTCTTCTATCTGGGTTGCTTTTGAGTACTAAGGTGCCAATATGATTTTGTTCCTTTGTAGGTTATCTGCTTTTTCTTCCTGGGAAGGCTTCTTTTTTTAAAATTTTACTACTATGTGTCTAGATATACGCTTTGTCTCATAAATCCTGGTTGGCAAACTCTGAATCTTTTTAAACTGAGATCATCCATACTCCCCTAAGATTGGAGAATTCTTGGTCTTTGTTTCTTCAAATACTTACATCCCCTCCACATACTCTTCTCCCTCTCTCTTTCTGGTACTCTTATTCAACTGATTGGACATTTCTCCTTCTAAAGTATTTTTCCTCTACAGTATTTTTCCTATATTTCCCAACTATTTATCCCTTTCTGATGACTTCTGGGAAAGTTGTTCAATCTAGTATTCCATGTCATTAATTCATTCTTGATCTGTATCTGTTGTTTTTACCCCCCCCCATCAAGTTATTTCAACTTATATTTTCATAGCTGCTATTTCTGAATGATGTTGTTTGTAACTGCCTATTCCTGCCTCAAGTTACCAACATTGTCTCTTAACTTTTCAATGATATTCTAGTTTGTTTTCAATCATTGTTTTGATTAGTTCATTCATTCTGCTTTGTCTAGTATATTAAGATTGTTGTCTTTCTTTTGGGGTAGCTGCACTCCTGAAAAGATATGTTATTTAAGAAGACCCGATGCTCAGTAACTTCTAAGGTTATTTATTAATACTTACGGCAGTTTTTTTTAGAGCAGCATTATTTATTGAAATGTTAGTGTTTGTTTTCCTTTTTTTAATTATACTTTAAGTTCTAGGGTACATGTGCACAATGTGCAGGTTTGTTACATATGTATACATGTGCCATGTTGGTGTGCTGCACCCATTAACTCGTCATTTACATTAGGTGTATCTCCTAACGCTATCCCTCCCCCAAACAATGAGAACACTTGGACACAGGAAGGGGAATACTTACTGCAGTTTTTTGACTGAGGAGACCACTTTGGTTATCACTTCAAAACAGATTTCTCAGACTGATGTCAGTGATCCTACTCTCATTCTATTAGGTTTAGGTCATACATTCATCCTTCCAAAGGTTCGTTCACCCATTAAAGAGACAATCTTGCAAATAAGATAAGGCATCACTGTGGTTGTTACTGCTGTGGTTGCATAGCTTGAAGTATCAGTTCTGTGTGTAGTTTCTTGAATTAGACAACAGCACTAAATATTGTGAGATATTGCTATTTAAACTTAAAAATACAATGTTTAGTGTCAAAGTATGTCAACTCTAACATCCCTTCACACTCTATAAGTTTATCATTTAGTTTCATAAGGATATACTACTCCAAATAAACATCAATATTTTATGTATAGAAATCTATTTCTTTAGAATAAACAAACCAAGAAATAAATAAATTTACTTTTACATGTAAACCATGCAATCCCACACAGAACAACAGGGAAAAGATGAAAGTCTGTATGCAAAGGGTCCAATTTGTAACTTACTGTGCAGTAAAGCTCAGTCTTTAATCATTTTCTTGTTAATCTTATTCTTAACTATAAGCTGCCTCAGGGCATTTTCACAGCTTTCGCCAGTCTGTCCCAGTTTAGTTTTACCTGTTAATCTATAGACTCCAAGTGCTAAACACTAGATTAATAAGTCCTAAGAGTTCCAATATCTCAGTAAGCACTTTTGCCCTGAGCCTAATCTTATCCAGTAATCAGCCTTTGCACAGTTCCCATGTCTCAGCCCGTTTCTCCAACTCTCATTATTTTTCTCTCCTTCTTGGAGTATCTGAGCTGCCCTTTTTGCTGGAGGCATATGAAGGCATTGTGCCTACCCCTAGCTGTTCTTAATTTTCTCTCTTGAAGGACTCTCAGCAGGCCCAAAGACACGGCCCTTGCTTCTAGGATGCAGATGAAAAGCTGAAGTGGAGGGAGAAAAAGGGCAGTTCACTAACACATAATGACTAATCCTAGTAGAATAAAGGGCAGGGCCCTTTTAATAAACAGTGCACTCCAGGAAGAGGGTGGAGCCAATTGAATAAGCCCCAGGCTCTGATGAGACAAGTATGCTCTTGGAAGCTGTCATAGCAACAGGAGTTTGCTATTCAAGATGTGGACTATCTCTACTTAAGGCAGTTCTCTACGACCAGGACATCACTCTCTAAGGCCATCCTTTCTTCTCGCTGTCTTTAAGTACCTGGCTCTAACTACCTGCAAAACCAGCCTCCTGCCTCAAAGCAAGGGCTTTCCTTTCCTGTCTAGAGAGTTAAAATGGATTGTAGGAGACGCTAGACAAATTTAGCTCTCTCCTCCACAGAAGCCCAGTGTTTTGTGGTGTTACAGAAAAAGCCCTGATACACCAGTTCGCATGACCCATAATTCTTACTGAATTCATCTGCTGACATCCAGAAGTGCTGCTTGAAAAATGATGATGTAATGATGCTTTATGAAAAGGAATCAATCTCTGAGGTGGAAATTCTTACTGTACAATGACACCTGGCTAGAGTAGATAGGATAGTGCCCATATGCTATTAGCTTTGGAATTAGTTTCCCACTGGGATAGTGGTAGAAACGTTTTAATTTTTGTCTCATCCTATTTAGGCCAGCAGCCAGTTGAAAACATCCCTTCAGAGCACAGCAATTTTGATGGAGGAAGGGCAGACTAGGGAGTAGGAGAGTATAGTGGAAACCCATGAGGCAGGACCAAATGAATGAGGTAGCAGTGGTTCTCAGCTCTGGCTACACATTAGAATCTCCCAGGAGGCTTTCTTTAAAAGTTTATTTTGAAATAATTTTAAAATTACAGAAAAGTTGCAAAAACAGCAAACAGTTGCTGCACACACTTCATCCAGCATTCTTCATGTCAACATCTTTTATAACCATCAGAGTTATCAAAACTAAGAAATGAACTTTGGTACAATATGATTAACTAAACTAGATTTTATCTGCATTTTACCAGTTTCTCCACTACATTGCATTTTCTGTTCAGGGTCAAATTCAGGATTTCACATTGCATTGTCTCCTCCAATCTATGGCAGTTCATCCATTCTTTTATGTCTTTGATAATCTTGACACCTTGAAGAGCACTGATCAGTTATTTTGTATAATGTAGCTCACCAGTTTTCCCATTAATGTCCTTTTCATGTTCCAGGATGCAATCCAGAATATTATGTCACATTTAGTCATCATATCTTATTTGCTTCCAATCTATGGAAATTTATTAATGTTTCCTTGTTTTTCATGATCTCAATAATTTTAAAGATAAATGGTCAAGTACTTTGTAGAATACCCCCCAATTTGGGTTTGTGTAATGTTTTCTCATAATTAGACTGGGATTATATATTTTGGGGAAGGATAGCACAGAGGTGAAGTGCGTTTCTTATGACACAGTATAAGGGGTTCAAGATATGAACATAAACTTACCAGTGATGTTAGTCTTGATTCCTTGGTTAAGGAGATTTCTGCCAGGTTTCTCCACTGTAAGCTACTTTAAGAAGTATTTTATCGATATAATTGTAGAATCAGATGAAGTTGTAAATACAGAGAGGTCCTGTGAAACTCTCACTCAATTTTTTCTAATGGATACATCTTATGTAACTATAGTACTATACCAACATCAGGAAATTGGCATTGGTGCAAAGCATATGTGTAATTCTATGCCATTTAATCACGTCTGTATTCTTGTAACCACCACTGCAATCCAGAAATGGAACTATTCCATCACCACAAATATCTTCCTTATGCTACCTCTTTATAGTCACAACTCCCCTCACCAACACTGCTAACCTTTGTACAGCACCAATCAGTTCTCCATCTTTTTATCATTTTTGAGACTATTATATAAATGGAATCACATACTGTCCTTACAGTATGTGATTGTAAGGACAATGGCTGTGCTGCAGTCAAGTATAGGCTGAGGTACACATCCTGCACAGTATGACACAGTGGGATTGGAGCACAGGCGCACAATCCCATGCATTACATAATCACAGCTATGTAGCCATAACGTGGGAGGGCTCATCACCTGCCTCTGAGCCATTATGGTCTGTGAGGTGCATAAATGCAGCACCGACAGTGTGAAGAAACTGCTGAATAAAGCCATGTCCCACCTACCTGGAACCTAACAGTGACCTTTTGAGATTGCCTTTTTTCATTCAGCATAATGCCAATGAGATCCATCCAAGTTGTATATATCAGTAGTTCATTCTTTTTTTTTAATCACTGAGTAGTATTCCATGGTATGGATGTACCATAATTTTTTTAACCATTCACCTATTAACCAAACACCTGGGTTGTTTCTGTTTTTTGATCATTGAAAACAGCTCTGCTATGAACGAATTTCATGTACAGGTTTTTGTATGGATGTATGTTTTCATTTCTCTGAGATACACACCCAGTAATATGATTGCTGAATAGTATAGTAGGTGTATTATTAGTTTTGTAAGAAACCACTAAACCATTTTCCAGAGTGGTCATACTATTACCCATAAGCAATGTGGAAAGATCCATGCATGGAGGTATAGTAATATCACATTATGGTATTAACTTATATTTCTTTAATGGTGATGTTGATTGAACAACTTTTCATGTGCCTATTTGTCATCTGTATATCTTCTTCAGTGAAATGTCTGTTGCTGTTTGTTGCTTATTTTCTAATAGGATTTTTTTTACTCTATTGAGTTTTGAGAGTTATTTATATATTCTTTGTTGGATATGATTTACAAATACTTTCTTCCAGTTTATAGCTTGTATTTTCATATTTAAAAGGATGTTTCATAAAAACTTCCACAGAAAGTTTTTAACTTTGATGAGTTCCAATTTACCAATTACTTTTTCCTTTTATGGATCATGCTTTTGGTGTCAAGTCTAAGAATCTGTTGCCTAGCCTTAGAGCTGGAAGATTTTTTCCAGTTTTCTAAAATATGTTTAGTTTTATGTTTTAAAAACTTACATGATCCATTTTGAGTAAATGTCTACATAAGGTGTAAGGCTTAAGTTGAACTTTGTTTGTGTTGCCTATGAATATCCAGTTGTTCCAACACAGCACCATTTGTTGAAAAGTCTATCCTTCCTTCATTGAATCACCTTTGCATCTTTGTTAAAATTCAGTTGGGAATATTTATGTGGGTCTATTTCTGGGTTCTCTATTCTGTTCCATTGACCTATATATCTAACTCATCTGGCAATACTGCATGGTCTTGGTTACCACAGCTATGTAGTTAGCCTTAATGTTAGGTAGACCGATTCCTCCAACTTTATTACTCTTTTTCAAAATTGTTCTAGTTATTCTAGGACCTGTGTCTTTTCATATAAATTTTGGAATATTACTCTGATTTAAGTTCTGACAAGATCGTGGAAATCATCACTCCCATCCTTACAAGAAGAAGCTGGACAAACTTAAAATCAATGACTTTTCATGAATCCTTCAGACAAATGAGGTTGTAGGGCAAACCACCACCCTGAAATCTAGAGAGTCAGGAACATCCAGAGAGACATAGCTGCAATTTGCTTGCTTGGACCAGAGTCACTGGAGTCACAAACTAGGAATACCAAAACTGGTAATTTTAACAAATTGCTGCAGGCTGAGTGTAGACTACTATGAGAATGACAAATTGAGGACTGCAGGCATAGGGAAAACCCCAACATTTTGTTGTCTTTACCTTCAAAAAAATCCAACAAGTTCTTACAGTAAAGATCTGAGTAAAATTATCTTGTGGGTCTGTCGGCGAGAGTAAAAAATAATCATTGTGATATATGCCTTCCCCTTAACATAGGACAACTTTACAGGGGAAAAGATTTTTCTAGGGCCTTATCTGAGCTGGGGAAGGGCATTGCTCCTACCTACTCCAGTCCCCTCTAGCAAAACTGCAGAAAACCAAAGGAAAAAAACCTTGAAAGACAAGAGAGGGAGAGAAAACAACTTATAAAGGAATAAGGATAAGAATTACATCAGGCTTCTCAAGGAAACATGCAAAAAAGAAGAGAGTACAGTGAAATATTTAGTCTTGAAAGAAAAAAAAACCAGCAAACCGCAATTCTATATCCAGTGAAAGTATCCTTCAGAAGTGAAAATGAAACAGTTTTCTCAGAAAAACAAAACAAAAACTGACAGAAATGAAAACCAACTGGCCCTGCAAGAAATGTTAAAAGGAGTTCTTTAGGGGGAAAAGGTTATAGTGATCAGAAACTCAGTTCTACAGAAAGAAAGGATGAGTGTAGACTGTTGGAGAAGGAATATATGAAGGTAAAATAAAATCTTTTATTTATTTTTCTAATTCTTAGCTGATCTAAAAGAACACCTTTTTTTTTTTTTTTTTTTTTTTGAGACAGAGTTTTGCTCTTGTTGCCCAGCCTGGAATGCGATAGCACAATATCTGCTCACTGCAACTTCCATCTACCAGGTTCAAGCAATTCTCCTGCCTCAGCCTCCCAAATAGCTGAGATTACAGGTTGCCACCACCACGCCCAGCTAATTTTGTATTTTTAGTAGAGACGGGGTTTCTCCATGTTGGTCAGGCTGGTCTCAAACTCCTGACCTCAGATGGTCCGCCCGCCTCGGCATCCCAAAGTGCTGGGATTACAGGCATGAGCCACCATGCCCAGCCCAAAGATAACTGTTTAAAGTAACAATAGCAACAATGTATTGGTTGATTATAGCATATGGATAAGTGAAATAAATATCAACGTCACAGAGGATTGGAGGGAAGATTTGATAACTCTGTTATGGGGCACCTGCACTATGAGTAAAGTGTTACAGTGTTATTTGAAGGTAGACTCATAGTTAGCAATGTATATTTTAAACTGTAGGGCAACCATTAAAAAATTTAAAAGAAGTATAATTGATATTGTAAGAAAAGAGATAAAATATAATTATATAAAATATCAATTAAAAACAAAGAAGGCAGACAAAAGAGTTGGGATATGAAAATGAAAACACAATAGAAAATAGTTACAAATGTAATCCATATTAATATATCAATAATAACTTTAAATTTGAGTGACCTAAAGGCATCAATTAAAACAGAGGGGATAAAAAAATCAAACAAGACACACCTATATCTTTTCTCCAAGAAATCTACTTTCAATATAAAGACTTATATAAAAGTACAGAGATGGAGAAAGATATACCAGTCTAACATAAAAGAAAACTGGAGTATCTATATTAATTTCAGACAAAGCAGAATTCAGAACAAGGAAGATTATCAGGAATAAAGAGGGGCATCATACAAATTTTAGAATAAGTTTACCTACAAACAAACTTTATTGAAATTTTGATTAAAATTGCATTAAACCTGTAGATCAATTTGGGGCAGATTTGACAACTTTACTGGGTTGAGACTTCCAATCCACAAACACAGTATTTCTCTCCATTAATGTTAAGTCTTCTTGATTTCCTTCATCAGCATTTTGTAATTTTTGGCATACATATCCTCTACATGTTTTGTTACATTTTGTTAAGTTTATACCCAAGTATTTCATTTTTTTTGTAGCAATTGTAAATGGTATTGTGTTTTGAATTTTGGTTTTGATGTGTTCACAGTATTTGAAAATGTAGTTGATTTTTGTGGGTTGACATTGTGTCTTGCAACCTTACTAAACTCAATTATTAACTCTAGAAGTTTTATTGTAGATTCTTTGGGATTTTCTACATAGACAATCATGCCACCTGCAAATTGGGAGGGCTTTATTTTGTCTTTTCCAATTCAAGTGCTTATTATTTCTTTTTCTTGCTTTATTATACTGGCTAGAATTTCTAGTACTATACTACATTGAATAAGAGTGATGAGAGCAGCTATCCTTGCCTTGTTTCTGATCTTAGTGTATCTTTCCCTTTTTCTGATATAAGCATTTACTGCTATTTGTTTCCCTCTCAATACTCCTTTAGCTGTGTCCCACAAATTTTGATATGTTGTATTTTTATTTTCACTCTGATTAATTTATTTTTTGCTCCATGGATTATTGAGAAGTGTGCTGCTTTGTTTCCAAGTATTTGGATATTTTCCTGGTATCTTTCTGTTGATTTCAATTCTTCTAAACTTCTTGAAGTTGCTCTACAGTCTAGTATATAGTTTATCTTGGTATATGTTCCATGGATGCTTGAAAAAAATGTATATTCTGCTGTTGTGAGGTGGAGGTTTTTATAAACACTAGATTCTGTTGGTTGATAGAGTTGTTGTGTTCTTTTATATCTTTGCTGACTTTCTAATTGTTCTATAAGTTGTTGAGAGAGGAGTTTGAAGACTCCAACTATAATTGTGAATTTGTCTGTTTTCAATTCTATTGAATTTTGCTTCACATATTTTGCAGCTCTGTTGTTTGGCACATACCCATTTAGGATTGCTGTCTTCTTGGTTACTGACAATTTAATCATCATTTAATGACCCCTTCTACCTTAGTAATTTTCTTTGTTCTTGCGTCTATTTACCTAATGTTAATACAGCCATTCCCACTTTCCTCTGAATATTTGTGTGATATATCTTTTTACTTTCAACCTACTTATATATCAAATAGAAAATATAAATAGTAAATGGTAAAACTACTAAATTTCCGTTTCATACTTTATTAGAACTGAGACAGAAAGTCCAGCTCACACTCAATGAAGGGGAATTAATCTCTACCACCTGTAGGGAGGAGTATCAAATAATTTGTGAACACATATTAAAACCACCATAGTAATTAATACAAATTTGGGAGCTAATAGTTTGTAGCTATGTAAATATCTTGTCCTCTGAGATTACTACTGTGGTGTATTCTCTCTCTCATTAGCTATTTCTCTAAGGAGGTCTAATTCTTTTTAATTGAGAATGGTATTTAGGAAACAAGATGTAGTTCTAGGTAAGCTTAATTCTACTTCAGTGTTGCTGCTTCTAGGCCCTCTCAGTGGACAGAGCTATGAAATACAGTCAACCCAAACCTGAGAAAAACAAGCAATGGGGAAAGGATTCCCTATTTAATAAATGGTGCTGGGAAAACTGGTTAGCCATATGTAGAAAGCTAAAACTGGATCCCTTCCTTACACCTTATACAAAAATTAATTCAAGATGGATTAAAGACTTAAACGTTAGACCTAAAACCATAAAAACCCTAGAAGAAAACCTAGGCATTACCATTCAGGACATAGGCATGGGCAAGGACTTCATGTCTAAAACACCAAAAGCAATGGCAACAAAAGCCAAAATTGACAAATGGGGTCTAATTAAACTAAAGAGCTTCTGCACAGCAAAAGAAACTACCATCAGAGTGAACAGGCAACCCACAAAATGGGAGAAAATTTTCGCAACCTACTCATCTGACAAAGGGCTAATATCCAGAATCTACAATGAACTCAAACAAATTTGCAAGAAAAAAACAAACAACCCCATCAAAAAGTGGGCAAAGGACATGAACAGACACTTCTCAAAAGAAGACATTTATGCAGCCAAAAGACCATGAAAAAATGCTCATCATCACTGGCCATCAGAGAAATGCAAATCAAAACCACAATGAGATACCATCTCACACCAGTTAGAATGGCAATCATTAAAAAGTCAGGAAACAACAGGTGCTGGAGAGGATGTGGAGAAATAGGAACACTTTTACACTGTTGCTGGGACTGTAAACTAGTCCAACCATTGTGGAAGTCAGTGTGGCGATTCCTCAGGGATCTAGAACTAGAAATACCATTTGACCCAGCCATCCCATTACTGGGTATATACCCAAAGGATTATAAATCATGCTGCTATAAAGACACATGCACACGTATGTTTATTGTGGCACTATTCACAATAGCAAAGACTTGGAACCAACCCAGATGTCCAACAATGATAGACTGGATTAAGAAAATGTGGCACGTATACACCATGGAATACTATGCAGCCATAAAAAAGATGAGTTCATGTCCTTTGTAGGGACGTGGATGAAATTGGAAATCATCATTCTCAGCAAACTATCACAAGGACAAAAAACCAAACACCGCGTGTTCTCACTCATAGGTGGGAATTGAACAATGAGAACACATGGACACAGGAAGGGGAACATCACACTCTGGGGATTGTTGTGGGGTGGGGGGAGGGGGGAGGGATAGCATTAGGAGATATAACTAATGCTAAATGACGAGTTAATGGGTGCAGCACACCAGCATGGCACATGTATACATATGTAACTAACCTGCACATTGTGCACATGTACCCTAAAACTTAAAGTATAATAATAATAAAAAAATAAAAATAAAATAAAATAAAAAAAAGAAAAGAAATACAGTCAACCTTCAGTATCCACAGACGATTGCTTCCAGAACTCCCTGTGGATACCAAAATCCATGTTGGATACCATGAATGCTCAAGTTCCTTATATTAAATGGTGTAGTATTTGCATATAAATTACACACATCCCCTTGTATACTTTAAATCCTCTCTACTTACAATAGCTAATATAATGTAAATGCTATGTCAATAGTTGTTAGACCATATTGTTTTTCCTTTGTATGTTTTTTATTGTTATATTGTTATTTTTTATTGTTTTTTTTCCCAAATACTTTAATCCACAGTTGCTTGAACCCACGAATGTAGAACCTATGGATATGGAGGGACAACTATATACATATACATATACACATAGATACATATCCATGAATACACCTGCTATGGTCTGAATATTTGTGTCCCTCCAAAATTTATATGTTGAAATCTTATTCCTAATGTGTTGGTATAAAGAGGTGGGTCATTTTGGGAAGTGATTAAGTGATAAGGGCAGAAACCTAAAGAATGGGATTAGTGGCCTTATAAAAGAGGTCTAAAGGAGCATCTTAGCTCCTTACCCCTTCCACCATCTATGAAGCAAAGAACCCTCACCAGATACAGAATCTGCTGGCTCTTTGATCATGGACTTCCCAGACTCTAGAACTGTGAGCAATATATTTCTATTGTTTATAAATTACCCAGTCTAAGGCACTCTGTTATAGTAGCCTGAACAGACTATGACAACACCATATCAACATTCATTTCTGTATCTACTTATCTTTACAGATAGACAGATAGACAGACATATTTACTGATTTTTCATATTGATCTCTCTGACGCTAATCTAGTATCACAGGGTTTATTCTAGCTTTCGCTCTTTGCTTATTTCTACTTTCTTTCTACAACAGATTCTCTGGAATGCCTTTAAAAATGCATATGCCTAGAGCCCTATCCAATGCCAATTAATTTGGATATATCCATATATTTTAAATATACCCCCAGACAAGACTGGATACATGATTTTTGGGGCCCAGTGCAAAATGAAAACGTGGTGTGCCTTATTCAAAAAACAGAGAAAAAGTGTCTTTAAAGGTACTAAAATATACAGATGTTTTCCTTTCTTCTGTGGTTTCTCATTCAACCTGTCATGGTGTTTCCTCTTTGCTATTCAGTGTCACTCTAAGTAAAGAAAAAGTAAAATTTTAAATCATTAATAGACATTTTAGTGTTCATCTTTATATTGTACGACACAATGATATCTTAAATTAAAATATCAGAGCATTTAACTCCTATGCAGAATCACCAACATTGTACAATTTGTATTTCATACTTCATCTCTGGAAGGTGCCTTGAGCTGGCTAGAAGAGACTAATGCAAGTCAGATTCAGGAAGGTTGAAAGGAGAAAGAGAGGGTCTCTCCAGACATGAAGCAGGCCCAAACGATACTCTCTTGGGCATGGGGATATTCATGGGCTGAGGGTAGACCCTTGCAGGCACCCAGGAGCTCCACCCAATGACTTGTGTCTTGGGTGTGTGATTGGGCCTGACAACTACTGGGTCCCTTTCACCAGCCATCAGACTGACATGCTGTGCCTTATCAGAAGGTAAGGAAATTGAGGTTTAGCATCTCTCTTCCCATGGGCCCACCATCCCCTCCCACAGAAGACAGACATCCCCCAAGGATATTACAACCTCTTTACCAGGGTACACTTAGGTACCTAAATCAGGGATAGACAAGAGGCTTGCTGCCACTGTGTTTCCCACTGAATGTGCCTGGTGCTGTGAAACTGGAGCAGAGATGATCGATGTCATGCCCTCCCTAGAGGGGCTGCAAGGTGCATGCATCTGATCCTGACTCTCCCAACATCCAGGCTCCTGCTGGGGATGGATGAACAAGGATGAGAAAGGGGGGCCCAGGTAAGGCCACGGGCACCAGAAATCAAGGGAGTGGTGGCCAAAAACCCATCCTGGAGATGTGGGGAGTTTGTAGGAGGTAGATCCATATGTGAATCAAGATTTCAAGCCCCCAGTACATGCTTCATTGTCTCATTACACTTCACTTACAAAACACAGGTTTGAAGATAAAAAAGATAAAAATCATTAAGTTTCAAATGGAAACCACAGAACATTAATCTCAACAGTCCCCAGAGTGTGATGTTCCCCTTCCTGTGTCCATGTGTTCTCATTGTTCAATTCCCACCTATGAGTGAGAATATGCGGTGTTTGGTTTTTTGTTCTTGCGATAGTTTACTGAGAATGATGATTTCCAATTTCATCCATGTCCCTACAAAGGACATGAACTCATCATTTTTTATGGCTGCATAGTATTCCATGGTGTATATGTGCCACATTTTCTTAATCCAGTCTATCATTGTTGGACATTTGGGTTGGTTCCAAGTCTTTGCTATTGTGAATAATGCCACAATAAACATACGTGTGCATGTGTCTTTATAGCAGCATGATTTATAGTCCTTTGGGTATATACCCAGCAATGGGATGGCTGGGTCAAATGGTATTTCTAGTTCTAGATCCCTGAGGAATCGCCACACTGACTTCCACAATGGTTGAACTAGTTTACAGTCCCAGCAACAGTGTAAAAGTGTTCCTATTTCTCCACATCCTCTCCAGCACCTGTTGTTTCCTGACTTTTTAATGATTGCCATTCTAACCGGTGTGAGATGGTATCTCATTGTGGTTGTTGTGGGGTGGGGGGAGGGGGGAGGGATAGCATTGGGAGATATACCTAATGCTAGATGACGAGTTAGTGGGTGCAGCGCACCAGCTTGGCACATGTATACATATGTAACTAACCTGCACAATGGGCACATGTACCCTAAAACTTAAAGTATAATAATAATAATAATAATAATAATAATAATAGAACATTAATCTCCCAGCATGGCCCTCCCTTCTGAGCATGGGGTCCTGTGTAAATGCACTGGTCACATGTCTATTAAGCTGGTTCTGTCTCTGGCAATCCTAATGTGCAATCATGGTTGACAATACCAAGCTATATACTAAAAAATCGGTGGTCAGGTTGGTTTTGCTCAAACTCTCAGGCTGCCAGAGCTTCCACAGAAAATAATGGATGGAGACACTGACCTAACAGTATCTGAGAGGAGATCAAACTGGGTATCATTGCCTAAGGCAGTGGCATTATAGTGATCACAGTAAGTAAGCAGGAAGGTCAAGTCCTCAGTTTTGAAGAAAATCTCTAATTATCTCTCCCTCTCAGAGCCCATGGTCCTATCTCAGTACCTGCTGGTTGCATGTTGGCCTGCCATGCCCAATGCGAGGGATTTTAAGACACAGGTTATATACATCTAATCAAATTGCAGGTGCCAGATAAGCCACAGAGGCCACCTTTCCCAGACTCTTCTCCTCTCATTTATTTTACCTACCAGCAGGCCAAGAAAGGACCTCAGGCTGCTCCAGGCAGCCACCTGGGTCCTGGGTCCAGTGCTCATCAGCCAAATTCCAGAACTAGAATATACAAACCCTCTCACTTCTAGCCCCCAGCATGATCAAGTTCCTCAAGGGCCTTCTTTCTTTGTTATCCAATCTTGACTCTTTTTAGAACCTTTTAGCCTGTGTCAACTGCTCGGCACATAGCAGGCACTCACTCAATGGTTGTAGCCTGATGGATTGGCTCACTTTTGGCTTGCTCACGGATCAGTTCTTACATTCTCTCCCCTAGCTTCCATTGCCTTCCTTGGCTCCTCATTCAAGCAGAATGCCTTCCACCTCTCAGCATTCTCTCTCTGACCTTTCCCTAGTACCGAAATGTACCCTTATGATACCAGTATAACTGCATTTACATTACAGGGCAAAGAGAAATAAACTGAGTACATATCTGGAGATTTATCAGAGGCCCTTTCTGACACCACAATCAAGTGGAGTTTATCACAAGATTGTAAGGTTGCTTCAATAATAGAATAATTCAATTGATATAACTGATCATACTAAGTCTAAAAAGGCCACATAATTGTACCAATTGATATAGAAAAAGCACTTGACAAAAGCCAACATCCATTAATTATTAAAAATAAATCTCAGCAAACTAGAAATAGAAGTAAACTTTTCTCAACTTGAACATCTCCAAAAAACCTACAGATAACATCATACTTAATGGTGAAAATCTAAATGTTTTCTCCTGAAGACTGGTAGCAATGTAAGACATCCACTCTTACCACCTATTCCACATCATTATGGAAGTCTTAGCCAATGCAATAAGGCAAAAATCAATCAATAAAAGGCACAGATATCAGAAAAAAAGAAAGAAAACTCTGTTTGTAAACAGCATGACTATCTACACAGAAAATCTCAAGAAGTCTACATAAAAACTCCTAAAAATAAGTGAGTACTATAAAGGTGATGGAATACAAGTCAACACACAAAAATCAAGCATATTTCTATATACCAGCAATGCACCACTGAAAACCAAAATTTAAATATATGTATACATTTAAAATTTATAATAGCTCAAAACAAATTTAAATACTTAGGTATAAGTGTAACAAAATATGTACAGACTCTGCATCCTGAGAACCATAAAACCCTGATGAAAGAAATCAAAGAAGATTTAAATAGAGTTATACCATGCTTATGGACTGAAAGAAACAGCATAATTTAATGCAATTCTAATCAATATCCCATAGAACTTTTTGTATTTACAGATAAGTGGAATGTAGAATTTATATAAAAAGCAAAGGAACTAAAAGAGCTAAAACAATTTTAAAGAAAAAGAATAAAACTGTAGAAATAACATTAACTGATTTTAAGACCTACTGTATATACACAGTAATCAAGACGGTGTGGTATTGTCAAAGGGAAGGACACACAGATCAATAAAACAGAAAACAGAGTCTAAAAATTGGCTCACATAAACATAGCCAACTCATTGTTGACAAAAATGCAAAAGCATTTCAATGGAGAAATGATATGTTTTTTCAACAAATGGTGCTGAAATCATTGTATAACAGTATGAAAAAAAATAACATTAACCTAACCTTACACCTTAAACAAAAATTTACTCAAGGTGGATTATAGATCTAAACATATAACATAAAACAATAAAATGCTTAGAAAAAAATAGGAGAAAATTTTCCTGACCTTGAGTTACTTGAAGAGTACTTGGATATGACATCAAAAGCATGATCCATAAAAACAGAAGTTGATAAATTGGATTTTATCAAAATTAAAAAGTTTTGTTCAGTGAAATACACTGTTAAGAGAATGAAAAGACTAGCTACAGACTAGAAGAAAATATTTTCAAATCACATATCTTACAAAGGCCTTTTATCTAGAATATAATAAAGAACTCTCAAAACTCAGTAGTAAGAAAAAAGTCCACTTAGAAAATGGGGAAAATACATCAAACATTTCAACATTACATTTCAACATAGATGTGTAGATAGCAAATAAGCACATGATACTTTCAACATTGTTAACTATTAGAAAAATGCAAATTAAATCTGTGATGAGATAGCACTGCATAGTTGCATAGTTGCAAAAGAGACCTCATGGCCTTCAAAGCCTAAAATATTTACTTTCTAGGGCTTTACAGAAGCACTAAAATATGCACTTATCCACAGTGTTCTCAACACATCTGGTGGGCTACAAACAAACACTGAGTCCACATTTCATGTATGGCTATCAAATCTGATCAGAACTCTTACCAGTACTGGACAGTATAGGAACTGCAGAGCAATTCCTGAGGGTTTGCCCTCAGCTTAAACACACACTTCCACCCGCCCCCGCCACTTTTTACTATGTAAACACCTCTTTACCCTTTAGGACTTAGCCCAAGCATCACCTCTTCCTGAAGTCTTCTCTGACCATTCATTTCCACTCCAGGCTGGGAAAGGAACCTTCTCTTTATTCCCATGATACCCTCTGCATGCTTTTGTCACTTTGAAATAGTATTTGCTATGGTCTGAATGTTTGTGTCACTCCCAAATTCATGTTGATACCTAATCCCCAAAGTAATAATATTAAGAGATGGGACTTTTAGGAGGTGATTAGGTCATGAGGGTGGATCCTCATGAATGGGATTAGTGCTCTTATAAAGAGTGCTCAGAGAGTTTATTAGCCTCTTGCCCTTTTCACCGTGTGAATATGCAGCAAGAAGGGACCATCTATAAAGGAGAGAGCCTTCACTAGACAACTAAACCTGCTGGCACCTCAATTTTTGGACTTTCAAGCCTCAAGAACTGTTGGTGATAAATTTATGATATTTATAAAATTTTCCAGTCTAAGGTATGTTGTTATAGCAGCCCAAATGGATTAAGAGTGTTTTATAACTGTTTGCTTGTCCCTCTCTCCAACAAGAGTATAAGCTCTTTAAGGAAAGGAAAAGTATCAGTCTTTCTATCATCGCTACTCAGTAATGGTGATAGAAATATAGTGATGGGTATACTTCATAAGTGCTTATTGGATGAATGGACAGATGGTTGGATGAATGGATAGACGAGAGAGAGAGAGACAGAAAGAAACTGAGAGAGAGAGGGTAAGTCCATTTCCTAAAGTCACACAAGTTTTATCCAAATTAGGACATCCCTTAAGAGCAATCTCATCATCTCTCTACTGTGGGATTATTTGATATACTCTCTCACCCAAACCACGTGTGTGTGAGTGTACATGTGTGAACCTACTTTTGTATGATGTTGTGACAAAAGAGGACTTATTTTACCAGCTGCAACCCACAAAAGGAGACACCAAAGCCAGAGCCCAGTTATCCTCATTTGACTCAGACCCTCACTGTGACTGTGCATGGTAGCCCCACTATTAGGGTTGCATACTAACCCTGGATTATAACCTCTTAGCACTCACAAGATCACTCAAATTCCACTTGCCTTCACTGAACATATATTCTATGCCAAACTGAGTGTTGGATACTTTCACATCAAATGCCTCACTGAATCCTGTATCAACCCTTGGAGGTAGGTAGTGATCATTACTTCCATTTTAGAATAAGAAAATTGAGGCATGAGTGGTAAACAGAGAACAGATACTCAGCTCAACGGGAAACTAGATAGTAAGGCACTTAAATCTTAATCCTAGATTATACCATTTTGATGTCCCATTATGAAGCCATATTATGAGTCAGGGAGTTATTAAACGTTTAATTAAAGGTTTTTGGAAAGAAGAAAAGTTTTCACTGCAATAAGTAGCACTCTAGGTAGGGGAAACCTGGTCATCTGAGTTGATCCTGAATTAGGGGCATTTGCCCAAGTCATTGGCTTCCGTGCCTGCAAGGTACAAAAGGAGAGATATCACCTGATTAAAGGAAAGACTCTATGGTTGACCAAGGGCCTACATGTTCTAGGGTATGGATGGGGGAGCTCATGATGTCTTTGTCTGCAGGAGAAGAGATATTCCCAAGAGTTTCTTTCAAATTAAGAGATAAAAAGCGGAAGAAGTAAAACAGAGAAGTGAAGGAAAGAAAAAAACACCATAAAATGCCATTTCTTCTGCCTTAGCAAGGTCAGTTCAACACAGTATGTCTCTCCTCTTGCTTCCTTTCTAATCTCACTCCTTAGATCACGTATAAAGTATTTAGCTTTATTACTTTTATTAAGACATAATCATTAGTGTAAATCACAAGGTCAGAAAGCCATACATCTTTAGGGAAATCCAACTTGATGTGGTGATCAATAATTTGTGTATTCAGGATCATCAACCTCACTGCACCTTTTAAGCATCTATCAAAACTAGTGTTGATGAATGGAAATACTCCCTTCAATTTTAAGTAAATCTTAGGGCATAAATAATCCAAGCTCAGACAGCATTCTAGTGACAAGATAGGCCAAACCAAAATGGGCTACACAAGTGTAAAGGCCTTGTGTTAAGAATTGTTGAACCATATTTCACTCAGTGTAAAGGTTTTCATTTGAAGTAGATTTAATACAGTCCATTCCAAACAGGCCCTTTGCAATTCATTGGGAGCTTTAAGAAGGTGGGAAACTTTAAAGGCACACTTTATTCTAAAATCCTTTGTTGGACACCTGAATACATACAATGACAATCATTAGCAAGAATAAAGGTTTTATCTCATTTCCACAGTACATTTTACTTAATATGTCTCCAATCAGCAGTGCTCTACCTCTGGAATTCCAAGCTCAACTTGTATCTAAGCACTGTCAAATGAAAAGGAGATAATAAAATTACTAGTGTGTTGCAAGGTGATTAAATTTACATAATGACTCTGGATTTGATCAAATGCCAGATCCCCCTCTAAAAAAATTACCTGTAGAGGCATTAAATCTTCCAGCCACACACACTTCACTGCGTTTATGCTTTATCCACAGAAGCTCCCGTTTATCTTAGCAGAGATTACTGCCATCCCACCACAGGAACACAGCATGCAGGTAATGCCTGGAAGCTTATTTAGAAGAGTGGCAGGGGCTCATGCTGCTGATTTGCAGAATAAATATCAGAAAAATGTGAGAGAGACATTGTGTTCATCCAGAGAACAGACTGTACTACAGACTCAGATGCAGACTTTTTCTACTCTACCAAAAATGGAATGGCTTCTTAAAATGCCATCCAAACACGTTCTCCTGAAACTCAAGGCTTCCCCACTACTAACAAACTCTAAGGAGCTTACCATGAGCGGGCCTTTCCAGGAGCAAACTGGTGAGAATTCAGGCTATGGTGTGTCAGATTTGGAAATCCATTCCTGTCAAGCTGGTAGGTAACTAATGCATGTTCTCTCATCCTAAATATCATCTCAAAATAGGATTGCATAGTGGGATATTTCCCTGTTGCTTGTTTGCTGCATGGCCCTGGATGGCAGTCTTTGGAATAAAAACAATCACACAAACAAGTAAAAAACCTATGCATTATAGTAATGACACACAGCCAAGCAAAAGGCACCATGATACAGCTTCCAGAATACTCATCATGCCTATTGAAAAAAATTACACAACCAAAGAGCTCTGAAATATGATTTGCTTCTAGAACATACCACTGCAAATTGGTGGTACCAGCTCAGAGAGAAAAAGAAGTCTTACCACTTTCCAATAAAACATCAAGAATAGGGACTGTAGCATCAGCATGTTGTTGACTGGGTCCAGACTGCTTTTGTCAGATAAAAGCAATTACTTCTCTACTATGACTGATGTAAATTGGTCACTCCACATATCCCTAGCTTCAGTAACAGGCAGAGTCTTGGCTGGACAACTACTAAAACCTAAACCCCACTAAAGCTCTTGCTGTTCAATGTTCTATGTTATCCATCCCTTTCAAAGCATCCCACTGTTTGCTATTAAATATGCACCAATCTCTTGCCAGTCTTCTGTAGAGATTTATTTTATTTTATTTATTTTCTATGCAACAAAAGCCACATTCAAAATCTTCTGTAAAGATTTAGAGGTAGCTATGGTCCTCCTACAGCCTACCTACAATACACCTGTACTGCATTCAGTGAAGATAAGACTCAAGTCTCAGGTCAGCATTATCAGTAAATTTTAGAGTTAACCACAACTGTAGCAGGCGGGTTGCCTCAGCAACCTGTAACAATACTTTAGCATATGTCCAACCAAGAGTACTTATGAAATAACCTATAAAAAGTGCCATTATTGGACTACTTTTCATGCGTGTAACAATTTGTATATAAAAAGACCAAATTTTCAGTTGCCAGCACCAAGTAAGGACTATATACTAGTGGATTAATGATTTCTAGGCAGATTTTATTGCACTTAAGAATATGTATGAGTACAATAAATAAATAGTTTGAGAGGATACATGATGTCTTTTAGTATTTCAATTTTTTATTAGTTGTTAATTTTCGTAATAGTCATTTGGAAGGCTAAAACTGAAATTTGTTTCCCTGAAAAAATGTTTTTATCACATTGGTTATTATGGAAGAGTTGTTGTGAGTCATGAAACTGCTGTGTTCCATTTTTCTTTAAAAAAAAAAAAAGTCCCCAGGGAACTCAGGGAATTAAACTCATAAATTTAATTTCAATATCTGGTAAGCTGTGAGGACAATTATTAAGGCAGTCATTTATGAGTATCTAGGGGAAACCCAAGTGATAAACAGTAGTCAATACAGATTCTTCAAATACAAATCATGCCAAACGAAGCTAATTCCTGTTCATGATAGAATGACAAGCTGAATGGTGAAAGAGGATGGAGCAAAGTTAACATATCTTGGAGAGAGAAGCATCTGATATAATTTAACCTGACATTCTTATAGTAATGTCAGAGAAAGACCATAAATAGAGCTGGTAAAGAGAAATCTGATGGCATAGCTAGACTGGTTTGGTGTAAGCTCAATGGAACATGTTACAGAGTAGGATAAATTCCAGATGCAATACCACCCAGATCATGCATAACCACTCTTAGGTTATATCAACACAGACTGTAATCATAGTCAATGATTATACAAAGTATATGTAGTTACATACACAATTGGGAGATAAATGAATAAAATACATTATTGATATATCAGAGTCGTTTACATCAAACTATGTGTCAAGTTTTTTAAAGTCAAGTATTTCCCATAGAGAATCTTCACCAAATGAGTACAAATGTAACTAGAAGGAATTTGTCTGTAAAAGGGGCTACCGAGAAGAACCAAGTGCTATGATGACAGGAAACAGACTCCTTTGTGATTTTGAGGGGTAGGTATTCAAGAGTCCCCTTAACCTACAGAGCAAGTCCAAACTCTTAGTCTAGTATTCAAGGCTCTTCATAAACTGGGTCGGACTTACCGCTCCAGCTGTATGCCATGCTGCTCTCCACCTTACCAGACTAATTGCCATGCGTTCCCTGGGACTGCACACCTGCAGAGTGTGTGGTTCTTCAAACTAAACTACCTTTCACCTCAATGTCTTCCTATAATAATCTCATCACCCCTTTAAGACAAAGCTCAAAACCACCTTCTTTCAAACAGCATTCCTTCCAGATACTCTAATTCGACATAATTTTTTACTCCTCCAATATCCCCTTAACACCTTGTTTAAACTTCTGTATAGACCTTTATTATTGCCTTCTTTGTATGAGAATTAACAGTGCACATGTCAATTTCTCATTACAGTGTGAACTCCTGGAGAGTGAGAGCCATGTCTTATTCATTCTTTATCTTCTTCACAGCAGGCATTCAACAAATATTCATTGAATTGGATTGGATTGGAACTGGAATAAACACACCATCTAGACATTTATTATTGGGAATGCCCCCACGATTCCAGGGCCAACTGTGATCGGTTTGGCCTTTCCCTTTCCAGATTTTCAGGCTAATTTTCCAGTGCTGGAAATAAACTAAAAATAATAAAACTAAAAACCTAAAAACAAACCCCTTTGTAACCATTAAATTTCTATCAGACAGTGAATAAAGGACAGTTACCTAACATCTGAAATGCCTTTCCTTTTGGATACTGAGGAACTTAGAAATGTTCAATTCTGTGATTGGGCCATGATCGCATCCTGATTCTGAATCCCTAAAACGTGAAGGCAAGGCAGCTGGAGAGCCAGGATTGGAGTCCACCAGAAGAAGGCAGAGACAGAAACTGTCTCTTGGTTACCAAGGTTTCTCTTAGAAAACCCCATTCACACAAATCTGAATTCAGAGGCAACACCCAGGGTGAGCAACACTGATAAGGAAACTAGAGAGTTCTGATCAGGAAAATAAAATAAAAGACCATTCCCTCTTGTGTCTTGGTGTTTTGGGTCAAAGTAGGAGTTGCAAGTCCATAGCTCTAACTAATTTACAGTATAAATGTATTAAACAAAAATGCACAATAGCTGGAGATTCTGCCTGAGGTCTTCATAATGTCATTACACAGGAAAAACTGTGGGCTTCATACTGTGGGAATCTCTTTTTGGCTTGTATTATAAGCAGGAAGTGCTTCTTCCCACCCAAGATCCCTCCCATGGTTTAGCTTGTAAGAAAATGCTGTTCCAGCATGAGAAAACTCAGCTCCACCCTCTGGTATGGAGTCTGGCATGCAGTGTTATGTTCACAGTGTGGCTATTATTGTGGCTTGCCACTAGAGAATCGCAGGCTCATAGAAAAGCTAGAAATACTGATTTAAGGGAGGCAGTATATATATTGATTAAAAGCATATTTTTTAGGGTCAGATAAACCTGGGTTCAAATTCTAGTTCTTCCATCTACCAGCTGTGTGACCGTAGACAATGTCCTTAGCCTTCCTGTGCCTCATCTGTCACTTTGGAGATAATTACTGCACCTCCCTCATGGGTTTGTCATGAGGATTAAAGGAAATTATGCATATAGTAAATGCCTAAATAAGAGTGAGCTAGAATGAAAGCTAGTGAGGTCAGAAGTCACTGACCTCAAGTTCCAAATAAACAAGAACTTTATAGTTGATAAGGCCAGACCAGAAAATATGGACTGAAGCGGTAGGAGAAAACTTATGAAAAGGATAAAATAAACTATTAGAAAGTATTGGGACAAACTCTGAAGCCTGGTTTGAAACCCACTTTGAGAGTCGCCCAAGGCCAGAGTGGACACATGGTGCTCAGGAAGGAAAACCAATCAAGTTAATTTTCATCTCCATGGAGCATTTGCAAGCCACCAGAAGTCTTCAAGTGTCAGAATGCATAACTGGGTAGTGCCCTCAATATAGAGAAAAAGTAAAAGAAACCTGAAGACAGCAAATGAACACTGAATTTACACATTCAAAATCAAATTCAGTGCCCTATATACAAAACTTATCAAAACCTCAGGGTTTTCCTAAAGTTACATTTCAACCATGTAGCCTTTAAGGGAGTCAGCAAGACTGCATGTGCTGACATGGAAAGCATGGAAAGATACACATGTGACATGGTTTCAATGTGTGTCCTCTCCAAATCTCATGTTGAAATGTGATTCCTAATGTTGGAGGTGGGACCTGGTGAGAGGTGACTGGTCAGCCCCTTTAGCTGCTTAGCATCATCACCTTGGTGATAAGTGAGTTGTCACTTTGAGTGCACATGAGATCTGTTTTTTTAAGAGACTGGGACCTTCTCCGTCTCTCTCTTGTTCTCTCTCTCACCATATGATGTGCCTGCTCCACCTTCGTTTTCCACATGATTGTAAGCTTTCTGAGGGCTTCACCAGAAGCAGATGCCAGCAGCAAACTTCCTGTACAACCTGTAGAGCCATGAGCCAATTAAACCTCTTTTCTTTGTAAATTACCCAGCCTCAGGTATTTCTTTATAGCAAAGCAAATGGCCTGATACAACATGGAAGTGGATGTACAAAACTTGTGTTTACCATGCTCCAGTCTGAGTTTTCTAAGAAAGCATATATAAGTAAATGTGTGTATGTTACCTATATGTACATATATGTATGAATGTATACATTACATACACACTTATATACATATAGAAAATTTTTATAGGGATATGTAAGAAATTGTTATTGATGTTATACAAAGGAGTGAAACTAGGAGCTTGATGTGGAAGAGGATCTTCTTTTCATTTTATATGCTTTTGTACTGTGCATTTTTACCATAAGTATGTATTATTTTTATAATTTAAAAAGGGACAACAACCCCAGAAAGAAATAACTCTAAAAACTCAGTACATTGTACAGTACTTTGCATGAAGTAGGACTCAGTAAATACTTGACTGAATGGATGAAAGTCACTCAATCACCCCATCAGTTGGTATATGGGATGGGGAAAAGCATATACAAAGAAGAGAAAAGAAATAAAAAAGGAGAATAGCAAGCACCAACTTGGAGCAGTTTTCATTCCCTCAAAAGATAAAAAAAAATGGAAGGAAAGTCACCAAAGGAAAAAGCTGACAAGTATCTTCCCCACCCCAGTGGTGCCTGCTGTCAAAAATTGCAATGTGCTTTGCAAATACTGTCTGCAGATCTGTGAGAGGGTGTAAACAGAAGGCTCTTTAAAGAGTTAATCAAAGCTGTGCTGTGCTCCAAACAGGGAAGGAGCAGAGAAGAGGTTAATGTCCTCCTCGTGGCCATGAAAGATGCTTTGCCATGAGGATGCTTCTCAGTGAGGAGCCCAGGGACTACATGGAAAGTGCAGTAAAACGCTCCACATTGGTACTAATAGGTGCCATTTGCAGAACACTGCCTTCCCAAATCTGAAAGTTTGTAATGAAATGCTTTTCCACAAAGAGCGGTAGAAATTATGGGTACAAAACCCCACTAGGTTATCCACCTGTCTCTTAGATTGGATTTAATTCCATATAAATCCTGATATGGATTTAACACTACATAAATCCTAATGCTTTCAATGATGTATAAGGGGGATTTACACTAATAAATCCTAAATAGAAAATACAGGCACAAAGCAACAATACTAAATGCAAAGGAAAGAGAGTCACCTTCACTGATTCATCTTGATATATACCAAGGTAATTATGAACTGCCAGCATGTTTTTAAATTTAGGGTTTTTTTTTTTAAAGAAATTACAACTTCATTGAAAGTTTAATGGATGAAGCTATCAAAGTCAAGTTAAAACAAACAAGCACAGATGCCATTTTCATTGATCAATGCAATTTAGTATCCTCATGGGACAGAACCAAATTCCTGAACAAATATAGGAGAGAAATAAGGAAGCCTGGCCCCACAGCAAGCACAGTGTACCTTTATTTTAACAAGGGCAAACTTGGCCTTTGGTCAAGGTGGTGAGACTGAGTGCAGTAGCCTTGTTGCCACTAGAGAAGTCCACCAGAAAGCAGATTTACTCATCAATGAAAACTATATAGATCATTTTCAATTTTGTAATTTAGCAGTTAGGGGCCCTTATAAATATGTTGTCTATGTTATTTCACTTTACTTTTCAAACTTTTCTATTTTCCCTCCATTCTATCCAGTTGTGAAAACTGGGACACTTCCAAACTTTGGGACAATTACTCACCAAATGGCTCATAGAAAAAGCACAACCGGAATCCAGACTTCTCTTCTAGCAAACAACCTTTATCTCTTTCCTTCTCCTTTCTTCTCTACCTTACTTATTGTCAGGAGATGTGAGTGTGAGGCCTGGCTGTGCCACCAACTTGCTGTGTGGCCTATAAAGGTGGCTTCTCTTCTCTCAGGTTCACTCTCCCTATGTATACAATGAAGAAGTGGACTAAATGAATGCTAACTTTCAATGGCATTGACTCCATTAATATAAAAAGTCCTTCTTGATCCCAGTATTAACCTGACAGAGCTGGAGGCCTTTTCTAGTCTGATCCCCATTCCCTGATGGAGGATACCCAGCTTTTGGTGCTCTCTTCAGGAGAGTAAAGCTTCTCTGACAGGAAGATGAGAGACTTCCACTCAGGCTCTGGATTAGCATCTCAGAAATCTGAGTCAATAGAAATCATGCCAACCAACCTCTATGGCACAATATATGCTCACTTAGTAGACATAGTAATAATTAATTATTATTACTCAAATATTACTCAATATTTTATGACTATTGGGGTAAAAGAACTCATAATGACAGCTCACTCAAGGCTCTCCATAATCCTGCAACTGTCTCTGCTCAAAGCCGCATTGCTATCTTCATGATATCTGTTTCAGTCATGGTTATCCAGAGAGAACAAATAGGAGATACACACACACACTCACACACATGCACACGCTCATACATGTGCATGCACACACATAAACACACACAAACACATTGTCTTAGTTCATTTTGTGCTGTTCTGACAGAATACCACAGACTGGGTAATTTATAAACAACAGAAATATGTTTTCCACAGTTCTGGAAGCTGGAAGTCCATGATCATGGTACCAGCTGATTTGGCATCGAGTCAAAGCTGTCTCCACTTCCAAGACGGCTTCTTGAATGCTACATCCTCCAGAGGGAGAAACACTATTCCTCACATGGCAGAAGAGCAAAAGAGCTGAGAGGGAGAGAGCAAAAGGGGGCCAAACTTGCCCTTTTATAACATACTCACTCCTACTCAACAGCATTAATCCACTCATGAGGGCAGAGCCCTGTCGATCCAATCACCTCTCAAAGGCCCCACTTCCTAAATATTGTCACAATGGCAATCAAATTTCAACATGAATTTTGAAGGGGACAAACAACATTCCAACCATAGTGCATGCACGCGTGCGTGCATGGGGGTGTGTGTGTGTGTCTGCGTATGGAGAGAGAGAGAGAGGGAGAGAGAGAGATTTTTTTTTTTTTTTACTTGGGTAGGATTTTTAATAACAAATGAGCAATATATTTTCAGCAGGCTATATATATGCTGTAAGATAAGCTTTATAGAAGCAGTACACTTTGTATCTTATGTTGACTACTAATAATGATTTTCATATAAAAGCACAGCAAAGCGATCCATGTACAAAGTAATATAACCCACTTAAAAGACTGCACAAGCAAATTAAAATAAATGGGGAAATTTCTCAGGGAATAAAATTTCTTGAAGATTAGAAACACTGTTCCTCAATAAATAAGCACCCCTGGAATGTTTAGCACAAAAACTCTATGCTTGATCGTTTTACTATTTCAGCAGGACTGTCAGAGAGGTTGGTCTTTGTGGAGTCCTGTTCCTTTCAGGTGTTAGAGATTTTAAGGAACTAGTTCAGATGATTGTGGGAGATGGTAAGTCTGCACATGCAGACAGGCTAGAAACCCGGGTAAGAAGTGATGTTACAGTCTGGAATCCAAAATTTGCATGGCTGGTCAAGCAGCCTAGAAACTCAGGCAGGGTTTCCATGTTACGGTTTTGAGGCCAAATGTTTTCTTCTTTGGGAAACCACATTTTTTTTTTTTAATCTCAAAGCTTTCAATGAATTGGATGAGGCCCACCCACATTATGGAGGGTAATGCTTTACTCAAAGTTTGCTGATTTAAATGTTAATCTCATCTAAAAAAATCCCTAAACAGCAATATCTAGACTAGTATTTGACCAAACAACTGGGCACCATAAGCTAGTCAAGTTGACACATAAAATTCACCATTATTAGTGTCCAAATATGGTCTGCCTTTGCTGCTCACTTAGGTCATTTACTCTTCTCCTTTGAACTGGGTTTACCTTGGACTAGCTGATACTGGCTTTGCACCCTTTGCCTGGTCCCTAAATCCTGTCATACCTTATAAGAATAGTCCCACACATTAGGTCTGCTCTTCTTCTACCCTTTAACTGCTTCCAGAATAACTTGAGTCTAAGCTACCAGACAAGCAACAGCAGGCACCAAACAAAAAGAAGCCAGTAGCCCCTGTACTCTAGGTCAGGAAATTCCTCTCCACTCAGGAAATTCCTCTCCTTCAAACTTCCTCATGCATTAGCTCTGCTGGCCCCGAAGTACTTGGCTTTGTGTACTGTCTCGCTGGTCTCATCTAGCTCCATGTCAAGCTGTTTGCCTTCACTCTGACCTCAGGATGTTGATCCAAATCTTCTCTGTCCACCAATGCTGGGAAAGAAGTCCCATGTCTGTAAACTCCATCCATCTGGGAAGGAAGACTAGATAACCTGTATGATGCATTACAGTTCTTAAAACACTTTCACATACACTACCCACTAACCGGTATTCCTTGACATTGTCTGAAAGCTTATAAAGATATCATCCACAAAACCTCACTTGACATGTAAGAAAATTGAGGTTCAAAAAGTGTAAGTCCTCAACACAAGGACATGTAGCTAGCCAATACACGTGACCCTGCTATGGAGCTGAAGCTCTGGGTCATTTCATTAAGCCAGAAGCACCTTGGCAAGGAGCTGAATACTACTAGACTAAGTACTACTACTACTAACAATGCCACCTTAGATTCATATGCAACTTAGCTTCCAAAATGATCACACAGGCATTTCTCACCTTCACCTAATTTTCTCAGGGTGGCTCAAAAATTCCCAACAGCATCCCTCTACCTACTGTAGGCTACAAAGACACAAAAATTCTCCTTCATCATCCATCTCAGAATATTAACTTGAAATTAGCCTACAAGGTCATCAAAAGCAAAGTTTTACAAGGTTGTTCATTAACTGGTGCATAGTGACTGAGAAACTAGACACAGTAGCTTTCATCTCAAGGGATGGGCCCACAAACCTGGCCCAGGCAGGGCAACCTGGCCCAAGGACTGCCCATATAGTCTTCACAAGTTATAACTGAAACTTGGCTGGGACTAGAATAGACCAGCCTGGGGAAATCTAAAACATAGAGACTAGGCAGGCCCATTATGGCTTTGAGGTTAGGGTCTCCAATAAGAGATGAGAAGTAGAGACTAATAATCTGTGTTGTGTAGGCCCAGACATGAGTTAGAGGGCAATGTCCCCACAGAGCAGATGAAGCACACCTTAAGAGGGTCTGGTAATAAGCAGCAGGCAGAGGTCCAGGCAAGGCAGGCCAGCAGCCTCACTGAGGATCAACAGTAAGCAACAAAAGGCTATGCTGGCTAGTAGGCTATGAGACATTGTGGAGTCTTGGACAGAAGCCTTAGACAAATATCTCCATGGATAGGCAGATGAGTGATCCCAGAGAATTCTGGCAGTGGACAAGCACAGACCCCAGGAAGACTGAAAAGGACAACAGAATTTCAGTCCTCAGTGGAAAAAGACACCAAGTACAAAGCCAAGGTAGGGACCAGGCTCTCTAATAATTAAAGAAAGTAGGTAGTAGACAGATAATGAGCTCCTGGATATGGAAGAGAAGGCAAGGTGTGCCAGTCCCAGGAAGGTGGCAACAATCTATTTATTAGGACTGAGGGGAAAAGTCCAAGATCAACTTGCAGCCATACTGCATCCATGACCTGCTTTTAAGACTGTGGATCCTTCAGATCTCTCTTGACTACAAGGTAGGGCCTCAGAGCCTTGCTAGGTAGAGTGGAGTAAGGTGCAGGGCCTCATTCTGAGAGTCACATAGGCCCAGTTGTGGGGAAAGGAGGACTGAAGGAGCATGAAGCCAACAGGCCCATTATAGGGTTTGTTGAGTGGAGAAAACACTTTCTTATCCAGGGAAAAGCCTGTAGGGGGAAATCACAGTTCTCTTTACATGTCACCCACCACTCTGATCCAGGGATCCTGGGATGTGGGTCTCTCTTTCTTATTTCACAGGATGTCAGTAAGTACCCCCTAGAGCCACAGCCGGGGGAAATAGAACCCTAACTATTCCAGAATCCTAGAATTGGAAGGCAGAAGAGTTCAACACCTGGCATTTAAAAAATGGGGAACCTGAGATCTGCCCAAGATCACCTAATAATTTAATCATAGAGGCTGAGACTTAGGTTTCCTGACTCCTAGCCTGAGGTTCTTTCCACTAAACCCCAAAGATGAATATTCTGACACCCACACGCATCTGAAGATGGCTTTATGACAGCCCCAATTTCCATCTATGCCTTGGACAATCAAACTGATTTATCTCATTTGGCTTCAAAAAACACATTTATAGATATAGATCAAGTAGGGGAGACTTCAGCAACCACCATATATAATAAATTAACTTTCTGTCTAAAGCCTGACTTACTTTGTCATTTGAGAAATAATGGAAATACCTACAATATGAACCCCTCCACAAAGCGTGATATATTTAGCAACTTTCAGTAGCATGTTAATTTCAAAATTCCAATATTTCCCCGTTGCTATAGCTATGGCATCTGGTTAAATCAGAGTTCAGCAGCTGTGGGCAATGCTAATACTGATTCCAGCCAACTTTTTGCTTTGTTTCTAATGCAGGATGAGGAAAATGAGAGCAAAACAGTCACATTCTCTCCCACTCCCTCCAAGGAGCAAAACCCCTTAACTAGTCTGAGTTAGACAACATATTAATTCTCCATCTGGCACCAATACAACTGGAGCCCTAAGTCCCAAAGTATTGAATTGATGATGCAAGTAATTCCAGATCTATAACTGGGAGTTACATGTTCAGGACATGCTAATATGTGAAAGCTGTGATCTGCTCATCCAGAGAATCTTGCTGCCTCGTATAGCTGCATGCTTTTGTCAATTCCTTTTACAAACATACCATTTGAGGATTCCTGGACAGGAAAAAATAAGGGCTTTCAAATAGAGTCATCACTTTGGGCTACACAGCTCACAGCTTTCCATTTTGAGCTACTATTATTTAAGGGCTTCTTTTACTCAATTTTCAAGAGAAGTTATCTTAGGCAGGTTTCTTAGGTCTACACACTGGGTCCATTAATGGGCTCTAATCTGTCTACACAGCCCTCTATTTCCTTGACTCCAAATAGTGACTTGGTCTCTAAATGTTATTCCAAAGATTTATGGGCCATCATAAATACACATGACAGAGTATTCCCAAAGTTGTGACAATAAAATCAATACAGTATAAATTATGGCATAGATAAGTGATGGCATGCTATCTTATAGGATTGGAAAGTAGGACTGGGCCCATTTTTAAGAAGGCATTTAGCAGGTTTTCTATAATCCTTTCTCTCAAATGTTAATTTTGTCTTCAAATTTTCAAAGTTTTGTTGGCACAGATTCTCTAGAAAATGGGGTCTAGAAAATAGGGTCTATACCTGAATTTAAATAGAATGACCCAAGTCTGACAAAACCAGACTTGGGTCATTCTCAAATAAGGCCAACGGCTCATCTCAATCAGTATAATTTCTACCTGAGAACCCTCGGCTTGAGAAGGACCTAGACTCATAGGAGGTCTGCTACTGAAATCTTTTGGGGGGCTACACAAATGGGAAATCTAGACATTGGGATTGTCCTTGTTTTTCAAATTAAAAATATCCACGAAGTGCCTGCAGGGTGAATACCTTGTCTGTCTCCAATATCCTGGAATCCCAGCAACAGCTCCCCATTTCCACTTTAATGTGCATTTCCAATGTACACGTGAAGACCCATGTACATTGCACACACGTCCGGAGGAATTCAGCGATTTTGAGTTTCTGTTTAGAATGATGTTGCCATAACATGATTATATGACATCAGGGTTTTATCACGCAATAATATGCATTATTGGCCAATATTTCCTTTCTTATTCCCAAATGTCTTATCAATACTCCCTTGTGGTATCCATGTTATTAGACGCTCATTGTACAAATTCCTCACAGTAATGGGGACTTATCCTCACTGATGCTCACATTAATTCAAAACTCAAAAAGACACAAACTGCTAAGTTTTTGGTGAATAAGGCAGGGATGCTTTGGAGATCGGTCCAAGAATCTTAAGAGCATTCTTACGTAACTCTGTAACTTTTGAAATATATTTTGGAGTGAAATACAATTGGTTAACAGTGACTGGAGAGAAGGTGATAAAAGGATATCCTTTACTATCTGGCTGTTGCTTGTGTCTCAAGTTAAGAAAACACATACAGAAAAGCACTGAATTGGAAATCAAAAGACATGGATTAATTAGTGTTTGCTCTGCCAATGTAGCTGTAAGACATTGTGCATGTCTCTTGGCCTCTTCAAATCTCAGTCTCCCTATCTATAAAATGATGGAGTTTCATTAGCTGATTGCTAAAGGACTTTCCTATCACAGAGTCTATGGTTTCCTAACATCTTCATTCTGCAGATCATGGTGAGGGTTATCCCTAGTTTTCTGATGTCTATGCTCATGGCCTCACTATTAGCCTAACTGATTAAAGGCATAAGCTTCTGAAATTGTATGACCAGACTTGCCTTTATTATCTCATTCTCAAATACTTCCATATTTGATTCCTTTCCAAGATTCTTTTAATTCGTGGTTATCTCATTGAACTTACTTAGGCCAAAAACAAGACACAAGAGAAGCAACTGACACATTTTACTCCATAGGTGAAGGTTTTGTGCCCACACAGATGATGGATGGGTGGGAAACAATGTCATTTGATGTCCACTGAAGGAATTTTAAATGCTTACTCTAGACAGGAGTACTTGAAAACTGCTTTTACATGTATAAAGAGCTTTCATACTTGCAAAGAATTTGGTGTGGCTGTGTAGCCCGAAGAAGTTTAATCTAGGAACAAGCAGTAGAAAATAGATTTTGGTATGGCCTAAAGAAAAGCTTTCTAATAGGGCAGCCTGATGAAATAAGCTGCCTTGAGATATAACGAGCACTCTGTCAGTGGAGGTACTCAAACCATAGGCTAGACAACCACTTGGTAGTGATGCAGCCAAAGGTACTTAGCCTACACTACTGGCTCATCTTTGAGGCCCCTTCAAACTCTAAAATTCTATGGGCCAATTTACTCCCTCACTCCCTTTTCTCACCTTCCCAGATAAAAACTGCTCCCTTATCTGTGTGATGCTCTCATATTCTAAATACTTTGACACATTGTATTCTGTGGTGATGTGTTAGGTGACTTGTGCATGTAGCCACATCTAAAAACACAGAATGCAAATGTGCCCTAAATGAATTCCCAACCTACGAGGTTTAATCTTCAACATGGCATTGCTGGGTTTGTAAACTGTTGAGCTTCTTTAATAATATTTCTTTATGCTTTGGTCACAATTCAATTTTTAGATGCCTAGGATGGAAAGGTTTTATTATTATGACTTTTTCTTAGAATCTTAAAACATTAGTTGCCACAGCATCCTGAGGAAAAAGATGCTGCTGTGAAGAAAAATGCAAATTGCTTGCTTGTGGAATATAGTGAGTCAGTAGCAGATGAACAGGCATAATTTAATTTCACAGGGCTAGAAAATATGGAATGGAAATAGAAACTAGAAATGCTTTACTCTTCCTAAATGATGATTTCTACTTCTCCCTGTCCCAGATTAAGGTCTTACCAAGTCAGAGTGGCAGTATGAGAGCAGGTGAGCAGTAGAAAATAGTGAAGCCAAGACAGGTTAGCAGAGAGGGTTGGCTCCAAATAAATGAGCTATTGTAGGAGCTGAAGATGAGCAAAAGATCACACAAACTGGTGGGCAGAGCCAGATGGGAGGCTTTAAGACCACACAGATATCTATATAGTGCTTATGTTTGCACAGACTCACTATGGAAGGATCTGAAAGAAGGTAATCATAGCAGCTGCCTCTGGAGGAGGGAACTAAGGAACACAGGATTAGTTAGGACAGGCGGGCCTTACATTCCACTGAATATACTTCTGTTTTATTTGCATTTTTATCATGTAGGTCTTACCTTAACAAAAAAAAGAACCTATCAAAAGAAGACAAGTTAGTAACTGTGAAGAGTGAAAATGTCGAAGGAACAGCACAAGATGCTCAACAGCCAGAAAATAAGCAAGACTGCCCTGACCTAAGCAAACAAGACAGGCCAGAGAACAAAGTAAGGCCCTTGATCTTGACCCTGACCCTGAGAGCAGTGCTGTCCAAATCACAGGTACCTGTATTAGTTTGCTTCTCACCTTGCTGTGAATTAGTCCTGAGCAAACCTGATCTAGACACCCACAGATAAAAATGAAAATACCTGGGTGGGTAGAAGGTGAGCTAGGGAGTGCAGGGGGTTTTCTTGGTAGAGGGACTGCTTTGATAATCAGGTTTCTTAGTGCACATTAAGCATGTGTTCTTATAAGAGATTTGATGAAATTTTCTAAAATCTACACAATGATAGGCATTTAAAGAGTGATGGTCACTTATGTCCCAAATCATAACTCTACCTTACTTTGGTGACAGATATATATAATATATATAATATATATATTATATATATTATATATATTATAATAGTATATATATTATATATATTATATATATTATAATAGTATATATATTATATATATTATATTATTATATCATATATTATATTATATATTATTATATATGATATATATTATATATTATTATATATGATATATATTATATATCATATATGATATATTATATTATATCATATATGATATAAAATATATAATTATATATAATATATTATATCATATATGATATATAATATATAATTATATATTATATATCATATATTATATATAATATATTAAATATATTATATATAACATATTATTATATATATTAAATATATTATATATAACATATTATTATATATATTAAATATATTATATATAATATATTAAATATATTATATATAATATATTAAATATATTATATTATATATAATATATTATTATATATAATATATGATATAATAATATATTATTATATATATGATATATTATATATTATTATATATAATATATGATATATTATATATCATATATTATATATTATATATGATATATAATATATTATTATATATATCAAATATATTATATTATATATAACATATATTATATATAATATTAAATATATTATATTATATATAATATATTATTATATATAATATATTACAGATATCTATATAATATTGAATCTATATTGAATATTTCAATATAGATAATATTCACATATATTGAATCAGATTCACTTATCACCTTGAAAATGCAAAACCCAAACTTGAACAGGCTTGTGTTCAGGCTTGAACGAAATGTTAAAAGTCATAAAGTTCAATCTCATCAGACGTTTAAACCCCCTCTATGGCTTCCCTGCCAGGTAAGTGGTCAGTTCACTACTTGAACTCTTCCAGTGACAAGGAACTCACTACCAAATGAACTAGCCCACCGAAGTCGTGGATAGCATAGTCATTAGAAGGTTTTCCCTTGTGTTGAGCCAATAATCTGACTTGCAGGCATTTCAATCCGTTAGTGTTGATTCTGTTCTCAGGAGATTACAGAACCAGACTGTTCTTTGCCCTACATGTCAACCCTTCAAATCTTTGCAAGTTGCTATAATGGTCCCCAGACTCCTCTCATAATATTAAAGTAAATTATCTCCAGTTATTTCCACTGTTCTCTATACAACCAGGTTACAAAGTCATCCACATCCTGGTAACTTTCTGAATGGACTCTCATTTGTCTAGGTGCCTTGTATGACAGGAACACAAGTAAGAAGTAAACAGAACAGGTGTGTGCAGGTATGGACCACTGCTTCTTGTACTCTAGGCACTAGCCTTCAGTAAGGTGGTTTGAGGTCACTCAGTCTTTTGGAGCAGCAACATCAACCTGTTAGGTACTGCTGGTCTTTCTATCAATTGAAACCCTGAAGGCTTCCTCCTACCTGGTGCTATTAAAGCAGATCACTCTTGCGTGGTTCATTGGGGTTTGAAACCCACATTTCCCTGTTACATTTCATCCTCTTGGGTTTGGTTTACTGTTACTTTCTGACAGCCAATGACTGTGTGAGCCGATGCCTTCACTTGGCTGCCCAGCTCCCCCATCTGTGAATCTCCTCACAGGCCATCGGTGGTCTCTCCATGTCACTCTTGACAGTGCTGAACAGGTCAGAGGAAGGGATGGTGTGCTGAGCACCAGCACCAGCAGCCTCTCTCTGAGGACATTAGTCTAGCCATCAGCATCGGTCACTGTAGGTTCAAAAAGGGCACATTTCTCTACCTTTTCCTTAGTAGATGAGAAAAGCCTTTGAATTTTAGAAATCTTCTTTGCAAATACAAGGTACTCATATTCTTTTAACTCATATTTACTTTTTACTTTTCACCAAGGACATAATAATCCTTGAAAACATTTGCTTATTTTATACTTGTCTGAAGAAAGTAAACAATCTTTTATTGTAAGGTGGAGCCATTTCTTCATACATAAATATTTACTGAGTGTCTCCCTATGTACCAGGCACCAGTCTAGGAGCTGAAGATAAACAATGAAGAAAGGCAACATTCCCTGCCCTCCTGGCATGTACACTCTAGCGGGGCTCAGGGTCCAGATGAATGTTCTTGATGTACCAAGAATATGCTAATGAGTTAATGTTTCTCTTCAAAGTGCAATCTAAACAAACAATTCGGTCCCTCCTGAAAGAAGACTTACTGCCTAGGAGGGTTCTGAATCTTGTTCATCTTCAAGGAGCTCCACAGAGTTTTGTGGTTCAATTCAGTTCAGTGAGTATCTGGGAGGTGCCTGTGTGTAGCCAGCATGATACTTGATGCTGTCAGAGACAACAGGGACCTAGTAAGATGACTGTCTCTATCTTTTCTAGTAAAGCTGACCATCCAACTGGGGAGGCAAGCCTGCATTTAGGTTCCCAAACTTAGTTACAGAAATACAGGATGAAGAATAACAGACTTGAGAGTATATTACTTCAAAAATGCTCACTGAGGGACTTTGAAGAATTCCTCCCCTGCTCTGAGACCCATTTCCCTCCCACATAAAATGAAGGGATTATACTGGCAGTGGTTCTCAGTGGGGATGGTACTGCCCCCTTAGGAGGAATGAGGAAATATATGGGGTTGGGGTTTTTTGGTCATCAGAATGACTGAGGGGTGCTACTGGAATCTAGTTGGTGGGAACAAAGTGTACTACACATCTTGCATTGCACAGGACAAACAGTCCCCTGCAAGGAAGCATGGTCCCACCTAAAATTCCAATAGTGCCTGATATGGTTTGGCTCTGTGCCCCCACCCAAATCTCATGTTGAAGTGTAATCCCCAGTGTTACAGGAAGGGCCTGGTGGGAGGTGATTGGATCATGGGGGTAGTTTGTAATGGGTTAGCACCATCCTCCTAGCACTGTTTGTTTAAACATGTGTAGCACCTCACCCAACTCCTGCTGGCCATGTGAAGATGTGCTTGCTTCCCCTTCGCTTTCTGCCATGATGGTAAGTTTCATGAGGCCTCCCTAGAAGCAGAAGCCTGTACAGCCCGCAGAACCGTGAGCCAATTAAACATTTCTTTATAAATCACGCAATCTCAGGTATGTCTTTATAGCAGTGTGAGAACGAACTAATACAGTGCCCCCACTGAGTTGCGTTGGTAGATCATCCCTCTAAGGGCCCTTCTATCATTCTGACTTTGTGACTTAGGGACTTTACCTCATCACAAGACATGATAGGGCTGTCAAACTACCAATACAACCTTGGACTACTTTGTTAACCGGAGACCCATGTTTTTTTTGGAACCACCAGCATCATGATCACCTGTGATGTTTGTTAAAATACAGAGTTCCTGGTCCTACATATTGAAACCGGATCTCTGTAGGTAAGGCCCAGGATTGTGGATTCTAGTGCCCATTAAAGTTTGAGGGTTTACATAAAGAGAAAGCTGGTCCTGCCCTCCTTGACACTGATGAGAACAGTGCTGGATTCCAACTTCACTACCCTTATGACCCTGTAAATGAAATGTGCCCAAAACCCTCCAAAATATCCTGAAGCTTACATCCTGTTGTCTGTCTCTCCTAAACTTTCCTCATCAGGGTTCTTTAACATTCCATTTTGCTGTTTTTCCTCCTGCTTCTCTCACTTCTCCTCAGTTTTCTTCATTGACTTCTCTTTTCATCCTATGCCCTAAAATAGCAGTTCTCGGTCCGGGCGCGGTAGCTCATGCCTGTAATCCCAGCACTTTGGGAGGCCAAGGCGGGTGGATCACGAGGTCAGGAGATCGAGACTATCCTTGCCAACACGGTGAAACCCCGTCTCTACTAAAAAAAATACAAACAATTAGCCGGGCGTGGTGGTGGGCGCCTGTAGTCCCAGCTACTCGGGAGGCTGAGGCAGGAGAACAGCGTGAACCCGGGAGGTGGAGCCTGCAGTGAGCTGAGATTGCACCACTGCACTCCAGCCTGGGCGACAGAGCGAGACTCTGTCTCAAAAAAAAAAAAAAAAAAAAAATAGCAGTTCTCAGGTTGTGTTCAGGCCCTGGGCTATTCATTCATAACCCTTGCCATTGAAGAGCTTAGTGTTATCTTGAATGATTTATGACTAGCATACTTTAATCATACATGAAATTCACAGAGAGAAAAACATAATTAAACATTTACAGACAATAAATGCTTAAATGCTATGGGAGGTCAAAATAAGAGATACTGTCATGTCACAAGCCACCCAAATATACTACTGTATCCTCTTAGAAGAAAGAACCAGGAGTAAAGGTGGCAGATGAAGGTAGGATCCAGAGGAATGTGTGGGAAAGCTCCTTCATAACACTGCCCAGGACAGCAAAGCTATAACTTCTGCTAAAAGTCTCCTCTCTGAAATATTGTCAAACTCTTTCGCATTTTCCTTCTATCCTGGCACTGAGCCACGGTTGGAGGGAAAAGGTAGAACTGCAGCCATAGTGAAGTCATTGTGCCAGAAGCCATGGGACCCAGATTCTCCAAGTGAGGGAGTCAGGTAGTCATGTCATTGGAGTCCAGAAGCTCTGATAACGGTGTGGTCAAGGCCAGCCCTGGAAGCAAGCCACTATCCCCATCTAGGAAAAGTACCCTAAAGTAAATAAGGTACTGGAGAGAAAGTAATCAATAATGTCTTCTTTGAATACAAAAGTCAATACATTGAGATGGGATATGGGAGGGAACTACCACTTTCTCAGCAATTACATGGTAGGTACTACACTTAAAATAACCCTGTGATGTCACGATTTTTATCCCCATTTTTGCAGATGAGAAAATTAGGCTCAGAATGATAAAGCTAGCAAATACAGAAATCCTTTCAAAATCAATTATGTCTAGTTCCAAGGACTATACTTTTTTGTTGTTGTTCTAAAAACTTGGGATTACTGGGCACGGTGGCTCATATCTGTAATCCCAGCACTTTGAGTGGCCAAGGCAGGAGGATCGCTTGAGCCCAGGAGTTCGAGAACAGCCTGAGCAACATAGAGATTCTGTGTTAACAAAAAATAAGAAAGTTATCCAGGCATGGTAGTACATGCCTCTAGTCCCAATTACTTGGGTGGCTGAGGTGGGAGGATTGCTTGAACCCAGGAGATGAGGCTGCAGTGAGCTGTGATGGCACCACTGTACTCCAGCCTGGGTAACAGAGACCTTGCCTAAAAAAAAAACAAAAACAAAAACAAAACAAAACAAAAAACTAACCAACAACCTTGGGATCTGGAAATCATATTAGGGAAAAGCCAATATTGGAAGGCAAGTGAACCAGGAAGGATCAAGGTAGCTGCCAGTTAGGTTCCCCAGAACATGGCAGAGGACAACATGTGTCTGCTCAGGACAGGTCTAGGTCAGAAAAGCCCTAGTCAAGTACTGCCACAAATTATTCCAAAGGATAGGATATGATGGGCAGCAGGAAACAGGTTCATCTATCGATAGGGTCATGATAGCTAAAGTCAAAGGTTAACAGAGAAGAAGGTCAAAACTTGATATGTGAGGTACCACTTTGCAGCCCCCCAGATATCAGACTGACCAAGGGATGAGAGGAGGCTGGCATAACCTGGCTGGCAGCAAAAAGGATCGACTGGATCCAGATGTAGGCCCTGTCTCCAATGTTTATTTTTTATTTTAATTTTTAAGTTCCAGGGTACATGTGCAGGATGTACAGGTTTGTTACACACGTAAAAGTGTGCTATGGTGGTTTGCTGCATTTATCAACACATCACCTAGGTATTAAGCCCCGCATCCATCAGCTATTTTTCCTAATGCTCTCCCTCCCTCCACCCCAATCCACTGTTTCTTAATGGAAGGCATCATGGCCCAGCCTGGTAAAATCTTAGAAGGGCTCTAATAAAAAGATAAATGACATTCTACTGACATAACTTTATCCACATGTTCAATAAATATACCACCAAAATTCATTCATGCACATAAAAAACATTTACTGATATGGTATTATATGCCAGGCACCATGACAACAACAGAAAAGATGGCACAGTCCCTATCACTACCCATGTGACTCTGAGTCAGGCATTATTAGGAACATTCAATACATTTTTAACGATTCGTTTGATATCTGCCTTCACCACCAGACTGGGAGATTTACTGGTGTAGGGAGCGACTGTATCAGTCTGAATCACCCCAGTATCTGTAGCTCTCTCAGCAAGAACCTGGTCAATAGTTGACATTCCCGTTGCAGATATGTCTGCTGGATTAACAGTACATTTTTGGGTGGTGCTTGGGAGTCAAGAGGAACGCATCTAAATTAAATTGGGATGAGGGTGGTCAAAAAGTTTTTTTCCAGGAAGAAGGGGCTCCTCATACTGAATTCAAAAGAATGAGCAGCATTAGCAAGAGGAAGAAGAGGGGGAACAGCCTCAGCAGATGGAACAACAATGCCAATTGCCAGTTCTGACTGAACTAGCCTAAATAAGTACTAATCACTTAGCAACCCCTGAATTCATTCAAACAATTAGATTTTAACCAATCCGAATGAAACCAGCAGCTGTGTGTAGAGACAGGACTACGCACTGTGCCCTGTGCATGTGTGTTTGCCAGCAGAGTTGGTTGTTGTTCTAGTATGATATGTAATGCTGAGCAGGAGGTGGGGGGCATCACAGGAATCCTCCAAGAGAGCACAAGGCAGCAACCTCAGACTCTCAGCAGCTTAGTCCTCAAACGGTATTCACTATACTACTCAATAGGCTTTCTAGTCACTTCTTCAAGGTAGCCTCTGCCCCTGGACTATTTGCTGACCAGTCTGCTGCTTGTTCCATTGGCATATAATCTCATCAAGCAGCTCTGGCTGTCTGTGACACGTTAAAGTTGTCCATCAAGTCTCTGCTATTTCTTTCATTGAGAGGCAGAATCTGATTACCTTCCCCTTGAATCTGGGTTGGTCCTCAGTGACTTGCTTGACCAAGAGAATGCAGTGGAAGTGACATTTTGGGACTCCAGAGGCTGAGTCATAAAAGGTTGTACATTTTCCACTTGGATCGCTGGAACACTAGCCCTTGGGGCCCTGAGCTGACACATAAGAAGTCCAACCACCCTGAGGTCACCATGCTGTTGAGGCCGTGTGTAGGTTCTCTGGTTGACAGGGCCAGCTGAGCCTAGCCTTCCTGCCATCCTTGCCAAAGCACCAGACAGACATGTGTGTGAAACTGGAGAGGGGGATACAGAGAGGAGGTTACCATACCAGCGCATTTACCAGCTGAGTGTCACTGGGTAATCCGTGTTGATCAAAAGAATCACCAAGATGAGCCCTGCCTGAATTTCTGAATTGTGAGCTATAGTAAAATGGTTTTTACATTAAGCAACTAAGTTTTGAGGGTGGTTTATCACACAGCAATAAGCAAGTGGAACACTGTCTTAGTCAACATTATATCAATGGTGCCGGTGTTGTGCCTGGCATGTAGTCAAGTTGCAGCATAAATTCACTGACTGAAGGAATGAGTACTAGAGAGAAGGATACGAAAAAGGGACATCAGGGAAAGACAAAGATGATTTCCAAGTGGCAGTTGTTATGTGTTGATACAACTTCATTTACAATGAGTAGAATTTTTTAAGTAACATGGTACCTACTCTCAGAAACTAACCAGAGTAGACATTTAAATTGTCCTGGAGGGGGTAAAAAAGAAACAACTGAATCTTTGTGCTATGTTGCCTACCATAAAGTACAGCTGCCCAATGGCTGTCCCTTTGTCCCAGATCTTAGGATATTCCAGCTCTCATGATCTAGACCCAGTCCAGCTACAATTAATATGCTTTTCCTTCTCTTCACTGTAAGACCTCTGCACTTTCCTGGAAGTGATTAGTTCCAAAAAAAAGCCAGCAAGAAACTATGAACAAGAAAATAATTACCATGAATCTTTTCATCTTATTGATAACAATTTTATAAATTAGTTTCCAAGGAATAAAGATTATTCTTGCTTTAAAAAAGAAAATAATTACCAAAATGAATGGGCTTTCAAGTTTGGCTTCAGAACCAGACCCACTTTCTAAAGTATACATACAGACTGTGCCTCCTGATGGAAACACGGAGACTTTGATTCTAAATGTAACTATGTTTTACTTGCCTCACCTTTAATTGTATGAAGTTCAGACCTAAATTCAATCAGTAGCCTATTGTTTGTTGCTTCCTGGGAAGCAAGTAGCAGCTGAAAGGAGAGCTGGGGAAGAATTGGGTGGGGTTGGAAATCTCAATCTTGGCACGACTCTTATGAATTTTCTTTTCCATTTTACTCACCTCCTTCTGGCTCTGATGTTATCAGTAATTTCCCAAGACAGAGAAAACCCAGACTTCCTCAAAGAGTTCAACTACCTGCCTCAGCAAAATCCAAAATGGGGAGACCAGCTGCTCCATAGAAACTCTGCTCCTGTGTTCGTGTCCAAGGAAACTTACAGAAAGGAAACACGCTGGCAGGGCTCTTTCATTTCTGCCTTCCTCTAGCTGGCTAAGAAGCGAAGTCTGTGGTGATTCTGGACAGCCCATCCAAAATCTGGAATGGACAGGACATTCTTGCAGCCAGTGAATAGACAGCAAAGGAAAGAGAAAATCAAGCCACTTTTGATGTATTCAAAGACATGAGCAAAATGGCACCAACAAAATGGATGATGAGCTCTGAAAAGGACAGCACATAAAAGCAAAGTTACTTTAATTTTCACATTGAGTCTAGGGTTGCAGTTGTCTGACAACAGTTTTCAAATGGCACAAATGTTACAAGACCAAACCTGACTTTTTCTACCTTACACTGCTCACCTGAATTCCTCTGGTTCCTCCGAAACCACATCTCTGAGTTTCTGCTAAGCTTTTGAGAGTTTTGAGATGAAAAGCCAATGACTTTCTTATTCAAGTACTAGAAGGAAATATTGTATAGCTTTACAGATGCAAAATGTAGATACAGATCAAGAATCAGTGTACTTGGGCTCTAGTTCTGCTTATGCTGTTAACTGACTGTGTTATCCTAGACTATTCATTTCCCTTCTCTAGGCTTAAGTTTTCTCATCTGCAAAATGAAGAGCATGGACAGACAGTGTGTAAGGGCTCTAAATGGCAAATATAATGAAATACTCATTATCCAAGGCTCATTTTCACAAGTGTAGCTTCTCTGTGGGTCGCCTTGGTTTCAAACTTATGGATAACAACACTTTTGATGAATGCCTTCCCTGTTAAATTAAGGCTTTGCTGCCATTTCAACATCTTCTTAACTTCGTATTCAGAACTACTCTTGGAAATCCATACACTTAACTACCTCCCATGTTGTGAAGGAAATCTTAGAGGGCAATGATTAAGAGAACTAAAAAATGAGGGGCATATATCCAGAATTAAGCACAAAAATCAGTCATCAAATAATAGTGCCATTGTGTTAAGTGGCCACCATATGTGAAGACTTTACATGGATCATTCTAACCCTTATGACAGCAATAAAGGTAATAAAGCATTAAGTTGTTGGTGAGAGCCAGACACTGTATTTGACACTCTGAAATACATGATCTCTGACAGAAAATGCTGCATAGCACTTGCTACCTGCCAGGCCTTGTTTTAAGTGCTTCCTGTATATTAATTTCCTTAGTACCCACACTGACCTCATGAGGAAAAGGTATTATTAATCTCATTCTACAGATGAGGAAACCAAGGCACAGAAAGGTTAAGTAACTTGACCAAGGACGTACAAGTTAATAGATAACAGAGCTAGGAATCAAATCTAGAAAGTCTGTTCCATACAACCCTACAAGAAAGATAATGTCCTATAACTGTAGGGATGCTTTTCAGCTGTGGATTAGCTGACAAATCAACCACAAAACCCCAATGGCCTAACACAACAATGGTTTACTTCTCACTCATGCTACATGTTGCCTGCAAGTTTATGAGTGTCTATGTTCCATATAGTCACTTAGGGACCCTTGATTGATGGAAGTTCCACCATGGAGATTGTTCCCCATTGCCTCAGCAGGGGTAAGAGAGCACACAGAGATTGCACACTTGCTTTTTTCTACTTCAGCCCCAAAGTGTCACAGGTAATTTTCCCTCACAGCTCATTGGCCAGACCTAATCATATGATCCCACCTAACTATAGGAAGCTTGGAAATTAGTCTTTCATGCTTTCAGAAGGAGAGAATCAGATGGTAGTAAATACTAGTTATGTCTATGCAAACTGCATTTATCAAAACATCCAACTAAATGTTCAGCTACATATGTAATGGAAAATAGTATTCTTTTAGCAAGGGAAAAGAAAACGGCTAGGATAGATAACTAGCAGTGTCCATCATATACCCTAATCTTAAGATGAAGAATGTGAGACTTAGAGAGGTTTAGTAATGGATTAAAGGTCATATAGTAAGAAAGTAGTACACTCAAATTTGAACCCTGGTCTGACTCCAAAGTCTATAATCCTTTTGCTCCAGCAAACTGCCTCCCAAAGACAGGAAGAAATTGTTTTGTGATCATCCACCACTCAGAATTATCCACAATGGTCCACAAAGTCTATAAAAGAGAACTTAGAGCTAGAGCTGGCTACTGACCACTGCTGCATCATATAAAACCAGAGATGTCAGAACAGGAAGGAGTTCTTACATGACAGACCAGACCACCTATCGCCACCTTAGTACTTTTCAGATATGGAAACTGAGGCCCATGATGTGGAGTATGTTGTTCAAGAATACATGGATGATAATGAGACAGTGCTACCATAACATTTGTATCAAGCAGGGTCTTGGCAGGAAACACAGCACATTCAAAAGGTGTAACTGAAGGTAGGGGCAGGGTTAAGGGAACCTATAAGGTAAGGTGCATTGGTCCTGGATCAGTAGCAGGAAGAAACCACTACCATCTCTCGACCTGAAGTGAGAAGGAGAGTAATGGTTACCAGAACCTGGTAAAAGCTGAGGCTGTCAGAGAGGGACAACCCAACACAAGCTATGGCATGAAATAGTGGAACACAGCCACTGCCAAATGTGACCTGGCAGAGAAGAAGCTGGAGAAGTAAATACTGAGATCTGGCTTTCCTCTCAACCCTCTGATCCTTTCTCCCTCCCCCACTGATACGTTGCATTGTCAAACCTAACTGGAAGCCAGAGGACAAGGGAGCCTGGTTGATGCAGCCCATAGAAGTCAGTCTCCAGGGGCCCAGAGCAGGGTAAGGAAGGGTAGAGAGTGCAGCTGGAGTGGGAAACTCAAGAGTATCCATTATGGTGACTTTCCTTTCTTTTCACTGATTCATTCATTTATTTATTTACCATGCATAGTGTCAGAAAGTGCTAAACACATTTTAATTTCCATCAACATTCAAGTTTTGTCTTTAAAATTTGGTGGTGAAAGCATGTCATCTATCCAAGTATAAGGCTAGTTTTATTTCAAAGAACAGGGGTAGATTTTAAGGCCATGCTCAGTTTAGCATGAGGTAAAGAAAACTACATTTAAAAAATTCTACCACAGCTTGACTTCTGGTTAAACATGGCAGACTGATAACACATGATTATCTCTCTCCCTCCCGAAGTCTCATTAATGGAATTAAAACAATGCAAATAAAAAGTGTGTGTGTGTGTGTGTGTGTGTGTGTGAGAGAGAGAGAGAGAGAGAGAAGAGAAAGACAGAGAGAAAGAGGTGTTAAGTCCACGCAGACTAAGAAAACAGGGAAGGAGACATTAGTGGACAAGAATTATCCATAAATGTTTCGAAGACAGGAAATGATGGGAAGAACGAATATTTATTTCAGAGAGTAAAGGAAAAGCAAGTTAGAACCTAAGTGCTTGCAGAAAGACATGCCAATGAAAAGTGAAACAATTAGTCCCCATTGAATCCTGGGAAGGCTTAAGGGTTTAGAAATACCAAGTACCACAGAAATTGGGATAAGACACAGGAAAACAGGAATTAAAACTCTGTATAGGGAGCAGCAGGCTCCCATATATACTTTTCAGCATGCAGCTACCTAGATAACTATTTTATCCTCTCCCTTTGCCCCCAGGAAACAAGAGAGTTCCACTCTTCAATATGAATAGACAGCCAAGGATCACAAAACATTTGAGGAACTCTTCCAATATGAGAGAAGTCAAAACAAACAAACAGAGAAAACAGAGATGATACAATAACAGAAGAAAACTTAAAACTATAATTAATATCCTCAGAGATAAGAGAAAATTTATATCCATAAGCATAAGCAGGATACTACAAAAAGGAAGACACAGAAAACAAAGGAATTTAAGGACACTGAAAATATGATAATCAAACTGCAAAAAAGTAAAAGGATTAAAATAAGAAAATCTCCCAAAAAGAAGAACATAAAGACCAAGAGAGGAAAAGACAAGAAAAGCAGAGGAACAATATGGGAGGTCTAATATCCAAATAATTGAAATTTCAGAAAGAAAAAACGAAGGGGAGAAAATTATCAAAGTCATAATGTAAGAAAAATAAGGACATAAATTTCCACATTTAAAGCTCCTAAGGAAGGATCAGTAAAATGAATGCATAAAGATCTATACCAAGTCACACTGTCAAAACATGTCTGAATTATAAGGGCTAAAAAAAAAAAGAACCTAAAAGGTTTCAGAGCAAAGGAAAAAAACAATGCTTATACGGAAGACTCTTATACCAGAACTAGATTGGCATCAGCCTTTTAAATAACAACACTGAAAACGAGGAGACAATGGAGCAATGCCTTCAAAATTCTGCGAAAAACCAATTCATAATTTTATACGCAACACAGCTATTTATTTCCTTTGGCAAAAATATAATTTTACCTGTGGAAGGATTATTTTTATTTTCCAGGCTTATTGACATCAAGCTTGGCCATAAGACTTGATTTTCCAATGACATGTGAACAGAAGTGATGTGTACCACTTCAGAGCAGCAGCTTTGACAGCCAACACTGATTCAATCAGTGCTATTTTTCCTCTGCCATGAGAACTGCTTCTCCTAGAGAGGGGCTGCTCCCTTAACCTAGGTGCCAGAGTGAAAAAGACCTGGCTAGAACTACTGCTAACCCATGAAAGACATAGGATACCAGTAAGAAAGAAATCTTGTATAAGCCATTGGGATTTTGGAATCATTTGCACCACGGCATAGCCTACTAAAAAGCTGACTAATATAATTTGTCATAAACCTTTATTTAGGAAGCTATTAAAGCACGTGCTCCAGCAAAACAAGTAAGCAAATAATTTTTAAAAAGGAGACAAAAGACCCAAAAACTAGGGTCCTAATACAGGAAACTGGCAAAGGGAGGATGATTCCTGTACAGAAGGCCCAGAGAGCCAAGGCTGAAGCGGGAGGCTGGAAGACTCCAAGAAAAAATAAAATTGGTAGGTTATCTGATATATTTCAGTGTTCAAAAAATAATACTGAGGACTACTTGATAAATCTGATGAATGTTGTGCAGAAAATAAGAAATGAGTAAAAAGAAAACTAAGCAAATAAGAAATTAGGCAATTATTGACTCTGGGGAAAATAAAATATTATTCAAAAAAGGAAGTGAAAGCATAATGCATTGCTTGGCTTGGCACTGGACATAAATGCAAAGCTATAATAACAAACACTGAATACCAATTTTGAAAAAATACATGATTTACTTATACTGGAGTAATGGAGGAAAGAAAATGGAGAGGCTGTATGGTCATCATTAGGGCTGTTCACAAATATTCCAGAGCATCTTTTCCCAGGCACATGGTAGGGTTGTACTTCCAGGCCTCTTTTCAGATTAAGTATAGTCATGTAGCTTGCTTTGACCAATAAAATGTGAGTAAAATTAATTTATATCATACCTGGGAAGAAGTTTTGAGAGGCAGCAGGCAATTAACTCTTTATTTGCCCATTTCATAGATCATGTGATCAGGTGTTGAGTTGGAGCCTCCATCATCCCATGTCCATCCTTCAGTGACCAACATGAGCCAGAGGCCCCCTGCCCACTTAAGTTGAATGTGTAGCATGAGCAAGAAATAAACTTCTGTTCTGTAAAGCCCCTGGTAACTAGGAATGTCTTGTTATGCAGCACAGACCAGCCATACTCGACTGATAGGGACTATGAGACAGCCAGCCTCTCATCTATCATCACAAGAAGTAAACACACAATATCTAAAATAATGAATCAAGTAATGGCAGCATAAGCATATTACATAAAATATGAAGGTAAGTACCAAAAGCAAGAGGAGCAGGATTGGGAGGAAGCAGTACCGGCCTGATTGGTTTTGTTGATGTTATTATAAGCCTGATTACAAAAATTATTCATATTATTGCATTGATAAAAATAATTTTAAACCCATATATATATGCATATATATATGCACATTTTACTGGAGATCCAGTATAAGGAATAAGATATTGGTAGCAGCAAGGTTTTAGTATGAATTTCCTCACCAATGCTCAGGATTCCTAATGGAGAAGACAGGGTCTAGCCTTCATTGTTTTTAATAGAGGAACTCAACTATCTCTTGACCCTTAAGACAGGTTCCTTTCGATTAAACATTAACTCTAGATATTTTGTAGAACTTTATCCTCCAGGATCAACATTCCCTAAACAGCAATGCTAAAAACAGTAGAAATGGATAAATCAAGACAGCTTTTATACTAAGTAATTAGGGATACTTTAGAACCAGTTTGTGAGAAGGACTTGGAGATTGTATTATTTTTAAAAATTACATTGAATCCAAGAAAACACACATTTTTCCAAGGGCTAAACAGAAAAAAAGACAGCTATGTCACAATAGAACACCTGCCCAAGTAGACCCTGGCACCTCCATCCAGAGATTTTTCTTCCTTAGAGAGTTTCTCTACTCATGTTTGGAAGGATTTATGCTGTACTATTTTTTTTTTTTTAAGACAGAGTTTCGCTCTTGTTGTCCAGGCTGGAGTGCAATGGCATGATCTTGGCTCACTGCAACCTCCGCTTCCCGGGTTCAAGCGATTCTATTGCCTCAGCCTCCCGAGTAGCTGAGATTACAGGTGCCTGCCACCATGCCCAGCTAATTTTTTGTATTTTTAGTAGAGACGGGGTTTCACCATGTTGGCTAGGCTGGTCTTGAACTCCTGACCTCAGGTAATCCGCCCACCTTGGCCTCCCAAAGTGCTGGGATTACAGGTGTGAGCCACAGCGCCCAGCCCTGCTGTACTTTTTTAAAGGAGCAATACCTTTCACACCCCAATAGCAAAAAAGGAAGAGCAGTCTATGAAAGACCCATGCATCTTACAGCAAAGCAACATAGATATGAAGCAACATGAATGACAGCCCACAGTGAAGGTGAAACAACATCAGGAAAGAGGACCTCTGGCAAAATCTGTGTTTCCATGTGGACTGCCACATCAATCCAACCATGCTCCCTGTTATAATCATAGTGTGCATTTGGAAGATGGTGGGTTGGGGACAAGGATATACTTGTGGCTATGGGCCAGAGGGTAATGATACATGTGCCTGGATGAGGGTGCACTGTAACCAATAGCTCCTATCATCCCCAGTGTGTTCCTAAATGGTCTGACCTCTGGCTGCTCTTACAAGCCTAGTAAGCACTTGATTATGGCTGCCTGTGAATTGAAATCATATAAATAAGCCAAATCAGCCCTTTATATCCGAATCAGACGTGAGGTTTCCATGCTTACTTTTAAATATGAATGGCTGTGTGTTCTGGGACATCCCAATATTTCAAGGCAATAATGAAATCAAACTATAAATTTCTGGCTGGGGAGCAGCAAAACTATCCAGCTCTTCTATCCCTCCTTCCCAAGCCTTCCTCAAAAATCAAGTCCTCTCTCTTCCCTGAGCTAAAGATACATCACATACATCTCAGACTGATGCAAAGCTCTGGCCACCAGCCATGCTGGATGCTCTAACCTCTGACACACACTGTCCCTAAGGCTAAGGATCACTATTTCAGCTTCAATAACTTTTTCTTCTACCTCCTGCTACTCTACAAAAAAGTTCTAAGAATGTAGACAGAATCACTACCTTGGACCCAACATCTTGAGTTCAAGGGATACCAACATAATCTTCTAAAAGCTAAAAATCTCAGTTCTTCAAAATGTGACCTGAATCTACCTTTACATCTTGTCTCTAGTCATTTTCTGCCAATATCCATATTACTACATAAGTGATTCCCTGAACAAACCACGCATTTATCTGTTCTCAATCTCTGTTCATGCCAGTGCCCTGACCTGAAATTTTCTATCCAGATCGTTAGGTATCAGAGTTAGCTGTTGATGTGTCTCTCTCTTTCCTACTAGACTGTGAGACAATCTGAGAACAGGCGCTGTGCCTTTCTCATCTGTGCATCCCCAGCATCCAGCTCAGCACCTAGCCCATAGGAAAAATATGTGCTAAATAAATCTTAAAAGGCACCACAAACCATTTGCTGATTTCTTACAGTAACAAATGCACCAACTAAAACATACCATTCCCTGCAATGCTTCAAATGGCCAAAGGCCTACATACCCCATATATGAGCTCAAAAACAACAACAACAAAAAGGCAAAGAACTAAACTGAGATGATCTTAGATTCCATCTTCAAAAACAAAAACAAAACAAGACCCAAAGAAACTTCATTTCTGCAAATACTACTTTAGTGTGACTGGAAGAAAAGCCCATGGAAGACTTCTAACTGAAACAAAAGTGCAACGTATGGTTCTGGGCCCTCCATGTGTTCTGAGCCTGGAACAAATGACTTTGCTCTAGATAGGATTCTGTTTGTCAACTGGGCATTGAGAAATTAGAAATGTGGCAGGAGAACATAGCCAGCTGTTCTTAATTAATGGGTCTGTGATGCTTATGTTGAAATGAACACAGAGTAAGAATAAATGAAATATACCTTAATCCAACAACACAAAAGGGGAAAGGGGAAAAGCAGGAAAGCCCCACTGAAGGATGGTCCAGGTACCAACTAAAAGATCAAATACCACACCAGCATGGCACATGTATACATATGTAACTAACCTGCACATTGTGCACATGTGCCCTAAAACTTAAAGTATAATAATAATAAATAATAATAATAATTATTTAAGAATGTTAAAAAAAAAAGATCAAATACCAACATTCACTTTACCTACAGGGCATTAATGCTACAATACCCTTGTACCCTCATGAACTAGTTTAAGGGCTTAAGCCTAATAGATGTCATCAAGAATTTTAAAATTAGGTATAATGTGGACAATCTATAAATGATAGAGAATGGGTTATTTTGTACAGACCAAATACCACTCTACTTTAAAGGTCACCCAAAAGTCTGCTGACATGTACCTTTAAGCACCATTTTTATTAAAAAGCCTGAAAGTCTGAAGGAAAAAAATGGCATCTCCAATCCTATATAGAAAGCAGAGGGAGGTAGGGGTAGAAAAACAAGTGTAAGAGGGAGGGACAGGGGGTTGACAGCAGTCAATAATGATTTATGTAATTGGACTTGTCTGGCCTACTCAAAGACCTTGAAGTAAACATAGCCACCAGCTGACAGAAGCAGTAGCAATTCAAGTCCATTTGCCAGAAGGGCAAGGACAAATCCTATGGAGAAAGAAAGGAGCATCACTTTGGAGCTCTGTGAAGTGACCTGGGCACAGTGGATATTAAGAAAACAAAAAAGGAGAAAACTGTTTTTAAGAGCTACATGAAAGTACCTTTTTAGTTATCACAATACCCTGTGATGAAGGTGGAAGGTGTGTGGAAAACAATCAATAACCTTCCCTAATAGCTTTTTGGGAAAACGGCGGTAATACTTTTTTGGCTTCTCCTCAGCCATGTACTGATGACATATGGCATCTCCGAATTCCTCCCACTGACAATTTGCCCTGAAGAGTCTCTCATACTGAACTACAGAGGAGAGAGGAAAAAATTTCAAAAAACTAAAGCAGCCAATTTTTGCTGAAAAATCTGGACAGTTAGCTGTTTGGTATCTGATAGCATTTTATTTCATAGGAGACTAGTGAATCCCCTTGTGGCTTCTTTGGTTAATACTTCCCGAAGAGGAGAGGCAGGAATTTCAAGTTCAACTCAAAGTGAACAGTGAGATGTCCATAGCTCCCTATGTATGTGTAACTGGGCTATGGGATAAAATAGGCTATTTTCCATTCTTTGCAACAGAACTTTTATAGCAATGGTTGGGATTTCCAAGACTTCAATGTAAGAAGAGCAGAAAAAGAATAATGAGCACAGATCAAGAAGAATCAGAACTTGGAGAGCCCCAGAGTTGTCCCTAAGAGGGCTGACTGGCTATCCAAGTTACAAAGATGAAAAAATCATGATAAATGCAAGCTGAACAATCTGGCTAGGAAAGACCTTGCACAGTGGCAATACTAATCTTGGAAACATGGTGCTGCCACCCTGCACCTTACATACGGCGGCAGCACCATATTTCTAAGACATTTTATTTGAATTGAATGTTAGTTGGCAGTTTGGTGGAGAAACAGAGTCCAACACCCCAGGGAAAAACCTAGCAATGGCTAGGCTGGATGCCAGATCCCCACCCAAGCAGGACAGCCACCAGTTCAGTCCTGGAACACATCCTGGTTTCACCCACACCATAATGTAAAAAGAAAAGCTGCAGATTAGTGAGTCTCCATGGGCCCCAGGGGTTCTTCTCAGGGGCACTTAACACTTAAGGTATCAGACTAATCTAGAATTAATTACCTACTATGTGTAGGTACTTCTACTATCCCGTCAAGCTTAGTTACCTACCAATGCTTGAGGTACTAAGAGACACTAAGTTTGCCAGCTGCTGGCCTTTAGTGTCTACTCCTGATTGGGGCTGGGACAGCCAGAGTCTGACAATCGGGTGACAGGACTGGAATGCAGGGTCTATCTTACCATGGTACTCTGCCAAGAGTCATCAATCCACTGGTGCAGGAATCCAGTGCCATATAAGGAAATGGAATTCAGCCTTTGGTTCAGTGACCCAGAGTACTAGCTCATATTGTATCAATATCTAAATGATACCAGTTTATAGAAACCTAGCATTAACATTTCAGTGTCAGTGGCCTCATAGAGAGCTTCAACATATGTACCAGATGGATTCGCTCTCTTAGATTTAGTTCCCTTCTCTCAGAAAACTCCTGCAACACCAAAGGAATAATTACTGCTCAGTGAAATACTGCAGAGTTCTAGCCAAAAAATAGTCACATCAATTTAAACCAGCAAATATGAATTTTTGGAAGAGAAAAGAAGCCTCTTTCCAGAGGCAATTATTTGTCTCTTCAGAAATATTTGCCAATATAAAATCTCCGTCCCAAATCTGTGGAACTCAAAAATGAGAATCACAGCAGTGTATCTGCATGGAAGAGGCTGGAAGGTGTCAGGAAGAGGGGCAGATATGGCTTTGCACAGAACCTTGTATGTTGCTGTGACCTGAAAGCTGCAGTGCTAAGGAGAGGGCAACCTAAATCTAAAACTCAAGTGCAGGTGAAGACACACTCACAAAGGAAAGACAACAAATGGCAGAATGATCATCATTTCTTCATGCACGGACTTGACAGGCTGCAAAGCACTTTTCCATCCATTGTCTCACTAGAGCCACCCAACACCTCCGCAAGGTAGGCAGGACAAGGACTGTTAGACCCATTTTACAGAGGAAGAGGTGGGGTGTGGGAGCTGGGACAGCAATCTGTTGATCTTCATTTCAGACTTGCCTCTGTCCCACAACCGTGGCATCATACAGGTGGTGGTGGACACAAAATGGCATATTTTGCCCCTCCAACAGCCACGGCATCCCAACCACACCAGACACTGCTCTCAATTCTTCGAGAAAAGTGGCCCGTTTCTTAGGTTTGAAGGAAGTTGTTCAAAGCCCTCCACAGCCACATCCACCTGTCTTCTACGGAGGCTAGTAGCTAATCTAATCAAATTGTTATTAGGCACTACAGGAGGCACCTTCGCTGTATACCTTCTACAGATAAGTCAATGTATACGTCTCTAGCTACCAAAGACTTTGCTTATAACAGTTCACACTGATTCCCTCTTAAAGCAGTAATGGTCCCACCACCATAACTTCCGCACACTCCAAAGAGCCACCAAGACCCTGGCTGCTGGCCAGTACCTCAGGGAGCTATGAATCACTCCCACTCAAATCTTCATCCCCTTGAATATTTGGGACACCTTTCAACAGTATCACTCTTAGACTGGGACAACCAGATCCTGCCCTAGGCCTCATGGTTGGCAGGGCCTTACTCTGGCCCTGCTGCAGCCACACTCCTCACAGGGCAAGGGGTATAGAGGGCCAAGGGGTCTTGCCAACCCCAAGTCTATGCTTCCCTCTTAGAGGCTATCCTCAGGATACCCATGACCTTGAAATCCTCTGCCCATGTGCCTCAAGCCTGCCTTTGGAGCCTGTGTGATCCTCTTTCCTAGTTCTGTCTTCCTAAGGATGGACTAAACCCTAGGCCTGAAGAGTGACTGAGGGGTGGCCACAGGGCAGCTGTTGCCCCTCCACTCAGTGTTGATGGAGCTTGAACACGTGGGCTATGGCAGTGCTTCTCAAAATTTAATGTGCATGTGAATTACCTAGCATCTTATTAAAATCCAGATTCTGGTTCAGCAGGCCTAGAGTGGGGCCTGAGAGTCCACAGTTCTAACAAGCTCTCAGGTAATGCTGATGCTGCGGACTGGGGTCCACACTTTGAGAAGCAAGGCTCCTCAAATATAATGTGTGGAAGTCCTCTTAGGGGAAGGAACAGAGCGAGAAGGTTGAAGAGAAGTGGGAATTTGCAGTGAGTCTGTATTTTGCACCCTTGCCCCAGGCCACCAAAGTCAGGAGTGGCCTTACCTTTCATCATGCCAAGGAGAAGTATTAAAAGTATGCTGTCCCTGGGCAACAAAGAAAGACAGTCAAGTGGGAGACACCATTTGTCCAATTTGTCCCTGCTTCAAAGCCTATATATCCCTCCCACGATCACCTCCCATGCCAGAAACTGGAACACTACCTCCTGAGACCCTTCACAATGACATGTCATCAATGTTCAATACAACTGCGCCCTTCCACGGACATTTACATGGTGTTTTACTACTCCGCTACAATGTTTGGTTCTCAGAAAGAATACATTCCACCTTGCGTGTCGGTAGTCAGCATCAGACACTGAACAATAACACCTCCTACCAAGCAATCATTCATACGCCCTGGCCTGAGAAGGAGGGTTGGGACCCTTTATGTGGACCTGACACACCCATACTAACACATAGCCAAGAATCCATAAAACCCCAGTCTTAGGCACTGGTACACTAACTAGTCACAGAAAATCTATATTCAAATTACCAAACCCACATGAGCAAGCCTGGATTTTTTCCTGTCTTTTATTATTGTAAAGAGAAAGGTTAAAATAAAAATAAACACAAAACCACAAAAATATTGTTTAATTGGAATATTCAACTTGGAGAGCAAACTAGCTAATGTATTCCTGAGGCACAGTCATTTTTAAAACTTTTACAACATAGAATCACCTATTTAAATCCAATGGTAGTGTAAGTCCATATAAAACAGATACAAACACAGCTGTCTGGCTGAAACGGGGGTTGCCAGCCCAGGGCCCTGTTCACTTGGCACCTCAATGAGTGATACATATAAGAGGCCCCAAGGCAACTCCAAGAAAGCCCTGGTGCTCTAAGGTACCCCATTTGAAAATCACCACTAAAGCATATGTCACTTTATTATGTCCTGGATTTTTCCCATCTTTTATTATTGTAAAGAGAAGGGTAAAAATAAAAATAAACACAAAACCACAAAAATATGGTTTAATTGGAATATTCAACTTGGGGAGCAAACCAGCTAATGGGTTCCTTTCTTTCTAATCACACTGATTAGCACTCAGGCTTAAGAGAAGCAAAAAATGATCAGATGAAGGAAGTCATGCCACGGTCATGTGGGGGATGGGTCACAGAGCTGCCAAATGTTTTAACAATGCATCTAAATGAAGCCTCATGATCACTTGAGTAATACAGAGAACTGGGTCTGAGTCCTACTTCCACAGCTAACTGGCCTTGTGATGTTAAATAAAGCCCTTCCCTTCTCTCAGCCTCAGACATAGGATCCAGACTGGCTTTGCCCAGCCCTGACGCTCTGGGATTTTATGATATTCCAGAATTCCATATTTAAGTGAAGAATCATGGTCACATCGTCCATCACAGATAGATGCTAGAGGAAAATAAAGGAAACCTTTATGTTGTTCCTGCTGGCATGTTTCCATGCTTTCCTTCAGAAGCTTGAAGCATTTTAATAACTTATTCCATTGGATTCACAGCAGAAAAACAAAAAGGAAATTAATCTTGAAGAAATCATATGTCTCTGCAATCTTTGAATATATGTTAGTAAGGTTCCAGCTACTTCTGCACACTGGCAGCCCTTACTGACTTCTGGATCCAGAAAGAGAGAGAGAACAGCATTTGCCTGTTTGGAAGGAGGGAGGTGGTCTTTAGGGAATAAGATCAGGGAGTCAGGGAGGAGGAAGAAGCATTTGCAGTAGTCTAGATAGAGATAAGATAATGAGGACCTGAACCAAGGCCACATCAATGGAGGTAGAAAGAAAAAGACAGACGCGAGAGACATTTAGGAGAACAAACTGACAGGACTGTGCGCTGACTGATGTTCCAGAGGAGGGAGGGGGAGATGGCATACATGATGGTGCCACTATCCAAGTTATGACTGAGGAGAAAAAAGATTTGAGAGGCAAGAAGACAGATTATAGGTTGGAATGTTGACTGTGAGATGTCTGGGGTCATCGGGTAGAAATGTCCAGCAAGCCTTTGGTTATACTGGTATAAAGTCACACAGGCCTAGGCAAGTCAAATGTAACCACAAGATTAACTTGGAAGTCCTCAGCATATAGGGCCTCTGCCTCCTTATAATTATACCACATTGCCTCATTTATTCATTAAACTACTTAAAGTCCCTCCCAAAAAATATTTACAGTCCCTACTTACTTTGCTACGCAAAAGGATATATGGGTTAATATTTGAGGTGGTGGATATGTTAATTAGCTTGATTTAATCATTCCACATTGTCTTCATAAATCATAACATCACTTTGTACCCCATAAATATATGTAACTACAATTTGTTAATTTACAATTAAAAAATAAAAATTTTGTAAAATAATAAATAAAATATAGGCATGGTCTCTGTCCTTGTATAGCTTACATTCTAGTGGGGGAGACAAGTTTTTTTAAAAAATACAAGTATAATTTTAAATTGTGATAAATACTATGGAGAAGACAAATAGGTACAGTGATCAAGAATACTAGGGGGAAAAAGAGAGACTTATCTGAAAAGGCCTTTAAACCAAGGTTTGAAGGGCATTCCTGGACAAGGCAACAGACTACGTGAAGACCTAGAGGCAGGAAGAATTTAGTCACAAGGCTGGGAGACCCATTACCTTGGTCTCTGTGCTATGCCTAGAATACTTGCTGCTGCTGTTACTGACATTTAAATGATAGTGGCTGGGCGCGGCGGCTCACACCTGTAATCCCAGCACTTTGGAAGGCCGAGGCGGGCGGATCACAAGGTCAGGAGTTCAAGACCAGTCTGGTCAACATGGTGAAACCCCGTCTCTACTAAAAATACAAAAATTAGCTGGGCATGGTGGTGTGTGTCTGTAATCCCAGCTACTCGGGAGGCTGAGGCAGGAGAATTGCTCGAACCAGGACCTGGGAGGTGGAGGTTGCAGTGAGCTGAGATTGCACCACAGCACTCCAGCCTGGGCTACAGAATGAGACTCCGTCTCAAAAAAAAAAAAAAAAAAAAAAGATAGTAATGAAGTACTACAATAAGAATAAGACATGATCATAAAATTATACCAAAGCCAAAGCACTTAATGCCTATGAAATGGTGTTTAACAGTTTTATATTGTCACTGATGGGGCCGGATACAGATGGTTACATTAGTTGGATATAATATTAACTAGGCAAAACTTTAAATAAAATTGCTACAGAGATCTGCATTCCATTACCAATAGCTCTGATTGCCTAAATCACACTAGCATACTGAAGCCACACTCTGGGCAAAGCCACCATTCTGTAGAGTTTCTGTCAAACACTGTTATTGAGGAAGCAATACTTAAAATAACATTCCTTTTAATGATTAGAGTTGGCACAAACTGCAGGACAGAAAAAAATTCTATATAGCCACTGGGGAAAGGATAAGTAGGTTGTGTTTTGCAATTCCTTCCTGGTGAGTTTACAATTATTCCACAGCATGACAGCTAAAATGCCTAAGAAATCACTTACCTGAATCTCAATAATAATTAGTCCCCTATTCTTTGTATGTTCACCATGAGTTCTGTTGACCTCACCACATGGAAAGATTAAGTTTACCCATTTACAGTTCTAAGTATTTATTCCTTACAGGCAAACAAAAGTATGCTGGAGGTTTAACAATTTCTGGCCAACAGTGTGTATTTTAACTAGGATGTTTAAGATGCATCGGTTGAATAATTAATGTATAAATCTTAGCCAGCTGGGTAAGGAAAATGAAACAAGCTTTATTTGTTATAGATATAGATTTAGCTATATTAAAGTCTTTCTGCTTTTAAGATGAAGTCTCTATGTCAAAAAAAAGCCAAAATACAGAAATACTCCTGTTCGTAGTGTAATTAAAAAGGAAATTAACAAATTGTGTTAATTTGCTGTACTCGTAATTTGGCTGAAGACTGTGGTGTTGCAGTATTACCATTTGGGTGTAGGAAAGCATGCAAATGAATCTACCAGCACTTATCAACTCTTCACTTATTTCCTCATTTGTTAAACTATTCAGAAACGTGTGGCCTGCCTATAGTAAGCTATAATTAGGGCTACTTTTAATAATTAAGGGCTATTTTTAAAATTAACATTTTAAAGTCCACTGGTAGCCCTTACATCTTTTGTCTCACACTGGCAGGACCAACAGGGTGCCAGTTCAGAAGAAGCAAGAAGAAGCACTTAATTTTACTGTAGCCCTCAGCAAATGAGCCATGTGTGATTTTGGCAAAGGAGGAAGGTCACCCAGCTTGCTGGTGGTATGTGCGTCACTAGGGGGTCTATCAACTCCATCAGAGTCCCTGGAACACAGTGAACCTCTGGTTTAGTACTGGTATGTAAGATATTGCATCTCAGAGGTCAAGGAGCACAACTGTTCAACCCTATTCAATTTGCTTCCTGCCATTTCCACAAATGCTAAAAAGTTGACTGTCTTCAACACTCCTGGCTCTAACGAAGAAGCTGGGGAAAGGATTTTACTATTTATAGTTTAGTTTTGACTCTCAGGGTTTTCATAGGTTCAACTCAAATGTAGTGCTTAGGGTATATTTATTTTTCTCAAGTCAAAAAAGCCAAATGCCAAAGCCACAGAATTCTTTTCTATGCTTTAGAACTCACAACTGATAGATGAACTATACATCTGTGCCTCCTTGATCCTCATTGTATATATGGGGAAACTGAGGCACCAAACATTTAGATGACTTGCCTAATGTTTCATGGCCAATTAGTGGCAGAGCACTGGCTAAAACCCAAGCCTCTTGCCCCCTCTCCCACAAATCTCCATGGAGAGCTCTTCCCAGCACACTATATCACCCCCACCAAAAGTGAGACTGCTATAAAATGTCTGGACATGAGTTGTATAGGGTAATTTACTGATACAAAGAAAGATCCACAGGGTTGTCAGTGAATAGACACTCAGGCTTTTAAAGAATGGCCTGCTTACTGAGCTGCTCAGCCTCTCCCTGGGGTCAGACCAAAGTTTAACAATGTGTTGCATTAAGAAAGATACTGAGGGGTCCCCCACAAGGTCGGACACCATGGCTCAACCAGGGTTTGGCTGGCTTAGACTTGTTCCTTACAACTGTTACCTCTAACCCTGACCCAACTGCCTGTGATCTGGCTCAAGACCAACACTCTTTGGCTCCTCCCTTGGTTCATTTTTAGATTCTTACTCTTTCTTCCTCCCTCCCAGCTTCCATCCCTCCATAATTCCTCTGTTCTTGAATCCTCTACCCTACCTGCCCCCTCATCCCAGGATTCAAAGTCCAGGACGCCACAGCTGGAGTACTCTCTCCCTTGGTGCACTAGTTCTTGTAGATGAGAACCAGAAGTGTGGAGTAAGGTAGGGAAGGCAAGAGTATTTAAACATCTTTACTTTTTCAAAAAATCAACTAGAAGGTTCTATCAATTTCCTTCCACAAGAAGGAATTGCAAAACACAACCTACTTATGCTTTCCCAATGGCAACCTTTTTCATAGATACAGTACAATGAAAAAATAATCAAAAGCTGACCAAGGGCTTTGCAAACATCTTGAAGGGCCTATGGAAGCATCAGGAAGATGAAATTTTATTCTACCATAATTAAGACTGAATGTACTTTCCTAAATTCTTGACTTTTCAAAATTGTTCACCTCTATATGGTTTACAGCAACTTATTCCTTGTAGAATATTTTCTAGGTATAAAATCACTATTATTTGGGGCTATTGTTTTTGTGATTTTTTTCAAAGAGCCAGGAAGACACCTCAACAATCATAAAGATAATTCCTCATTAAATGGCATGAGTAGAGATCTTTCATTTAGCGAAATAAGCTTTCTGTAGGGAAAGTTACCCAGAAAATTAGAACTTGTTTAGCAAATGTGTGTCACATCAGTGATTGGCAATAAAATAAACACAGGAAAGTATAAATTCAATTCATGCCATTTCTAAATTTGTGATAACTCAGTCATGGCTGGCATATTTCACCTTTCCTCTATCAATTAAAGAAAGAGCTAGGTCAAATGGTATTTCTAGTTCTAGATCCCTGAGGAATCGCCACACTGACTTCCACAATGGTTGAACTAGTTTACAGTCCCACCAACAGTGTAAAAGTGTTCCTATTTCTCCACATCCTCTCCAGCACCTGTTGTTTCCTGACTTTTTAATGATTGCCATTCTAACTGGTGTGAGATGATATCTCATAGTGGTTTTGATTTGCATTTCTCTGATGGCCAGTGATGATGAGCATTTTTTCATGTGTTTTTTGGCTGCATAAATGTCTACCATTTGACCCAGCCATCCCATTACTGGGTATATACCCAAATGACTATAAATCATGCTGCTATAAAGACACATGCACACGTATGTTTATTGAGGCATTATTCACAATAGCAAAGACTTGGAACCAACCCAAATGTCCAACAATGATAGACTGGATTAAGAAAATGTGGCACATATACACCATGGAATACTATGCAGCCATAAGAAATGATGAGTTCATGTCCTTTGTAGGGACATGGATGAAATTGGAAACCATCATTCTCAGTAAACTATCGCAAGAACAAAAAACCAAACACCGCATATTCTCACTCATAGGTGGGAATTGAACAATGAGATCACATGGACACAGGAAGGGGAATATCACACTCTGGGGACTGTGGTGGGGTTGGGGGAGGGGGGAGGGATAGCATTGGGAGATATACCTAATGCTAGATGACGAGTTAGTGGGTGCAGCGCACCAGCATGGCACATGTATACATATGTAACTAACCTGCACAATGTGCACATGTACCCTAAAACTTAAAGTATAATTAAAAAAAAAAAAAGAAAGAGCAACAACAGGTTTCTGAGTAAATTAAGAGTATAAACATGAGCTCTTAGGGGATGTTTAACCCAGTTCAGAGAACAACTCTTTCCAAGCTCTCTAACAAATTCATTTGCATATAAATAATTAGTGTGCTGATTTCAAATGACCTTTACCTACTCATTGGAGTATACTCGATCAAGACCTCTACTTGGCAATATTTTGTTAGCTTTTTATAATATCATTTCTGCTTGAAAATAAGAAAAAAATTATTATTTTAAAGAGATCTCATTAAAGAACATTAAGAAAATGTCTGTCCATAAATGCCTCATGCAGTAAGACATGAGGCAGTTTGCCCCATTATTCAGGGTATATAAACCAAGTCTCCACTTAGGATCCAAAATGCCCAGTACTTTAAGAGAGTCAAAGGGAAAGACCATGCGCTTGTATTGCTTTTACAATTTAAAAAATCTACTTAGTGTAGAAAATTTCAGAAAATAGGTAGATAAGTGTTCTAGTAACTCAAATTCTATCTGAGCCTGAAAGGTAACTCAGAGGTCATGCAGGATGACCCAACCCCTGACAACAAAACGCTCAGCATATGCCCAGAAACCTGGCTTTTGCTTAAGGATATCCAGAGCCTCAGAGCTTCCCATCTCCCAAAGCTCTTCCCATCATCCAACAGTCAAAGTATTAGTCTTTCCTTATATTGGACCAAATCTGTCTCCCCGTAATTCCTACATATTGGTCCAAGTTTCTAGGGGAAAAAAACAAAACAAACAAACAAACAACAACAACAACAAAAATGATGTTTCTATGGTTCTTTACACAGCACTTTCCACATACACATTCTCATTGGACTATCTTAATAATCCTGTGAAGCAGTTATTCCTACTACCCTTGTTTCACAGATGAAGACCTGGAGGCTAAGAGAGGCTCAGGAACTACTGACGGTTGCAGAGTGGTGAAGTGTCAGAAGCAGGGCTTGAACTCAGGTTTTCTAACTCCACCTTTTATAGCATTTTCAGTATCCCTTGTTGCCTCAAACATTAAAAAGAGAGAGAGAGAAATACGCTGCTTCTGCTTCCCCATGGGAACAGCCTTTGAAGTCGAAAGGGGGTAGAATTATTGAAGATGCACTCTCCACACATTCTCTCTGAGAGATGTCTTACTATTCACTTGGGTTTAAACTGCCCAGACATAGAGGCCTTGACCTGTATTTCCAGCCTAGACACATCCTGAGTTCCAGAACAAAATAGCTGCTCTCCCCTCTGGAAGTCCCACAGTACCTCAAATTCAGCAGGTTCCAAGCTGAATTTATCCAATTTTTTTGTACATTCTATCTCCACTGTTCATTCCTGAACTTGGTCAAAAATACCACCATCTACTCAGACAGCCATGCCAGAAACCTGGAGAATTACCTTAGACACTTTTCTCTCCCTCACCAATCCTCCCCACAACATCGTAAGAGTTTCACCATTTTGCATCTGCCTCTTCCTCTCTGTCCTCACTGCTACTGCCTTATACAGTCCACCATATCTCTTAGATGAATTCAGTGACCTTCAAAATGGTCTCTAGGCGTCTAGTAGCATCCCTTTCAAATCTACCTGCCTCCATGTAGACTGTCACCAGAGTGATGCAACAGGGCAGTCTATGTCACTCATTGCCTCCACATGTGACTCTCAAATCTAGCTAACTAAGAAAATGCCTGTTCCCCAGATGATTTCAATAATTCAGCAATGTGTAGTAACTAATGGTGTACAAAGCAAAGTCTACGTACTCAATGATCTGAATCTCACCTACCTCTCTAAGTCATCATTTCTGCCATTTTCCCCTTGGCAAGGAATACTCCAGCAATCCTAAAAACATACCATACTGGTTTGCACCTCTGTGCCCTGACTGGGGCTGATCTCTCAGCCTAGAATATCTTTACCCTTGGCCAATCTCCAATGAACCTTCAAAACTTAACTGAGGTGTCACTTCTTCAGGTAGTCTTTCACAACATTATCAGACTGGATTAGGTGCCCCTCCGTATGACTCCACGGCATCACACAAAGTTCTCTATCATGACACTTAGCATATTGTGTTGAAATTATTTGCTCATATTCTGACAAGCCTATAAGCTCTCAAAACCAAGGAACATGTTTATTCATCACTGATAAGTACCTGTCACTTAGTAGATGCTTAGTAAATGTTCACCTGAAATGGATCTAATTTCAAGTGTAGGCTCCATACTTGGCTAACTGTAGAGTTGAATTTTAGGAAACTCAATTCAGCTGCTTAGACCTCAGTTCGCCAAACTGTAAAATAGGCACAATAAATCCCCACGTTTGGCCAGGTGTGGTGGCTCATGCCTATGATCCCAGCACTTTGAGAGGCTGAGGCAGGATGACCACTTGAGGCCAGGAGTTCAAGACATGCCCGGGAAACCCTGTCTCTACAAAAAAAAAAACAGCCAGGCATTAGTGATGGTGCATGCCTTTAGTCCTAGCTACTTGGGAGGCTGAAGCATTAGGATCACTTGAGCCCAGAAGTTCAAGGCTGCAGTGAGCTATGATCGCACCACTGCACTCCTGCCTGGGCAAGAGTGAGAGACACCCTGTCTCTCTACAAAGCAAAATAAAACAAAAACCTCCATGTTCATTCATACACTAAACATGTGATTACTAAGGGACAGGCACTAGCTTGTGTGAAGATTTAATAAATTGAATAATGTATGTGAGAGTTTTTGTAAACTCTCACATAGTATTATAAAGATATTTCTGCAATTTTAGCTTCTACTTAGTGTCTCAGCCAGAAATAATTTCATTCCCTAAAGCCAAAGTTAACTAAGCTTTTAGTCTCCATTAGGCTCACCAAGGTATCAGAGGAAGAAAGCCACATGTGAACAAATATGAACCTAAAAGAGTCAATCCTTCAAGATGGATCCCAAGTGGCTAACTGGGCCTAAATTTAAAATACAGCCAGGCAGCCATTTGCTGACTAAAGGTCACTCTGAGTTTCCCAAAAACTCCCACCTCTCTTTAACTTTGGGACTTTCAGAGCTCACCTATACCAACCAATTAGGGCTTAGCTGTATTTACCAATCAGAACTTAGCTGCATCAACCAACTAGAACTAAGCCCATTTCAATATTTCATTTGCATAAATAAACCTGATTAGGAACTCAGGCAGAAACTTTTGCTATAAAACCCAAACACTCTCTTTGTTCTCTGAAACATAACTTCCTTTTATACAAAAGGCTGTGTCTCCTGAGTTCGCAAACTGTTCACTGGAATAAGGTATCTTTCCTCCGAATTCCTTTCAGAAAACATTTTTTTCACAGCCACTTAACTCAACAGGAACTACACTGGCCTAAACGAGACTGGAAGTGCACTCTGGGAAAGGATAACACAGTAAAAAGCCACTTTGGCAGAGGCAGCGCTAATTTCCTAAGGACACAGGCTTCACAAGTAAGCACTACTGAGGAAAGGTCACTGAGCTCCAATCCTTCTCCTCACTGACATCTGCCCTAACTCGTACTCAGATTTCCATAGTAAAGGGTGTGGATCCTGGTGGAGCAGGCAAAACTGAGCTAAAAAGATGACTTCCAAAGACTCATCCAGGTCTTCCTGGGGCTTGTCTACTCAGGTGAGTACTGAGTACCCTGAGATTATCCTGGGGAGGTCACTCCCAGGGGCAGTTTTAAAGTTTAGTCCCACAGAGCTGAGGGGAGCCAAATTGATTTGTTTGCCCCCAGGAATTTGAGCCCAGAGCCCCGCACTGTTCTTTACCCAAAAACACTGCTATCCCTGAGTGCTTGTATCCTGTAGGCCTAGAAGGGACCATAAAACTTCCCAAAGTCCTTGGACTAGAGGTTATTGGGCCTGTTCGAGGCTCTCGCCCTCTACCATAGAGTTGCTCATTCTCTTGGGGTAAGTTCTAGTCTGAAGATTGCTTCTCAGAATCCCAAGCTCTGCAGGCTTCTATCAATAACACCATGTGACATCATTCCCAGGCCACTAAAGGAATCTGATCTCTCATTGCTCCAAAAGTGACTACTAAAGCAGGAGAGCCATCAGAAGTTATATGCCAAGAGCCAAGCGAGGAAGGGCTGGAAGCATTTCCTTTACATACAGAGCTCCCAGAAAGTATGTAAATCCACATTCACTGAAGCCGGTTCTTATCGACCATCCCTTTTGGATTCCAGCCATGTGATCGTGTCTACCTCCAAGAAATCTCAGATGGTGGTTCACTAAGTAAAGAAGGCAGGAAGAAGCATCTGAGCAGAGGGAACACATTAAAAGACAGAAGAATATTTCTGGAGTGACAAGAGACAAAGCTGAAGAAGTAGGTAGGGAGCAGTACAATATGACAGGCTAAAGAGCTTAAACTATATCCTTTAGAAAAGTAAGCAGCCACCAGAGAGACAGTAAATATTGTTGTACTTGTTCTTATTTTGATTTGTTCTTTGCAGTGAAATGGCATGACTAAATTTTCAATTTAGAAATTCACTTTGTGTCAGTAGACTGCACGAAGCGGGTTGGGGGGCATGGTAAGAGACTAGACAGAAAGGCAAGATTGAAAATCACTGAAATAGTCTAAATGAGAGATGATAAAAGCCTGGACAAAGAAGCAGCATGGGGATAAAGACAGAATATTAAAGAGAGTTTTAGAATAGTACTGACTTGGTGAATATTTGGCTTTAGGGGAGAGGGAGAAAGGAGGAATGATGGTCAGATGTATGTCCTGAGAACCCAGATGGATGGTCATGCCATTGACTGGAAATATGACAAGAGGAACAAGTTTGGGGGCAGCTAAGGTGGGGAGAGTTAAGTTTGGACATGTATCCAATTGCACATCTATTCTACAAATGTCCATCTATCCAGTTGGACATCTGTCCTACAGATAGTTTGATATATGTGTCTGAAGTTCTCAGAATATTCCAAGGCTAGAAATATTTATTTGGGAGTTATGTGTGTAAGTGATAGTTCATATCTTAAGACTACATACAAATAGCCAAGAAGGAAGGTAAACATTGATTTGTAAAAGATTGTGGACGGTTGGACACAGTGGCTCATGCCTATAATCCTAGCACTCTGGAAGGCCAAGGCAGGTGGATCATTTGAGCTCAGGAGTTCAGAAGCTCAAGACAAGCCTAGGCGACATGGTGAAACCCTTTAGCTGGGCATGGTGGTGTGCACCTATGGTACTGGCTACTCAGGAGGCTGAGGTGGGAGGATCACTTGAGCCCAGGAGGTGGAGGTTGCAGTGAGCTGAGATCTTGCAGATAGGTAATTTAAGGGGCAGATAAGAATAACCTGAAATAAAACGATCAAAGACAGGAGAACCAGAAGAGTAAGGGATCAAAAAAGTCAGAAGAGGATAGAGATCAGGAAGGAGAGAATACAAAGTAAAGAGAAAACATATGCAAAATATTATGAAAGTAATGTGGAACTTGGCAACAAACTGATTCCTTCCTATCTCATTTCTCTTACATGTAAATATGATGCCAAATTGAAAGTCTGGATGATTAGAAGAATAGTCTAATCATTAGAAGATTAGTTAATCTATGATTAACAGAAATAAGGAACACAGAGGAAGAATAAATTGATTGGGAGGAAAGATGATGAATTTCAGTTGTGACACACTGATTCTGCAATTAGGGCATTAATGGCTAAGAAACAGATGGGAAACTGCGACAATCTCAGGAGAAAGGTCAAAGTTGGAAGTAAATATTGGAAATCATCTGCACAAAGATTTTAGTGAAATCCATGAAATTCCCATGGAAAAGAATATCAAAAGTGAAGAGGCAAAGAAGATATACAAATGGTCAATAAGCACATGAAAATATGTTCAATGTCATGAGTCATTATGGAAATACAAGTCAATCATAATGAGACACCAGTTCACACCCACTACAATGGCTATAACAAAAAATACTGATAACAAGCATTGGTGAGGATATGGAGAAAACGGAACCCGTCTACACTGCTAGTGACAACGTAAAATGCCACTAGCAATGTAGGAGGCATGGCAATATAAAATGGTGCAGCCGCTTTGGAAAAGTTGTTCAGTTTTTTTTTTATTTTTTTTTTAAGAGTTAAACATTGAGTTATCATATGACTCAGCAGTTCTACTGCTGGGTATCTACTCAAGAGAAATGACAACATATATTCATATAAAAACTTCTACCAGGCCGGGCACGGTGACTCACGCCTGTAATCCCAGCACTTTGGGAGGCTGAGGCAGGTGGATCGCCTTGGTCGGGTGTTCGAGACCAGCCTGACCAACATGGAGAAACCCCGTCTCTACTAAAAATACAAAATTAGCCAGGCATGGTGACACATGCCTGTGATCCCAGCTACTTGGGAGGCTGAGGCAGGAGAATCACGGAGATTGCACTCCAGCCTGGGCAACAAGGGCAAAACTCCGTTTCAAAAAAAAAACTTCTACCAAATGTTCATAACAACATTATTTACAATAGCCAAAAGGAAGTAACTCAAGTGTCCATCAAGTGATAAATGAATAAACAAAATGTGGTATATCCATATGATGGAATATTAGCCATAAAAAGAAACTGGACTTTAGTAAAATTAAACCAAAAACCTTATGCTCTGTGAAAGGTACTGTTAAGAGAATGAAAACAGAATCCATAGAGTGTGAGAAATATTTTCAAAACACATATCTGATAAAGGATTTGTATCCACTATACAAAAAAAGAAAACAATCAATTTAAAAATGGGAAAAATATCTAAACAGACATCGCATCAAAGAAAATGTATGGATGGCAAATAAGCATGTAAAAAGATGCTCAACATCGTATGTTATCAGAGAATTGCAAATTAAAACCATGAACTACCAGTACAAACCTATCAGAATGACAAAAATCCAAACAACTTACAACACCAAATGATGGCGAGGATGTAAAGCAACAGGAACTCTTATACATTGCTGGTCAGAATGCAAAATTACAAAGCCACTTTGGAAGCCAGTTTGGCAGTTTCTTACAAAGATAAACATAGTCTATGCTCACTGGTATTTACCTAAATCAGGTGAAAACTTATGTGCCCACAAAAACCTGCACACAAATGACTGAAGCAGCTTTATCCATAATTGCCCCAAATTGGAAGTAACCAAGACGTTCTTTAAAAGGTGAAGGGATAAACTGTGGTAAATCCATACAATAGAATATTACTTAGCCATAAAAAGAAATGAGCCATTAAGCCAAAGAAAGACAGGGAAGAAGCTTACATGCATATTACTTAGTGATAGAAGCCTCTGAAAAGATTACATGCTATATTATTCCAATTATATAACATTCTGGGAAAGGCAAATCAAAAGATCAGTGGTTGGTAGGTGTTCACAGGGAGGAGGGAAAGACTGCCCTAAAAGTCCCCTGTGTTTTACCTTTTCATCAAAACTACTCTGTATGATACTGTAATGGTAGATATATGACATTAGACATTTGTCAAAACCCATAGAACTGTACAACACAAAGAATGAACCCAAATGTACGGACTTCAGTTAATCATAATGTGTCAATATCAATTCATTGATTATGACAAATATACCACACCAATGCAAGATGTTTGTGGGCAAAATTATGGTCAGGAGTGGAGAGGAGGGCAGTATAAGGGAATTCTCTGTACTATCTGCTCAATTTTCTGTAAACTTAAAACTGCTCTAAAAAGTAGTCTGTTAATCAAAAACGAAAACTTAAAAAAGAGAGAGAATAAAGTGCTGCTACATGCTACAGTATGGATGAACTCTGAAAACGTTACACTAAGTGAAAGAAGGCTGCCATAGAAGACCATACAGTGTGTGATTCCATTTATATGAAAGGTCCAGAATAGGGGAATTCTATGGAGATAGAAAGTAGATTAGTGGTTATCTAGGACAAGGGGGGGAATTAAGGGGAAATAGAGGGTGACTGCTAATGGGCATGGGGTTTCTTTCTGGGGTTTTCAAAATGTTATAAAATCTATTGTGGTGGTTGTGGTGATGGTCTAGAGCTCTGAATACACTAAAAATCACTTTAAATGGGTGACTTGTATGCATATCTCAATAAAACTGTAAAGATGGTAACGAGTTTGAAAATCTCAATAAAAAGGACAATTTTCTAGGAAAATTAGCTAACTGGAATCACAAAGAAGTAGAAAACGTGGGGAAAAATAGGGTGTTACACATTTTCCTCTGATGATTGTTACAGTGCCCAGACAGCTTTATGAGCAAGTTCTTTTTAATTTACAAAGAACAGGTAATTTCCATGCTCTAAAAGCGGTTCTCATTATAAAATAAAAGAAGGAATAAGCCCATTCATTTTATAAAATTAAAGTTATCCTGATCACAAAACCTGACGAACACCCACACAAATACACAGAGAAAGAAAACTGAAGACTAATGTCACTTAGGAATATAGATGCAAAAATCCTAAATGAAATGCCAGCAAGCCAAATCTGGCAAGACATTATGAGCAAGGAGGGATTATTTCAGGAGTGCAATTTACTATCAGGAAGTCTAGACATATAACTCATCACAACAATCAGTTGAAGGAGAAAACCTGAACAAATGACAAGAAATTAATATTTCAAATTTATTTTTTAAATCTATTAATAAACAAGGAAAAACCTATACCAAAACATAAAATTGGGCAAAAAAGAAAAAAATAGTTCAGTTTTACTTGTAATTAAATAAATGTTAATTTTAAAATATGATAATCAATTCTTTGTAGTCAAATTGGCAAAATAGTAATATCAAGAATTTGGGAAAAAAAGGATATACCAATATTCTGCCTCTAAGATAAAAATTGTTATAGGAACATTTAGTAATACCCATGAAAAGCCTTAAAAATTAACATACAGGTGAAACAACAGTTGCACGTCTAGGAATTTCTTCACAGGGAACAATCAAGGACTTGGAAAGGTGTAGTCACACACTACTTACCTCTGCATTGTTTATAGTACAGAAAAACAGAAAGTAACTGAAATGTCCAGCATTAGAAGATTCATCAAACAAATTCTGGTTTGTTCATTCAGTGAAATGCCATGTAACCAGTGAAGGTAAAAAAGAACAATGAACTTAGGTATTCTGAATACATTCAATAAAAAAAGCTTATGAAAGAGCATGTAGAATACAGAGAAAAGAAGGCTGGATGGTTACAATAAAATGTTAATAGTGGCTGTCTCTGAGTGGGAAGAATACAAGTAACTTATATGCTGTTTTTTTTGTATATCTGTGATTTTGTACATGTTCTATAATAAACATATATTACTTTGGTAAAGAAAAATATAATAAGAGTGTATTTTAATGTATATGTTCTTAACTAAGAAGTTTTGCTGCTAGAAATTTATCTTTAAAATCAGACATTTACAAGATTTATGTATAGGAACACACATTATTATAAAAGCAAAAAAAGGAAACCAACTAAATGTCTAGCAATAGCAATTATAAAGTATGAAATAACTATGGCTATACAATGGAATACTAGGCAGCTATTAAAAATCATGAGGTAGAAGAACATATAATGACAAAGAAGATTAAGCAAAAAGGCAGATTATAAAATAGTAAATACAAAATGAGGCTAATTTTTTTCTTTCATTTTATACATTTTTAATTTTTTTAATTTTTAATTTTGTGAGTAGTTAGTATGTATATATATATGTATATATATATGGGGTAAAATTTTTAAAAATAAAACCATATGGAAAAAATACTGGAGGGAAATATACCAAAATGAACATCAATTACAGTTCTCCCGAAGCCAAAGAACCACTGGTAATTTGTTTATTTTCACCGTTCTGCATTTCACAAACTTTCCACAATAGATTTTAAACTCTAAGGCATTTGAGGAGCAAGGAGCGAGAAAAGGTATACAACCATAGTAATTCTCTCTGCTGCCATTATACTAGGCATTTATAGTATCCCATAACTGAATGCAAGAATTGCTCCTGTATAAATGGGAAGAACATGGATTAAAACAAATGAGAAAAGGGGCAATGTGCTAATATGTTGTCTGCATAATTTTTTAAAGCATAAACATAAATCTGGAAACCAACATATTACAAGGTTAAGAATGGTTACTTCTTGTTGGTAGGAATGTGGGTAATGGTTAATTTTGTGAGTGTGATTTTTTTTTTAATTTCTGAAAAATAAAAAAATAAAAATTAAAACCAAATGAGAGACCTATAAATATTTCCACTCACTGGTGTTGGGGCAGTGTGAGTACACTTCTTCCTCTGTGTCTGAGACTGTGGGAGGAGCCCAGTCAGTCCCCGGGATGGGAGGGAACATTCATGGCCACTGCTTTCCTCCCCTGGTCTCAGAGGCTGAACATTGGTGCCCTCTCAGTGAAATAACACAGCAATGCTAGTCTCTCCATTCACTGTATGCCAGGGAGCCCCTAATCCTATGGCAACGACCCCATAAATCAGGCTCATGGACCCCTAACCCTTCAGAGCTCCCGGTCAGCAGAGTTCTCTCCCATGCCATGGCCCTCTATTCTGGCTTCTGCACCCTGCCATGAGACCGGGAGCTCCTGGAGGGCAGGGCCTGTAGTTTAGCTCAAACCTTGCCTCTGTGACTACCCTAGTGCCTTGCATAGAGTGGATATTCAATGAACATTTATGAGACTTTGAAAGGCAGGCAGGTATGAAACATCATCTTGGTGCCTGACTTGAGAATAGAGGAACATGGATACTAGCATGTATCCATGAAGCCTTTCATCCTCTCAGGAAAAGCACAATCCAGCCCATGGCTTGGCTACTTCTTGACGTGCGCACGGGTGCAGTAGTCTCATGGATGAGAATGCCACCTAGTGGCATGGATGTGGTAGTCTCGTGGATGAGAATGCCACCAGGGTAGGCATGGGCAGTGATGAAAGCAGGTCAAAGAAGAAATTAAACACGGTTCAAACAGATCTTCTTTGAAATAAAGATATACAAACCATCACAATAAGTGGAACAGTGGGGGCTGGATGAGGTGTCTGTATGAAGGCATGGCAGCTACAAAGTCAATATAGCATCAATATACAAATTTACGTGCGATGCAATAGGTTTCCTTTGTTTCAAACTGAAGGAAGACATTCCATCTCACTGCCAAAGGCTTACAAATTAACGCTGAGGGTCAGGGTTCATGGTACTTACTCAAGGTTCCTGTGGCTGCTGTTGTAGTCCCATAACTTTAAAATCATTCTATCATCTTGGAGTACTTTCTCTTAGTGGGGAGATGATGGAATTTGTTGATCATAAGAAGTATATAATGGGAGAAATCTCCTTTGCTAAAGGTTCATGTAATGAAAGTTATGAAAAAAACCTTTTTTTTCATTAAAGCAAACTAATTTGTCACTGAAGAAAAAGTAATTATTTAAATGTTTAAAGAAACAACTTTTTTCAATAAAGCAAATTAATTCTTTAAATATGTCGGAGTGTCTCCAGGTACTGACTAGTGTTCTTAGAAAAGAAAACTTTTAAGAACAGAAAAATTCAGATCAAAAGAACACAGCCCTTATCTTTCCCCCTTCAAATATAAGTCAAATAGTGGCTGTGAAACTGACTGCAGGGAAATCCCTCCATTTTTTATAACATCAAAATGGAATAAGGCTTCATTGCTCAAGCTCATACATACCAGGTCTGAAAGCACATGTGGGTTAAATATCTCAGACTTGGTTTGTTTGAAATGATGTTCTTGCTTTCAATATGATCAACTAAAGACAGTTACTCTGGACTTAGAGCTTCATGGAACAACATAGACTTGATTATGCCAAAAGTACTTTACACAGCTTGAGAAGTCCACTCTTAACAGGTGCCTTTGGAAGTCAAGGCAAAGGATTTTTTAAAAAATTGAGCTGGAAGAGATCCTGACCAGTATAACTAGACAGCCTGTGGGATTCAAGAGGTAACAGCTTATCTGCTTTTAAACACTAGTACAATAAGAGAGTTCACAATAAAGTTGGACAACCGCCATAACATCTTTTATCGAAACTATTGCAAGTTTCTAACTGATCTTTCTGTTTTCACTTGACCCAATTTGGCCAAACCCACACAGCCTAGCACAGGCTCATAATTCTACCATTATGTGCCTGTGCTCCAGCCAAACTCAATTTCTCACTGTTCAACTGTATCAATATTTGTTTTACCTCTCTAGCAGTGAAAAAAATTGAGTCACCCCAAAAGGTTGTTAGGATCATTCTCAAGTACTGTAAAAACCCTGTCCAGAAGAGACATATCCTCAGACATGCAGTCACACAAGACTCTGCCTTTGAAAATACAGATCTATGGAGGATGAGACAAGAGTTTATATCTCTCTGCACCTGACCTGGGTTGTTTTATTGCTTGTTATGCTACTGACTAATCCAGTGCTTCCCAAACATTTTTGGAGTTTTGACATTTCACTGGTTCTAAGCAAAACAATTGTTTGTATTGTTTTTATAAAATGTACCTATCCTACCCCCAAGAATGCTATAACTTTTCAAAAAAAATTAAAGTTAATTAAAATGAATTTGGCTTTGAGAAATTTAGAACAATTTTGTGAGGTACTTTGAAATCCTATGAAACACTCTAGAATTCCCAAAACAAGGAGTTGAGAATAACTATTTTGGCAAATATGTTTGTCTCTCCATGCTTTGTTATTCCCACCTATAAAATGAAACTAATGATGCTCCTACTCTTTCCCAAGTTTCCCAGTCTGTATATTATGAGAACCCAGGCTTATAGAAAGAACTTTGCTTTCCCCAGAATAAAGGATTCCCATCTAACCCAGATAAAGAAATTTAACTATAACTCTAAAATCTCCTTATGAGATTAACATTCTAAATGTTACCAGCAAAATATGAGATACTGAAACATTACCTGATAACACAGAGACATAAAATTCTTTCAGGCTGCAAAAAGATATTTATGTTACTAAACTTACATTTGAAGATCACAGTGCTTGAGAAAGTGTAGATCCAACATCCAAACATAGTTGCCATTGGGAAGGAACTGCCTTTAGCTTCTGTGAACAGAGGAGTCTCTTCTGAGGTAGGGATGGGAGTTCAGGACTCTGAGAAGATAACATGTCATAATTTCCACTGGGTTCTCTGTTGAAATGTTTCTTTCTGCAGAGAGATTAGAAGTGCAGCACTGGGAGGAGAGGCTGAAAAACAAACATAAGCCTCCCTTGTTGGAGTACATTTTATCCCCACAAAGTTATTTTGTTTGTGATCACAATTCAGTGAATTCTTTTTGATAGAATTCTTTTATTGCAACTGTCTCTAAGAGGCTAAATTTCTCCAAGCAGCACTCTGGAGAATCCCAGCATTAGACAATAATTATAAATAAGGGTTCTACAAGTAACCAGAGACCCAGGCTAAAAGGAATGTGATAGGCCATACAGGGTACGGCTCTGCCTCCAGGCTGAATAAGAATCCTAACCCAAATGGACTGGGAAAGAGTCCATGTCATTCTAAAATAATAACAGGAAAGAATCTGTTATGGATTGAATGTGTCCCCGCAAAATTTATATGTTGAAATCCTGACCCCTAAGGTGATGGTATTAGGAAATGGGTCCTTTGGAAGGTGATTAGATCATGAGGGTGGGACCATCCTAAATGAGATAAGTACCCTTATAAGAACAGGCCAGAGAGCTAGCTCACTCTCTTTCTTCTGTGTGAGAACACACAGCAAGAAGATGGCCATCTGCAACCCCAAAGAGGGTCCTCACCAGAACTCATATTAGCACCCAGATCTAAGACTTCCAGCCTCCAGAACTATGAAAAATAAATTTCTGTTGTTTTCAAGTCATCCAGTTTATGGTACTTTGCTTTGGTAACCCAAACCTTTCTGGATGAGGCAGAATCCAAGAGTTAGAGATTTGAGAGTCAGAAAACACCTCTAGAGATCACTTGTTGTAGCCTTTTGCAGAGAACAAAGGTATTATATTAATTTTCTGTAGGCCTAATGTTAAGGTATCCTTAGGTGAAAATAACTAATGTGACATGAGCTACATATAGTATACAATCTCAAATAACATGATTACACAACTTATTAAGATCCTATGACTATCTTTTGCATATAAAAAAGAAGTTAGCGTAAATTAGTTCTTAGCTAATGTAAAAGTACTGAACAGTCCTTTGTGCTTTTTTTTTTTTTTTTTTTTGAGACACAGTCTCACTCTGTTGCCCAGGCTGGAGTGCAGTGGTTCGATCTTGGCTCACTATAACCTCCACCTCCCGAGTTCAAGCGATTCTCCTGCCTCAGCCTCCCGAGTAGCTGGGATTACAGGCACCTGCCACCACGCCCGGCTAACTTTTATATTTTTAGTAGAGATGGGGGTTTCATCATGTTGGCCAGGCTGGTCTCGAACCCCTGACCTCAAGTGATCTGCCTGCCTTGGCCTCCCAAAGTGCTGGGATTACAGGCATGAACCTATTGAGCAACTGCTTAGGTTAACCTACTCCTGCTCTTACCCAGAATCACGGGTGACTTTGAGCTTTCAGAAGAGGAACCTATCCCTTAAAAGACCCCAAAGAAACCTTGGAGTGATAGAACAACATTTCATTTTCCCTAGGAATTTCTACGTGTTTAGAAAAGGAGGTCTAGATTAAACCAAGCCACTTCTCAGAGCTAACTAGACATACTAACAGGAGGATGCAAGTTTCCCAGATCATAAGCCAGGCAAAACCACACACAATTCCTGCAAGAATGGCCATAATTTAAAAATTAAAAAATAATAGATGTTGGTGTGGATGTGGTGAAAAGGGAACACTTTTACAGTGCTGGTGGGAATGTAAACTACTATAACCACTACAGAAAACAGTATGGAGACTCCTTAAAGCACTAAAAGTAGATCTACCGTTTGATCCAGCAATCACTACTGGGTATCTACCCAGAGGTAAAGAAGTCATTATATGAAAAAGACACTTGTACATGCATGTTCATAGCAGCACAATTTGCAATTGCAAAAATATAGAACCAGCCTAAATGCCCATCAACTAATGAGTGAATAAAGAAAATGTGAGATATATATCTATATCTATATATATATATATCTCCCACATACACCATGGAATACGATTTGGCCATAAAAAGGAATGAAATAATGGCATTTGCACCAACCTCCATGGAGTTGGAGACCATTATTCTAAGTGAGTAACTCAGGAATGAAAAGCCAAACATTATATGTTCTCACTTATAAGTGGGAGCTAAGTTATGAGGACATAAAGGCATAAGAATGATATAATGGACTCAGGACTCATGGGTAAGGGTGGGAGGGGTGTGAGGGATAAAAGACTACACATTGGGTACAGTGTATACTGCTTGTATGATGGGTGCACCAAAATCTCAGAAATCACCACGAAAGAACTTTTCCATGTAACCAAATACCACCTGTTCCCCAAAAAACAATTGAAATAATAATAAATTAAAAAATAAAGAAGATGACATTGCTGGTGTGAATATTAACTGATGGAGCCACTCTGGAAAACAGTTTGGCCATTAATTCTTTCAAATGCTAAATATAAATTTACCATGTGAACCAGCAATTCAACACCTAGGCAATAAATAAAATGAAAACCTATGTTCACACAAAGACTTGTAAGTATGCTCATGACTGAATTATTCGCAATAGCCAAAAAGTGAAAACAATCCAAATGTTTATCAACTATTAAACAGATAAACAAAATATGATACATCCATACAATGAAATACTAGCCAGCAAAACAAAGGAACAAAATACTGATATATGCTACAACATTGACGAGCCTCAAAAACATTATGCTAAGTGAAAGAAGCCAGATACAAAAGACTAGATATTGTGTGATTCTATTTATAGGAAATTCCAAAGACAGGAAATCTACAATAACAAAAAGTAAATTAGTGGTTGCCAGGGTTGGGGATAGGAAGGTGACTGACTACAAACTGGCATGAAGGATCTTCAGAGGTGATGGCAATGTTTTAAGAGTAGATTATGTTAGTGGTTACATAACTGTAAATTCACTAAAAGTTACTGAATTGTACACTTAAAAGGGTGAATTTATGGTATGTAAATTTTATCACCATAAGGCTGATTTTTAAAATGAGGGAGAAATAAGGACTTTCTCAGGAAAACAAAAATAATGATGGAAATCCTAGCCAGTATTCCTACACTACAAGAAATCTTTAAGAGGTTTTTTTATACCGAAGGAATATATTAGATGGAAACATAAATCTTCACAAACAAATCAAGAGTGCTAAAAAGAAATAAATTATCTGATCTAAAATATTACTAGAAGTAAAATATTGTGCAGAAGTAGCTATAGTAATATCAGACAAAGTAAACTTCAGAACAAAGAATGTTGTCAGAAATTGAGATATTACACAATAATAAAGAGGTCAATTCTCCAATTAGATATAAAAAGTATAAATGTGCATGTACTTAACAGAGCTTAAAATATATTAGACAAACTGTGACACTACTGAAAAAATAAAATGACAAATACACAATTATAATGGGAAACTTTAACACTTCTCTCTTAGTAACTGCAGGAAAATGTAGGCAGAAAATTAGTGATGACATAAATTACTTAAACAGCACTACTATTCACCTTGACTTAACTGATACGTATTTTTAAAACTACATCCAATGCACGTTTTTCAGCAGCACATGGAATGTTCATAGAGATCAACCATGCTGTGGGCCATAAAAAAACTCAACAAATTTAAAAGAACTGAAATCATTAAAAGTATATTCTCAGGAGCTGGGCGTGGTGGCTCACGTCTGTAATCCCAGCACTCTGGGAGGCCAAGGCGGGCAGATTGCTTGAGGTCAGGAGATCAAGACCAGCCTGGCCAACACGGAGAAACCCTGTCTCCACTAAAAATACAAAAATTAGCTGGGCATGCTAGTGCATGCCTGTGATTCCAGCTACTTGGGAGGCTGAGGCATGAGAATCGCTTGAACCTGGGAGACAGAGGTTGCAGTGAGCCAAGATTGCATCACTGCACTCCAGCCTGGGTGACAGAGTGAGACTGTGTCTAAAAAAAAAAAAAAAAAAAGAACGTTATCAGGCGATATTGGAAATTAATAAAAGAAAGATATTTGTAAAGAGCACTCTTAAGAGAATAAAAAGACTAACCACAGACTGGAAAAGAATATTTGCAAATCATAAATCTGAAGAAGAACTTGTATCCAGAATAAAAAAAAAACCCTCAAAATTCAACAGTAATAATGATCCACACAGTATGGTACTGAAGGAGGTATAGACACATAGAACAACAGAACAGAATAGCAAACATATACTTTGGGAGGCCAAGGTGGAAGGATCACTTGAGGCCAGGAGTTTGAGACTAGCCTGGGCAACAGAGTGAGACTCTGTCTCTACAAAAAATAATAATAATAAAAAAAGCTGCATATGGTGGCACACACCTGTAGTCCCAGCTACTCAGAAGGCTGAGGCAGGAGAATTGCTTAAGCCTAGGAGTAAGCCATGATTGCATCACTGCACTCCAGCCTGGGCATGGAGTGAGACACTGACTCTTAAAAAGAGACGAAAAAGAGTATCAGAGACAGAAATAGATCCACGCAAAGATGCCCAATTGATTTTTGAAAAAGGTGCAAAACCAATTCAAAGGAAGAGGCAGAGTTTTTTCAACAAGTGGTGTTGAAGCAACTGGACATACATGGCGGAGGGGGGGAAAGAAAGAAAAAGAAAAATGAGCCTTGACTTAAATCTCAAACTTTAACTCAAAATGGAACATAGTGTGAAATGTAAAAATGTAAAACTTTTCAAAAAAACACAAGAGAAAATCTTCAGACATAAGATTAGGTGAGGAGTTCTTACATTTGGCATCAAAAGCATGACCCATAAAAGTAAAAATTGAAAATTATACCTCATCAAATTTAAAAACTTTGCTCTGTGAAAAACTCTTTCAAGGAGATGAAAAAAGACAAATTACAAACTGAGAGAAAAATTTGCAAATTATATATCCCACAAAGGACTTATATCTGGAATATATAAAGAACTCTCAAAACTCAACATTAAAAAAAAAATCCAATTAGAAAAGAGGCAAAAGACATTTAACTGAAAAGGATACACAGATGCCAAATAAGCACATGAAAAGATGTTCAATATCATTAGCCCTCAGGAAAATGCAAATTAAAACCACAATGAGATATTGCTAGAAACCTATCAAAGTGGCTAAAATAAAACACTGTGACAACACCAAATGCTAATGAAGATGTGGAGCAAATGGATCACTGACATCGCTGGTCAAAATGTAAAACTGCACAATCACTCTGGAAAATAGTTTGGCAGTTTCTTTTTTTAAAAAAAAAATTAGTATTATTATTTATTATACTTTAAATTCTGGGGTACATGTGCAGAATGTGCAGGTTAGTTACATAGGTATACATGTGCCATGGTGGTTTGCAGTTTCTTTAAACACTAAAAATGGATTGGCCAGGCACAGTGGCTCACGCCTGTAATCCCAGCACTTTAGGAGGCCAAGGCAGGCAGATTATGAGGTCAGGAATTCAAGACCATCCTGGCGAACATGGTGAAACCCTGTCACTACTAAAAATACAAAAATTAGCTGGGCATGGTGGCGCATGCCTGTAATCCCAGCTACTCAGGAGGCTGAGGCAGGAGAATCGCTTGAACCAGGGAGTTGGAGGTTGCAGTGAGCCGAGAATGCACCACAGCACTCCAGCCTGGCAACAGAACAAGACTCCATCTCAGAAAAACAAAAAAATATATTTACCAAATGACCCAGCAATGGCACTCTTGGGCATTCACCCCAGAGAAATGAAAACTTATGTTAATGTAGAAACTTGTATATGAATATTCACAGAAACTTTATTTGGAATAGCTCAAAGTGGAAACTACCAAAATTGACAATGCTTAAATTATAGTACATCCATACTATGAAATACTATCCAGCAATAAAAAGGAATGAACTATTGATACATGTCACAACTTGAAGGAACCTCCAGGAATTATGCTGAGTGGGAAAAAAAGCAAATATGAAAAGGAAACATACTATATAGTATGCTTCCATGTATATAACATCCTTGGAATAACAACATTATACAGATGGTAAACCAAATAGTGGTTGATAAGGGTAAGGGATGTAGAGTAGGAAGTGGGTGAGGCTGTGGAGAGGTAATATGAGAGGAATGTTGCGGTGATGGCACAGTTCTGTATGTTGATTGTCGTGGAAGCTACACAAAACTATACATGTGATAAAATTGCATAGAAACACACACACACAAGTATATGTATAACTGGTAAAATCTGAATAACCTCTGTGGATTGTACCAATGTCAATTTTCTGATACTAATATTGTACCATAGTTAGGCAAGATGTTAACATTGGGGAAGGGTGAGTGAAGGGAATACAATTCTTTGCAACTTCCTTTAAATCTATAATTATTTCCAAATAAAGCTTTTAAAATTAACCATAAGAAAACAAGCAACCCAATATTTTGAATGGACGAGAATATAAACAGAAAATTTACCACAGAAGTTAGATGGATGGCAAATAAGCATGTTAAAAGATGTTCAACATTAATAATCATTAGAGAAATGCAAATTATAACCAGAAAGAGATACCACTATACACCTTAGAGTGGCAAAACAAAACAAAAACACACACAGAAAAACTAGCAGTACCAGGTGCTGGCAAGAATGTGGAACAACTGGAACTCTCAAGCCCTCCTAGTGGGAATGCAAAATGGTATAGCCACTCAGCAAAAGTTTGACAAGTTCTCAAAAAGAACTATAACCCAGCAATTTACCAAGTAACCCAGCAATCCCACTCCTATTTACTCAAAAGAAATAAAAACTATGTTCACACAAACCCTGTACACAAATGTTTATAACAATGTATCCATAATAGAGAAAAAATGGAAACAAACCAAGTATCCCTCAACTATAGGACTCATAAACAAAATGTGATACATCTATACAATGGAATATGACCCAGCAATAAAAAGCAATGAACTTCTGGACTGGGTGCAGTGGCTCACGCCTGTCATCCCAGCACTTTGGGAGGCAGAGGCAGGTGCATCACTTGAGGCCAGGAGTTCGAGACCAGCCTGGTCAACATGGCGAAACCTTGTCTCTACTAAAAATATAAAAATTAGCCAGGCGCAATGGTGCACGCCTGTAGTTCCAGCTACTTGGGAGGTTGAGGCATGAGAATCCCTTGAATGTGGGAGGCAGGGGTTGCAGTGGGCTGAGATCACACCACTGCACTCCAGCCTGGGCAAGAGAGTCAGACTATCACACACACACACAAAGGAATGAACTACTGAAAACACAACAACATAGTTAAATCTCAAAAGCATTTTGCTACCTGAAAGAAGCTACATCCAAAAGGTTACAACCATATCATTCTGTTTCTTTGATAATCTGGAAAACTATGGGAATGGAAATTAGATCAGTGGCTGCCAGGGTTGAGAATGGAGAAGGGGATGAATGCCAAGAGGCGGTACAAAGCAATTTCTGAGGTGATGGAATTGTTTGGTAACTTTAGTGATGGCATTAGGCAAAAGCCATAAAACGGTACACCACACCAGTTTGCACTGTGTAAAAAAATAAGTAAACATGCCAAAAAAGGATCCCCCTGCATACCCACCTAAGTGACAACATGTGCTGTCAAGGACGGAGAGCAAATGGAACTCACACATTGCTGGTGGTAATGTAAATTGCTACAGCCGCTTTAAAAATCTGTTTTTCAATATCTGCTAAAATTAAACATATGCATATCCCATAAATCATCAATTTTACCTCTAGACATGTACATAACAGTAATACATATTCACCAAAGAAAGTAAATCCAAGCATGTTCATAGCAGCTTTGCTTGTATTACAAAAACCTGGGAACAATTCCAGTATGTACAAATAGCAGAATGGGTAAATATATCATGGTATACTGATAAAAATGGAATAGTATATGGCAATGAGAATAAAGTATTGCTGACATGACAACATGGATGAATCTCACAAGCAATATTTAATATAAAAATCCAGACAGTAATAAGATTACGCAGTGTACGATCTCATTTATATAAAGTAATAAAAAATGTTGCAAAATAGCGATTACCTTTGGGCAGAAGTAGTGACTTGGAGGGTATTACAAAGAGGTCCTAGCGGTGTTCTATTTTGTGATTTAAGTGCTGGCTATCTTGTTAAGTTGTGAATGTTCATCAGTGCATTCACTTAATATTTGGGCATGTTTTCTGTTTGCAAATTATACTTCCATTAAAAATGTTTTAGGCCAGGCATGGTAGCTCATGCCTGTAATCTCAGCACTTTGGGAGGCTAAGGCAGGAGGATTGCTTGAGGACAGGAATTTCAGACCAGCCTGGGCAACATAGTGAGATCTCATCTTTAAAAAAAATTTTTTTTTAATTTGCTGGGTGTGCTGGTGCATGCCTGTGGTCCTAGCTACTAAGGAGGCGGAGGTGGGAGGATCACTTGAGCCCGGAAGTCAAGGCTGCAGAAAGCTATGATCACATCACTGCACTCCAGCCTGAGTGACAAAGTGAAACCCTGTTTCAAAAAAAAAGTTTAAGAACTTTTAAATGTATGCTTCATTTTCTCTTCTTTTTAAAATTTAGGCTTGCTTATATAGCCAATTGCTAAAAATCTGTAACTAAAACCAAGACTACAGTAGCTCAATGCATAGAAGTTAAAGATAGATAAGGCAATTTTGTAACCTCGCCTTTTACTTTCTGTTTGTTGGCTTTTACATTACTTCAAAATTGTTAAGGAGTAATAAATGCCTGTCCACGTCCATTCCTGTCTGGCCTAGAACATTTAAACTGTCTATAAGTCTTTTGGCTGTAAGTCTCTTGGCCATAGAGATCCTACCAAGGGACAGGATGGACCTGGGGCAGGCAGCCAAACCACCTCCACAATGCTATGGGACAAAATAAAAGTTTGTCCATTGATGTTGCCTCTGGCAAATCCTGGCCAGAAGGAAAGAATGTAAACCAAAAATAAAATTCTAAGCTCCCCAACCACCTGAATGGACCCCTCCTCTTGGCCAAGGGCATTCCAAAGTTAACCTGAAAAACTAGTTCAGGACATGATGAGGAAGGGGGAGTCGGACATGCCTCATTACCATCAACATGAACACTGTCCTTAAGACTGATACAATAGACTCTTTAAGTCTAATAAGAAACATTTACAATCTATTCTCTCTGAAGCCTGCTACCTGGAGGTTTCATCTGCATGATAAAACTGTGGTCTCCACAACTCCTTATCGTAAACCAGACATTCCCTTCTAATGATTCCAGGTCTTTAGATAATAACTCAACCAATTATTAATACCAGTCAGAAAATTTCTGAACCTGCCTATGACCTGGAAGTCCTCCAACTTCCATTTGTCCTGCTTTTCCAGACCAAACGAATGTACATCTCACATGTATCAGTTGATGTCTTATATCTCCCTAAAAACCAAACTGTGGCCTGACCACCTTGGGCATGTCACCAGGACCTTCTTAGGCAGTGTCACAGGCATGTCCTTAGCCTTGGCAAAATAAACTTCTAAATTGATTGAAAAAAATTTTTAGGTTTTCTGATAAGATTGTCTGATTCCAAGGGAGAGGTGTGAGAATTATACATGAAAGCTTTTGTTCCCAATTGGACAGAAGGATGCAAGCGACTTTTGATCACCTGCTCTACCATGAATAGTGCCACGGGCTTCACAACAACCACGAGAGGTATGTATTTTATGTCCACTTTAGAGATGAAGAAGACTCAAGAACAAGAAGATTACTAGTTTCAGTTACAAATATATGATTCCAGCATTTCTAGAATGAAAAACTCAGGAAATATCTGAGAGAGAAAGGTCTATAAAGAGCACTAAATCCAGCCCCTTTATTTTACAAACTGGGAAAATCTGTCCCAGGAGGGAAAGGGACTAGTTCAAGACTACCCAACTACTCAAAGAGAAGGAACTCAAATTTCAATCTCTTGAGTGCCACCCAGTGGACAATGTACCATGACCGATATTTACAGACAAGTTACCAAAAAACTTTACAGAATAGGGGGAAAGAGCACTCATTAAACTGGGAATTGGAAGAACTGGATCCTGTCCCAGTTTTGCCAAGTAAGGTTAGCTTCCCCTCTCTTGGCTTTAATTTCCCCATCTGTGTAATATGAAGTGACAACAGGAAAACCAACATGAGGCAGCAAGTCTTGGATCCAAGACAGAGACAGATCCAGGTTTTGTGGGGCTTGAAGCTTGTAACATCTGGGGCCTTCTTTAAGTATAAGAATGCAAAATTACCAGTATAAAATTGGGAACAAAAGCAAATATTTAAAGTGAGAAAAAAAAAACAAAAGAACACACATTTGAAAACGTTGACAAATGTTAGAAACATCTGAAAATTTAGAAAAAAATAACATAAATAGCTACTTATCTTTAGTACTTAACTGCCTCATGCACTTCTATAGTATGTTATTCCTGCTTTTCTTGTTTGTTATAGTTGGAAACACAGGATTCAGCATATAGTTATAATCACAACCAAGATTTATTACAGCAATGTAGTTAGGGCACACAGCCAGATCACAAGCAGAAAAGACAGGCAAAGTTTGGAGGAGCCCATGCACAGACTTCCTTATGCTCTCTCCCTCCCATGAGGGGCCACACAGAGCACATGCTTCTCTCGGCAACAAATATGCAGTGGCACGTGTGATGTTTCTGGCCAGAGAAGCCCAGACTCATTGCCCACACTTTACACTGGTGTTTGGTAACAGAGACTTCCTCTGCCTAGCATGCACCAAAATTCCAGACTCCCAGAAGGAAAGCAGATATTCAGCATAAACTACGTTTTCTGTATCAACAGTCAAGGCACAGTGAGCCATCTTATCAGTTAACTGTTGACTAGGGAAATTCTGAGAGTCAAGTTTCCAGATGCCAGCAGGGAGCGTAACTTCCAAGCAGGTCTTTCTAAGGGTAGCAGTCACAGGAACTATGACTGTGCCCTTTCTAGCTCAGGACACATTTGATGCTGTGACTGTTTGGGAATTCAGTCCCGACCAATTTAAGAGGTTGTGTTTCTTAGCTGTCTCTGGCTCCTGGTTTGCGCAGTTTAATTCTGTGCCTGCCCAGCAAAACTCTTCTGCATACTACTCAATGTTTCTAGTCCTTCTACAGGTCCATGTCCTACAATCACAGGAATTCTGAAAAATGCCATTTCACAAAATCCCCTTCCAAATGTGCAAATAAATGTATCTTGTATTTACAATTGCGTACACTGCACGCTGGGTATATTTCTGACAAGAGAGCACTTTTGCTTTTCAGTGAAAATGGAATCCTTCACTTACAATTTTACACATCTGATTGATGACTGGAAGATTTTTCCACAGACTAGCTTCTGGTGCTGTACATTGTGAATCTTGGTTCTCCTCCACTGCCAACATACCCCTGATGCCAAGTGCTGCAGGTCACAGTGACATTACAATGTACCCTTCAGCCTCACCCCTCTTGTCCTAACACTGGATGCATCAGCACAGTGAGCAGAAGTATTCCTGCAAGCTATTCCAATAAAGGGCAGCTGGCAAAAACTGGGAAATATATGGAATTGCCTGTGGACTCCTGAAAGATATCTCAAAAATATATCCTAAACTAAATGAATCCCAACTTAATGTCCCCTTAGTTGAATTCTCAATATGACCATGGTCATTGCATTGCTACCCAACACACAGGCAAGAGGGATAGAGACAGCATAGTGGAAAGAAAGATTCCCTGAACCAACTGTGGTTAAAATATCTTTTGTAGATTTTCCAAACCATACAACTGTAGGACCATAATGCTAGGGCTCCTTCCAGGGCTGTTCAAGCAAGAGACACTGAAGCTTTATCTTTAACTTCATTCACTTCACTGTGTACTTGCATCGGGTCTAGAGACTTACAGAAGAGAAACCATGAGAAAAGACATAGGGCCCAGATAATGAGACAGAAGGGAAGAGAGTACACAATCAGAAACAAGGACAAGGAAATTAAGACAAATTCCAGATAAACAAAGTGCAAAATTTACCTGGGAATGTGTGACCTGCATGTGACCTAGCATGGGAGAGGCAGCCTGAAGAGTTATTCTTCCTAAGCTGGGGCACAACACAAGGACAAAAACAACAGAGCTGGCTTTATTCCATGGCTGAGCCAGGAGGACATACCATGAGATTCTGTCGATATTGAGTGGACAGGAAGAGGACTAGTTCAGAGATGTCAGGCTTCTTAGACCACAGACAGAGAGGTTTTGCTAGGCAGGCACAGAATCAAACTGGGCAAACCAGGAGCCAGAGACAGCTAAGAAACACAACCTCTTAAATTGGTCAGGACTGAATTCCCAAACAGTCACAGCATCAAATGTGTCCTGAGCTAGAAAGGGCCTTCTAGTTACCATATTCCACCATTCCACCACCATCTTGTGGTGTAGAGATCAAATCACCATAGTCAGGGTCAAAAAGACTGGTTGAGTCCTGCCTTGATCACTTACAGTACAAGCTGAGGCAAATCACTTCCCCTCTCTGAATTTCAGTGTCCTCATCTCTCGAGTGAAGAGAATGATAATGTGGTCCCAGGAGCCTGTGAAGAATTCAGTGTCACATTAGGATGAGAAAAAGGACCTGGCGAGGCATTCCTGCTGACCCAGAACACAACACAAGAATCTAAGGGCAAGCACGCTGTAAGCTTCAAAGCCTTGCAGGAATGTTACCTTTCCTTTACTACAGAGGAGGCACCAGCAGGGGAACTCTCTTGGCACACAGTTGGAGTCCTCAGAAAATGTTGATTCTCATGGACTCTTCTCTGTCTCTAATGTACAAGCAGTTTCAAGCAGGGGTCTTGTTGGTATTTTAGGGGGAAATTGATGGTATTACTTTGGGATTAATTTGATAAGACTAACGGTCATTTTACAAAGAGAAAGTCATCCCATAAGTAGTATGGCTGGGAAGGGAGAAGGAAGGAGGGCGCAGGGGACCTGAGCAAGCATTGAAATATCTAAACGAGAGGTAAGAAAGCAAGGGCAGTTATGCTGTGATTGAAGATGACACTTGCACCCCTATCATCTCCCCACCAACCTCTGGCCCAGATGACTTACTGGCCACAAGTGAATCAATGAATTCTTCTCAGGAAGAAAACCAGTTTGCCTTTTTAAAATGCTGACAGTGAAACCCAAGTGAGGAAACTCACCTGCTGCACCCAGCGTGCAGCCCACACTCCTTCAGTGGTCCTTTAGGAGTTGGAACCAATCTAGTTTCCCAGCCTCTTCTCTCCCATGACTTCACTCTACGAATGCGTCTGCTCCAGCCACGAACCTTCTCTGGGCTCCTTGAATGTACCTAACCCTTTCAGACTGTCCTTCCCCCATTTCCCACCTAACAAAACCCTTTTGACCTTCAAGGCCCAGCTCAAACACCCCCTCCTCTACGAAGCGTCCCCCAGCCCCCTGCCCAGAGTAGTTCCTTCCTCTTCACATTCACCTAACTCCTCTTGCCTGTAAGATGCCCCCTTACAAGTAACAAAGACATGAGTGTGCACCTACCTTCAAGGAGCCTCTTTCAGGAGGGGGCCTGGCTTCCATCTGCTTTCTGACATACTTTGCATGGAGATCTGCCCTCTCCTGCCAGGCTGTGCTCACACCAATACCAAGAGATCACGAGACGCCCTGCCAGCAAATGCCCTGGAAGCACATCCCCTTCATGCCCCTGGCAGTCATCTAATGTACACACAAGATCAAAGCAGCTCTCAGGTGGCCTGTTGCAGGGCACAGCACAGTTCTGCCTATGCCAAGGCAGATGCTGGGCCCTTCCCTATTGTGTTCAGCACACACCCATTCTCCAGGGCACCTTTTCTGGGCATTAATTTATCCAGTCAGTTAATATGGATTGCACAGCCTGCTATATGCCAGGTACCATGTGGACCCCATCACCCGTACCCAATGCAGGCCCCTCTAGTGGGCAACCCTTGCTCCACACCTCCCTGTTGGGCTGCTCGAGACTGTCAGGTCGGGCTCAACCTGCTCTCCAGCCCTGTTTCCTTCCTATCCCTTTCCTGAGTGTTAGTTAGCCCCAGTAAATCTTTGGCCCTGCCAACTCCCTCTCATGGTCTGCTTCCTGGAGGACACAATCTGAGACAGTGGGTTCCAGAGTGGTCTGAGAAAGCAGGTGGTAAAATGGGGTCTTGGTACAGGATTGCCCCGCATCTGCCCAACTGGCAACAAGGTTCCCATCTTCGGGAGTAGGTGGCACGCAGGCGGCTCCAGGCACAAGATGGCAGGCTAGTTGCCAGACCTTTGGTGTTAGAACTTTTGCTGGGATGGCCGGCTTGTGGAGAGGAAGTTCCTGGCAGGTGAGGAGATCCAGGCAGGGCGGATGCCTGGAAATGAAAACTCAGAGAACAGACAGTGGTGAGTATGTTTCCTGGATGACCCACAGGGGATTAATGAGAGACCAAGAGCAATTAACAAACATCTAAAAATTAACCAGAAACACTGGAGTCTTCCTGGTGGTTTACAAAGTAGCCCCCGATCCAGGCAATGGGCGAGCAGCAAAGTCTGAAGAACAAACCCAGGACTTGCTAAGGTGGCTGAACTCCAAAGACAGGTGAACGCTCAGCCAAGGCAGGTCTGTCATGCCAATGACACCAGCCCTGTTGGGAAAACCTGCGTCCCTGATACATGGAACAGGCACATCTAGAAGGTCTCTGAATATCTGGTCTCCCCAGATGCCCTTGAAACTTCTGAGCCCGCAGCATCAGCCCACCCCCTCCCATGAAGCGCTGCAGGCACCCTATCCCGAAGGAGAAATAAATAACACAAGAATTTTCCCCACAGGTGTCCTCCCTCCCAGGAGTGGCCCTCACCTTATCACTGGCTGCCAGGTAGGGTGACCAACAGTCCCAGTTTGCTGAGTGAATTGCAGTGCTAAAAGCCGGCAAGTCCCAGGGAAGCAGGAGGAATTGGTGAGCTGACTGCCAGACCCGTGACCAGAGTGAAGGTGCAGCGCAGCGCCATGCAGGCAGGGTGTGCTGGGTCTGGGAAGGGGGAAAGCGATGACACCCTCGAGGAGCTGCAGGATCAGCATGCATCTGCAGCGGCCAGGGGGTCCCTGTGGGATGGGACCCGGATGCAGCTCAACCAGTGGGGACTTGGAGACACTCTGCTGCTCAACACAACTGAATGCCCTGGTAGGGAGCCGAAGGGATGGGGCAAACCTGTTGATGGCATGGGATGGGCAACAGTGATGGTCCAGGCCTGAGTGACGGTGAAAGGCCTGAACTGTCATGGCAGACAGTGAAGGAAGGGATTCAAAGGCTAAGCAAAGTGAGCTTGCTGGAACTGGACAGAAGAGGTGAGGCCAGAAGACACCCCGGAGAATCAGGTTTCAGGAGAGGGCCCAGAGGACACGTGTCAGCAAGGGCATCAGGAATGTGCTGCAGAGAGGGCGCCAGCATCCTTCAGAGATCCAGCGCGGGAATCCTCTGCAGACCAGGGCTGACCACAGGAGAGTGTCTTGCAGAACGGGGCGCACCGAGAACTGGAACCTGATAAGGGTGGTGCAGCCTCGTCCTCCTCCTCGTTTCCTTCTCCTCCTCTCCTCCTCCTCTCCACCTTCTGTCCTCCTTTCTTCCTCCTCATTTCCTCCTCTTACTCTCCTCCTCCTCCCACCTCCTGCTCTCCTTCTCCTCTCCTCCTCCTCATCCTCTCCTCTTCTCTCTTCTTCTTCCTACTTTTCTCCTTCTCATTTCCTTCTCTCTTCCTCTCCTCCTTCTCCTCTTTTCTCTTTCACCTCCTCCAACTCTGTTCCTCCTCCTCTCCTCTCCACTCCTCCCCAACCCCCTCCTCCTTTTCCTCTGCTCCTCTTATTCCACTCTTCCTCTTCCTCCTTTCCTCCTCGTCCTCTCCTCCTGGTCCTCCTTTCTTCAGCCTCCTCCTCTCTGCTTTCTCCTCTTCTCCGCCTTCTCCTTTCTTCTTCCACCTCCCCTCTTCCTCCAAATCTCCTCCCCTTCCTCTCCTCCTCCTCCTCTGCTCCTCCTCTCGTCCTCTCCTCCTTTCCTCCCTCCTCCTATTTCTCTCCTTCTCCCTTCCTCCCCGTCCTCCCCCCCTCCTCTCCTTCTCCTCTTTTCTTTCACTCCTCCTCCTTTTCTCCTCCTCTTCTCCTCCTGTTCTTTTCTCTTCCTCCTCCCCCCTCATCCCTCTCCTCTCCTTTTCTCCTCCTCTTTCTCATCCCCTCCTGTCCTCCACCTCCTCTCCTCCACATCTGCCTCTCCTTCCCCTTCTGTCCTTCTCCTCTCCTCCTACTCCCCCCTCCTCCTCCTTACTTGCTCTTCTAGTCCTCTTCCTCTTCTTCCTCCTTTGTTACTCCTCCTCCTCTTCTCCGTCTCCTCTCCTCTTTCTTCTCTTTTCTGTGTCCTCCTCTCCTCCTTCACCTCTTCTCCTTGGTCTCATCTCCTCCTCCTCTCCTTCTCCTCCTCCTTCCCTCCTTGAACCCGCTCCCTCTCTTCCCCCTCCTTCTCCTCTTTTCTTCTCTCCTCCTCCCCTCCAGCTCCTATTCCTCCACTTTACCTCTCTCCTCCTCCTACATCGCACATCCGCACGACCCTGTGAGAGTCAGGGCAGAAAAGGAAAGCTAAAAGGCGGACAAATGAGTGCAAGAGAGCAAAAAAGGGAACCCTCCCTAATCTAATGGGCAGGGCACTGGACGCATGCGAGCACCTCCTCCTTGGGGGAGAGGTCACAGCCTTCAGATGGAGGGGCAGTGGGACACTCCATGATCTCTGGGGTTACTTACAATTTGGAGTGCTTAGGTGAATACTGAGTCCAAAACAGCCCTGCAAAGACACAGAAGAACAAGCCCCTGTGCGGACGAGGTCTCTGAAATACAAAAAGCCAACATGGGGTTAGAGGCAGAATTCAGAAAGAGCTCCTACAACTCCATACCAACAAGGCAAATGACTCAATAGAAAAATGGGCAAGCCAGGCACGGTGGCTTACGCCTGTAACCCCAGCACTTTGGGAGGCCGAGGCGGGTGGATCACCTGAGGTCGAAGTTCGAGACCAGTCCAACCAACAAGGAGAAACCCCATCTCTACTAAAAATACAAACTTAGCCAGGCATGGTGGCGCATACCTGTAATCCCAGCACTCAGGAGGCTGAGGAAGGAGAATCGCTTGAGCCCAGAAGGCAGAGGTAGTGGTGAGCCGAGATTGCACCAGCCTGGGCAACAAGAGCAAAACTCCGTCTAAAAAAAAATGAAAAAGAAAGAAAGAAAAAGAAAAATGGGCAAAAGCCATTTCCTAGACGAGGAAAGCAGGCTGACCAAAAAGCATCTGAAGGGAAACCATGAATCAGGGTCAAAGCGGTCCCAGACTGGCCGTGCCCCGGAACACTAGGCAGGATCAAACGTGAACCATCTCCAGAGAAGGGCAACTTCCTCCTGGGCCTCAGAGTCAAAAAAGCACAGCGAGGAGAGGTGGCTGCACTCTGGAAAGTGTCAGTGGGGAGGCAAAGGAAGAGGAAGGCGGTGACAGGCTCAGAAAACAGGAGGAGTTGCACGGAAATTAGGCTGAGCAAAAAGAATGCTTCTCTAGGGGAGCATGTGGGCAGAAGAGAAGGACTGCACAGCCGGGGATGCTGAGCACAGAGAGGCAAGGTGATGGCAAATTCGCAAGGGACAGCTCTAGCCAGGGAGGTTAGCCTGCCATGGAGGGAGAGGACAGAGCAGGAGAGGGCAGGGTTGGGGGCAGGGGGTGGGGGGGCAGGGTAGGGTAGGGAAGGGAAGCGGGGAGAGGGAAGGGGAGGGGAGGGGAAGGGATGGGAGGGGAAGGAAGGGGAGGTGAGGCTCAGAAGGCCACCAGGATGGACCGGGAGCTCTGCAGGGGGCTCCCTGGTGATGAGGAAGGAAGGAAGACCTGAGCGGGGGCTGTGGTTTCAGGAAGGAGGCAGTATCCTGGGGGAGGCAGGCAGAGGGTACAGTCAGCTGCAAAGCAGGATCTTTGGAAAAGGCAAGGACTTCCTAAAAGAGATATGATGTGTGGCACGATAGGCATGCAAGCAAGGCCTGAAGAAGCAAGCAGAACTTGAGGAGACACACCGCTGGCCCCAGGAGTGGGGGTCAGTTCAGTGTGTGCTACTGGGGTGCAGTCAGGCACAGTGGTTTCAAGGGAGCACAGCAAGGAACCCAAGAAGGCCCCGCATGTCTGCAGTTGGCTGACTATTGCCCGGGACTCCAGAGCATCCATGGAGGGCCCCACAGGGGAAGGCAGGAGCAGGACGGGTCTAGGGAGGTGAAGGCCGACCTGACCTGCTAAGAGACGAGAAGAGAGGGAGGGGAAAGTCTTGTTCCTGCCAGGACATTGTTAATGAGAGGAGTGAGAAGGCAGCAGGTGAAGAGAGTGTGGCATGGAAGGCAGAAATCAGAGCGTTTTTGGGTTTCGTGCTGACCTGCTATTGGGAATGAAAATCAAGACTCAGGTGCATTCTGGTCCCTTTCTCAGGGTTAGCCGAACACCACCCGCATCCCTGCCTGGCCTGTTGATGCCATTCTTCCTAGGCCCACTCACCGCTGCAGCTGCTTTACTTGCACTTCCTCTCGTCATCCGACCACAGATCAGACCTCTGCTGCTCGCTGCCGCCCAGGGAGAGTGTGCACCTACGTGCACATTGCACCCCACTGCCCAGCACACCCAGGAGTGAGAGTGAGGAGCAGCTGAGAGAGTTGGAAAAGGGAGCCCTTATGTGGCCACCAAGGGCTTCCCTGCTAGCAGCCACACGGTGGCTATCCAGCTCATTATGCGAGTTCTAGTTCTTCAAACAAGAGGCCACGGGAGGAGCAACGGCCACCCACCATCCCGGGGATCCTCATTCATGATCTGAAACCACTCTAAGCAGATTCTGGGGTGTTCGGCAGAAGCTGGCAACCATTCTTGTGGGGAAGGAACCCAGGAGGGGATGCTAGCATACATAGGACTTGGAACTGGTGATCTGAAGGTCCCCTGCAGCCCTACGGCCTACATCCCATAAAGAGGGACCCTCTCCTCCTCACCTCATCTCCAGCATTTCTGCTTCCTCAAGCTTCTCCAGGGAGAAGTAGGCGCATCTCACTAGAAAAAACAAGAAAGCTGCCCTTTGCTCATTCAACACTTACTAAGCAGATACTGTGCCCTGGGCACCCAGTTTCAGAAATGAGTAAAACACCGGCCTTGCCTTCAAGGAACTCAAGAGACCCTGCGGCAGCCACAGTCTTACAGAGCAATTACCACCCTGGGTTGCAAGAGCCTAACGTAGGGTGGGGACAGGGGAGGTACAAAATGCTATCAGAGCTGGAGACGAAAGTCTCTAATACTCGGAGTGGGGCTGTGAAGGTGACTTTAAAGTTGTGCCTTGAAGGAGGCCAGGAGCGCACCAGGACAAGGCCATGGGAACCGCCGGTGCAAAGCAGGGAGACCTGGAACAGCAGGCTGGTGGGGACCAGTGACTGAACAGCACAGCGTGAACCCAAAGAGTGTTTGGCTTAAGGGTGGGGAGAGCTGAGCCGACTCCCTGAACTGCTAGGACTTAAACCTGAGAAGGCCCAGCAGCGTTTTCACTAGAGGATTGCTGGGGACAGATTTGTGACTTAGAAACTGAGCCGATGGAATGTGGACGACAGACCTGAGGGAAGAAAGACAGAGGACTCCAGGTTGCTCAGGAGGCTCATGGAACAGTGCAGGCTCCAGACCACGAGGCCTGAATTCTGGAAGTAGCAGCGGGGATGCAGGACGAGGAGCCGTTTTGTCTCATCAGGCACTCCAGAGGCAGGGACCCAGAACTTGGTTATGAAGTCAATGCGGGAGACTAGATAAGGGGAGGGACAGAGGAGTAAAGCATGGCAGCACTACAGAACCTGAGCCCGTGACTGAGAGAAGAGAGTTTGAAAAGCAAGTTTGCCAGGGAAGTTGGGCTGTGTGCTGGGCGACTTAGGCCGGAGGAGGCAAGACATTAAGAGTGGGGATGTTTCTCATTACCTGCAAAAGAGGCGTTAAAAAAACGGTCCCTCTGGACCCCACTGGCAGGCACTGACGGAGCGGCCAGGACACAGGAGAGCAGGCCTGGGGGGCTCAGCCCTGCAAGACTCAGCCTAGAGCTGCATGGACCCCAGTCAAGTGTTCCCGCCCTTCTTGCTGCTTCTGTGCCCTCTGGGGGAAGACACTGGAGGTGCAGTTAGGTCGCCGCGGGAAAGTTTGGACTCTTGCCTAAGGGTGCATCACAGAAGGGCCTCAGCTCCCTCCCCCAACTCCACCCACAGCTCCACCCCTAGCTTTTCCTCCTGCAAGTCCGTCCCCAACTTCTCCTCTTGCAGCTCCGCCCACAGCTCCACCCCAGCTGTTCTGCCCCCCTGCTCCTCCTCCCTCAGCTCCGCCCCAGCTGTTCCTCCCACAGTTCCGCCCCCCAGCTCCTCCTCCCGCAGCTCCGCCCCAGCTATTCCGACGCCAGCCCCTGCTCCACCCGGCACTTAACCATTTCCGCCCACAGCTCTTTCCCACAACTACGCCCTCCTCTTGCAGGCGGCTCCTCCAGAAGCTCTGACCCAGTCCCCGCTGCAGCCACAGCCCCAGCTTCTTACCCCCAGCTCCTCCTCCCACAGCTCTTTCCCACTGCCCCGCCCTGCTACCCCTTCATCACCGCTCCCAGCTCCGCCTCCTCTAGCCCCGTCTCGCTTCTCCTACCCCTCTGCCCACCCCAACAACCTTTCAGCTCTTTCCTCCAGCTCTGCACTAGCTCCTCCCCCGCAATTCTCACCCGCCAGCCTTGGTGCAGCTTGGCTCCTCCTTCTCCAGCTCTTTCCCGCAGCCCCGCCCCATCTGCTCCCACAGCGCTTTGCCACAGCCTCGCCCTGCTCCTCCTCCAGGAACGCCCGGCTTTCCCTCAGCTCCACCCTGCAGCTGAGCTGTGCACCAGGCCCTCCCACAGAGCTTTCTCGTGATTCCACCCTACACCTCCCCAAGCCGCCGCTCCCCTAAGCTGGTTCTCAGGAGTCCGCGGAGTCCTCCCGCAGCTGTTCCTCGCTCAATTGCCCACTGCCCCGGCCTGCTCCTCACACCACTGATGGCAAAGCCCCGACCCCAGACCCTCCCCAGTGGTTTCTCTCGGCCCGGCCCTACCCCGCCCCTCCAACGCCTGCTTCCAAGGCCCCGCCCCCAGCCCATCCTCAGCGGTTTCTCTCAGCTCCGCCCCGCCCCAGCCCCACCCGGCTCCTCCTGCGGCTGGTTAAAAGGCCCCGCCCCCAGCCGCTCCCCAATGGCTTCGCTCAGACCCGCCCTGCCCCGAACCCCCCCCTGCTTCTCCCGCGGCTGCCTCCGAAGCCCCGCCCCGCGCCGAGCCCCGCCTCTCCCCATCTCCTCCCTGTTTCTCCCGCGGGTGCTTCCAAAGCCCCGCCCCCAGCACCCCCCTCAGCGGTCTCTCTCAGCCCGATCCAACCCTTTTCTGAGCCCCGCCCTGTTTCTCCTGTGGCTGCGTGCAAACCCCACCCCCCAGCCCCACCCCAGAGGTTCCCCTCGGCCCTGCCCCGCCCCCCCAGCCCCGCTTCTCCAAAGGCTGTTTTCAAAGCCCCGCCCCCGAGCCCCTCCCCGGCGGTTCCCTCAGCCCCGCCCCACCCCTCCCCGAGCCCCAGCCCCCCCCGAACCCCGCCCCGCCCCACTCCTCCCCCAGCCCTGCCCTGCTTCTCCAGCACCAGCTTCCAAAGCCCCGCCCCCAACCCCTCCCCACTGGTTTCTTTCAGCCCCACCTTCCTCCTCTCACCAGCCCCCTCCCTCCCCGCGCTGGTTCTCAGGAGTCCGCGAGCTCCTCCTGCAGCCTCTCCTCGCCCAGATCGCCCATAGCCCCGCCCCCAATGGTTTCTCTCAGCCCCGCCCCACCCCCTCGAGTCCCCGCCCCATCCCAAGTCCCCGCCCCATCCCCTCAAGTCCCCGCCCCACTCTCAACCCCGCCCCAGCGGTTTCCTCACTCCCGCCCTTCCCCTCCCCCAGCTCCGCCCTCCTCCTCTCAGCCCCGCCCCCATCCCCTCCCCATTGGTTTCTCCCAGTTCCTTCCTGCTGGTCTCGCAGCTCTGGGCTTAAAAATCCTGCCTGGTGGTCTCGTCCCGCCCCTCCTCTTCCTCCCTCCGGTTCCTTTTCCTCCTTCCGGTTCTTGGTCTAGGCTGCCTGTCTCGAGCTCCCCGGCCTTGTCCTGGTTGGCTGGCGCGGGACAGGATCCGGTAAACTGAACAGCGTCTCCTTGTGGCAAGTGCGTGCGTACGTGCGTGGCGACGTCACTGCGTGGCTTCGTGAATACGTGGCTTCCTAGCGATTTGGCGGTGTATAGGCGTGGCTGAATACGGGCCTCCTGCGTACGTGCGTGGTGTACGTACGTGCGTGATTACGCGCACACGTACGTTCCTCATGAAAGGGACGACGGGAGCTGCATGAAAGCCGAAGTTATGGACCGCTAGCATCTGTCACTGGCCACCGGTTTCCGGGAGTAAGCGGCAGCTACCTTACAGCCCTGACACGAGCCGGGTGCTCTCTCTTCTCACCGCGGCCCACGTCTCCTCGCTGGCTCCGGTGGCCTCGCTGGGTCGCGAGGAGGCGGAGGACTGTACTCTGAGGCCAAAAGCCAGAGTCGGCCCTGAACGCCCACGACTCTCAGGGTCCAGAGGCCGTGAGACCGGCCGCGGCTGAAAGGTACCAGGGCCCCTGATGCCGGAGCCCGTGTGCTCGGCCCTCTTGCAGACGGTACTTGCGGGCTGGGGTTTCTTTCCCCTGGGTTTCGGGCAGAGAACCCGTGCGGGGCGCGCCCGAAGCGCCCTTTGGTGTCCCTTGCTCTCCCCATGGTCTCGGCCCCCCTCCTTCTAAGCGCGTGTACCCGCGACCTGCGTCTGCAAGTGCTGCTCCACACACAGCGGCCCCATCTCGGCCCGGTCTTCCCTGCCTCCCGCTTGGCCCCTGTGCTGTAAGCTCGCCTGGACCCCAGGCCGGGCGGTGCATAGCTCTGTGGCCTGTGGCCCCGTGCTCAGCATGACCTAACCAGAATTAAGCAGTGGACAATGGGATTTAGGCCCCCCAAACCCTCGTCCGATGACAATGGGAGGGGAAGTGTGATTTTTCTCCCCTCGGATGGAGCGTGCTCAGCTGTAGGAATGTGACTCAACTTGCTGAAATGATTTTCTGCTCTGCGGACTGGTGCACCCTGTGACCCAGACAGATGTGGAGGGTCCCACCGCTCTGATTAGCAGAACCAAACCGTGAGTGAGGTGCACATGTGTTACTCTTAGGACCGGCCCTCCCAGCTCTTGGTTTCCAATGCCTGCTGAGTAGAAGACCTTCCTAGGGCCATTAACCAGCTTTGCTGACTTGCATTTAATGACCTTTCCTCTTTATCTTCCTTGTTGTGCAGGTAAAGAAACCAAGTGGAAGAGTGTTTCCTCCTCTGGCCGTAAAGCAGGTACTCTCTGCAGCACCAGGTAGGAGGGGACTCAACCCCCTTCTTGCCTTTTCAGTTACATCAGTTCCTACTAGGGATTCCACACACACACAGTTGTTGTGATTTTGTGGTGATGACGAGAAAAGGGTTGGCTAAGAAACTGGGCGGCAGAAAAGAGGCAAACATTCACTGTAGCCATTTATCCCGATGGAAGTGGCCAGGCCCTGTGGGGGACATTCAGCCTCCGTCAGAAGTAATCCAGAACCAAGGAACCTGGTTATCTTTGGTCACTCATCAGAAGAATAATCATGCTCAGGGGCCACAAGTGTGTGAGGAAATGGCACCATGGATGGGTTGGTGGAGGGTACACGGGTGAGTCTTTGTGGAAAGTCATTTGCTGGCAGATATCAGCATCTTAGATGGGCGTGCCAGGCGGCCGAGGCATTTCCTTCAGCATGTCTTCACACAGCGAGTGTTAGAAGTAATGTCATTTCTAGTGGCAAAAGTGGGAAGCAACTTGTAACTCTCCATCAGTGGAGGAATGGTCAGGCAAATTATGAGACGACCAACAATGGGATATCACCCAGGCAGTGAAAAACAAGGTAGATGAAGATTGTCAGGTGGAAAGAATGGGCTTGATGTGCTGTCAAATGGCAAACTCGTGCCCTAGCCTGTGCAGATGTGTTGGGAACAGCAGTTTGCCAAGATGGCTGAAACAAAGGACCATAAAGGGGCTGGCTTAAAGAACAGACAATCATTGTCTCGCAGTTCTGGAGGATGGAAGTCTGAAATCAAAGTGGTGGCCAGGTTCGTTTGTTCTGTGGGCTGTGAAAGACAATCTGGTCTGTCCCTTTCTCTTAGCTGCAGGCGGCTGGCCGGCAATCTTTGGCACTCATTAGCTTGTAGAAGCATCTCCCTTATCTCTGCGTTTATCTTCTCATGGTGTTCTCCCTGTGTGCGTGACTGTCTCTCAAATCCCCCTTTTCATAAGGACGCCAGCCACATTGGATGCGGGTCCGCCCTGATGGCTTCAGTCTCACTTGATTGCCTCTGTAATGACTCTGTTTTTATATATAAGGCCACATTTTGAGGTGCTGGGGTTTAGGACTTCAACATACGCATTTTAAGAGGACACAATGCAACCCATCACAACTGACAAAGGCTCTGAGGTAGAAACAAGCTTGGCATGTTCCCTCAGGGGATGGAAGGCCTGTGTGGCTTCAGGGTGGTGAATAAAGGGGAGAGGAGAGGACGTGGCTGGGGTGGGAAACCAGATCAGGAGGGACCTTGAGTGCCCTGAGAGGAAGTGTGGATTCTGTGCTAGTTGGGGCAGGGAGCCCTTGAAAGGTTTCAGTAGAGGAGTGACATAATCTCATTGTCCCTGTACCAAGATCATTCCGATGGCAGTGTGGTCACAAGAGTGCAGAGGACAAGTGCTGGGGGGGGGTGGGGGTGCTATCAGGAGACTTCTTCAGAAGGCAGGGGGTTTTAGGGGATTGGATTGGGATTGTGGCCATAGAGATTATGGAAAGGGATCAGATTCAGTGTCGGTTTTGGACACAGTGCCACGGGATGTGGGCCGCAGATGTGGGAAAGAAAGGCAGGGCAGAGAGCAGCTAGGTCTGGGGCAGGAACACTGTAGCTGGTGATGCCACTCACAGAGGTGGAAGGGAGGTGGACTTGGTGGTGATGGTTGGGGTCCTGAGTATGTATGGGCCTGTCCACCTAAGGCTGAGTCTGAAGGGGGGTGGCCTGCACCACGGGATTCAGAGCAGGACGGTGAGCAACATGGGGGTCCCAGAAGAAGGGAAGGAGTGTGCCCAGCCATGCTGGGGCTGCTGAGCATGGACTAAGATGAAGACAGGACTGGCATGAGGCCGGCCATGGGTGCTTGTGGGGATAGGTCAGTCAGTGGAGTGGGTGGTGGGGGGGGTGGGGAATAAAGGGAGAAAGGTGGGGGTGGGGGCAGAAGGTTCAGAGAGGAAGTAGAGACTGCGCATGTAGACAGCTCTTCTGAGGTCTCGGCTGTTCAGGGTTGTAGAGAAGGGAGGCAGAGTGGGAGGCGCGCGTGTGCTCAGAGTAGGGATGCTGAGCGAGCATAGATGGTGGCTGGTGGCACCCAGGGCCCGGAGTGAGCCAGAGGAGCAGGGTCCAGAGCACAGCAGGCAACCGGCTCAGCTGAGGCAGCTCACCCCAGAGGCGGGAGAAAAGCAGGAGATCTGGAGCTCAGAAGGCTGCAGTGCAGACTGGGAAAGGAGTGAATACCAGGCAGCTTTGGCCCTATCAGGGCTTTGTCTCATGAGGGTGGGTATATTTTCTTAAAATCATAGAGCGTACTAGAGGTTGCGTTTATGTGTTGAAAGGAAGGACAGAGAGAGGAGTAGGGGCAGCTCAAGGGTGGAGTTCAGGGCCAGGGGGCGGGGCCACGGGCCTGAGGGGTGAGGGCGGCCACTATTTCTGACTGTTCTGTTAGGTGCCACGTACTGGGCTGGGTGCTCTTGGTGCCTTATCTCCCTTCCTCACAGCCATGTGGAAACTGAGGCATCTCAAGAGTCTATGACTGGGCTGAGGTTCTGGTTTCAAGCCCAGGGTTCCTTCCAAGGCACAGGGCTGTCCTCCGTGCAAGAGGAGGGGACCCTCTCCCAAGCCACACACGCAGGAGGCTGGGCAAGAGTTGTGGGAAGTCAGAGCCCGTGTGACTGTGGGCTGGTGCCTCATTCTCCTCAGCCATAGAGTGGGCCTCACAGTACCACTGACCCTGCTGGGTTACTTGAAGATTCAATTTGATGATCTGAAGATCATGCCATCCCAGAGGCTGGCACGTGGAAGGCATGTGTGGGGGGTTGCCAGTTGTTCTGATTATCATTCTTCTTTTCTCAGCTCAGATTGGGACAGGGGCGTCTGCTGACAGTGGAGAGCAGTGGTGGGGGAAGGGGCTTGAGGAAGGTGGCACCCAGAGGGGTGGAGAGGAGATGTCTGACTGAGGGCCATCTGAGGTCACGGTGCATCCTGAGGACAGAGCTGAGATTGGATATCAACGATGTGGGCTCAGCAGCCCTGGAGTAGGAGCTGGGAAGGTCAGTGCCTTGGTGGCGGCAGGGCCAGGGCACTGAGAGTATTGGCAGGGCACAGCAGGGGAAAGGGAAGAGAAGCAGAGCGTGGGACTGTCCCTCTGTGCTGGAAGAGGGCTAACACCAGCCCCGACTCTCCGCTCTGGCTAGGCCGAGGGGGCCCTCTGTCCTCTGTGTTGCCCTAGGGCTCGGTGACCTCTGTCATAGCACTGACCACATGCTATCCTGCCTGTGCCTTCCTCTAGCTGTCCCCGCCCTACTCCGGACCGCCCCAAAGACTCCATGGGATGGACCTGAGTCAGCCGAATCCTAGCCCCTTCCCTTGGGCCTGCTGTGGTGCTCGACATCAGTGACAGACGGAAGCAGCAGACCATCAAGGTCAGTGCGATTTAGGCCACCTGAGAGACACGGGGGGAAGGTCAGGCCACTGCCCATGAGCTTGAAGGGCTGGCGTGTGATGCGCTTCTGTGCTTCCGCAGGCTACGGGAGGCCCGGGGCGCTTGCGAAGATGAAGTTTGGCTGCCTCTCCTTCCGGCAGCCTTATGCTGGCTTTGTCTTAAATGGAATCAAGACTGTGGAGACGCGCTGGCGTCCTCTGCTGAGCAGCCAGCGGAACTGTACCATCGCCGTCCACATTGCTCACAGGGACTGGGAAGGCGATGCCTGTCGGGAGCTGCTGGTGGAGAGACTCGGGATGACTCCTGCTCAGATTCAGGCCTTGCTCAGGAAAGGGGAAAAGTTTGGTCGAGGAGTGATAGCGGGTAAGTGACAATGTACCAAATGCGCAGACAACGCCTAGGGCTGCTGCCCAAGATCTTGCTTGGGAATTTGGGGGCTTCTCTTGTCATCTGAACTGATTGGCGTGTATAACACAGTTTCCTTTGGCAACACACCTTCAAAGGGGCGGCAAGGACCTTGGGCTGGGGGTTGGTATGGCTGGCTTCCGCAAGCTCTGGTAAATCATTTCTCCACTCTGGGCCGCAGTTCTGTTTCTGATCTCAGTGAGAAGCCTGGTCAGGGCCATGTGCACATGGTGTTTGTGGTGTTTGGCTGTGTGTATTTGCACATACATGTGTGAGTGCACATGTGTGGCAGAGACCATGAAAAGCAGCCCAGCCCGCCGAATGGGTCAGGTGGCCTCTAGAGTTGGGCTGCCCGCCTGGCTTCATGAACCTGCCCCAGCCCCACCACTCACAGCACCCTGGGAAAGTCCCCTAACCTCTAGGTGACTGAGGCCCGACATCAGCATCTGTCCCCTGGTGACCTGCTCAGGCATCACCTGTAGCTTCCCAGGCAGTGGCTGGTGCCCTTCCAATCTGCAACCGCTGCTCTCAGAAGTCTGGCTTGGACCTGCCTCTTACTTGTGTGGCTTCATGAGGACAAGGCCCTCTCCTCTGCCTTTCTGGAGCCCTCCCCCTGCCTCTCCCAGCGTTTCCTGAATCGGGTTTGGTTCGTTATCAAAGCTACGGAAGAAGGACTTGACTCCCTTCTTGTCATTTTGCTGATGCTGTCTTACTCTCTATTGATTGTGACTTTGAGTAACTGTGTTGTCACATGGGCAGGCCTTGGGCTATGGAAGTGAAAGGCATTCATGTGTATCTCTCTTTGTGTACAGGACTCGTTGACATTGGGGAAACTTTGCAATGCCCCGAAGACTTAACTCCCGATGAGGTTGTGGAACTAGAAAATCAAGCTGCACTGACCAACCTGAAGCAGAAGTACCTGACTGTGATTTCAAACCCCAGGTGGTTACTGGAGCCCATACCTAGGAAAGGAGGCAAGGATGTATTCCAGGTAGACATCCCAGAGCACCTGATCCCTTTGGGGCATGAAGTGTGACAAGTGTGGGCTCCTGAAAGGAATGTTCCAGAGAAACCAGCTAAATCATGGCACCTTCAATTTGCCATCGTGACGCAGACCTGTATAAATTAGGTTAAAGATGAATTTCCACTGCTTTGGAGAGTCCCACCCACTAAGCACTGTGCATGTAAACAGGTTCCTTTGCTCAGATGAAGGAAGTAGGGGGTGGGGCTTTCCTTGTGTGATGCCTCCTTAGGCACACAGGCAATGTCTCAAGTACTTTGACCTTAGGGTAGAAGGCAAAGCTGCCAGTAAATGTCTCAGCATTGCTGCTAATTTTGGTCCTGCTAGTTTCTGGATTGTACAAATAAATGTGTTGTAGATGACTGGTTAGTGTTTGAGGCTTTGTTCTATGTTTTCCCCTGATTTGTTCTGGTCAAAACTCATCAAATGTGTAACTAGCATCCAGGCGACATTACAGAAAGTCTGGGACCTGGCACTGAATGTTTGCCTGGTAGTGACTAGCCGTTAATCAACCGACTCATCCAGGATGAAGAGGACGTCAGACTTAGAGCAGCTGTCTGTCCTTTCAGGTTACTCTCACTCTTCTGAAAGTGTCTGTCAGTTTCTGAAGCATGTGTGTTACCTGCATCACACAGCTACTTCCTATCCTAGCAATACATCCAAAATACAGCTCTAGTAGAGTGAGGTTAACTTGGAAATGTGATCAGTAGTGTTGTTTTATTTTGTAGTAATTTTTTTTTTTTTTTTTTTTTTTGGTGATTTAGCAAAGTTTCTAGTTGTTATCCATGAGGATGATGGGCATTTCCCCCCAGGTATTGACTGCAGTGGCCCTTCTCTTCTGAGCCAGGATGTTATGGTGGTTGTACATCCCATGGCAGATGGGGTGGCCTGACTTTCAAGTGGGCCTCTTTGGAGGCCCCTGGATGCTAGGCTAGGGATGCTGAGCTGCTGACCAGACACTTCCTGGCAACATTGGGAGGGACCCATGAGGAAACAATCTCCTGTTTGAAGATACAGGAAGATATTGCCGGAATCAGGCGTCTATTCTTTCTCCTGACCAGCAGGCCAATCTCAGGGGACCAGGTCTTCCTGGGCTTGGCCTCGACACTTCCTAGCAACATCCTTTGCTGAGTGTGTGAAAATGCTGCTTCTCCAAATAAACGAGGACAATGGGGACCAAAGCCTGTCTTGGACAGGATTTCCAGCCTCCCCTGGTTTCTGCCAATGAGATGTATATAATATAGAAGGTTAAAAAAAAACACAGACAACAGTTCTCATTTAAATTGTTTATTATTTATTTCCATGGAATTTTGTTTTTCTTTATTAAGACCAAAAATGTGTTTCTCATTAGAAAATGGCAACTTTTATGGGCCATTAGTGGCCTGTGAGTTCACGAATTTGCAGTGTGTCTGAACTGTTCACAGAGTCTACACTTGTAATCTGAGGAGCCTTCCTACTCCTCCTCATCGTCAGAGGGCTCATTTGGAGACATGACTGAGAGGGAGGCCAACAGAGCGTAGTAACAGATATTGTACAAAGACATTACACTACCATTATCTGAGTAAACCAGACTACTAAGAATCCCTGTGCCTTCCATCCAGGTAGTAGCCGAAGATGTAAATGTGACATTCCCAGAGGTGCCCTCCCAACTTGGGCCATTTGGTTCCTGAGGGGGCCCATTTCCCAGGGGATGCCTAGTGGCACTCTTCTTGGACCACATGCCAGAGCGCCTGAAGGACTGGGTGCCACTGGGCCCCTGAACACTGGGGGCTCCCTGCTGACACATTTTGATTGCTTCTTTCCTGGCATTGATGTGATAGATACGTAGGGAGCGTCTTGTAGCTACCAGATTCTTTCTCTTTGGAGTTGGGACACGGGTCGCTTGCTGAGCGGTGTTTCTGAGGGCATCCTTTCTCTGGATATTCTCCAGGAGCCTGGGCTTGTCTCTCTGAAAATTGGAGTTGCAGTAGATCTGAAACAAAATGAAACATGTTAGTTGTTCTGGGATAAATTATTCCTTTCCCACCTCTCAAAATTATGATTTTGTTTTGCAATGGAGAAAAGAATGCTTTAAGTGGCAGCAAGTGTGGTTATGCTCTACAGCATGACCTGACTAAAGATAAACAATTCATAGATCAAGGCAGTAATATATAAATAGCATGGATTTTGATATTAAACTGCAACCCCGTAGAGGTAATATGCAGGTCTGCAAAATATGATGCTTACATTATCTCTAAGGGGGTTGCAGTTTAATATCAAAATCCATACTTTTTAAGTTCTATACTTTTCATCTTTCAATAAACAATATTTCACATTTTCAAATGCTATCTTTGACACTTAAGCTCTTACAGTATATTATTCAAATTGGTGTCCTATGAAGATATGTTTGAGAAAGAGAGAAAAGGGA